>NC_000024.10:25456230-26064722 GCF_000001405.40 Homo sapiens | reverse complement strand
TTCCCAGGTGAGGTGATGCCACACCCTGCTTTGGGTCATGCTCACTATGCTGCATCCACTGTCCTGCACCCACCTTCCAACACTCCACAGTGAGATGAACCCGGTACCTCAGTTGGAAATGCAGAAATCAGCCATCTTCTGCATCGCTCTTGCTGGGAGCTGTAGACTGGAACTGTTCCTATTTGGCCATCTTGGCTCCACCTAATTTTTATATTTTTAGTAGAGACGGGTTTTCACCATGTTGGCCAGGATGGTCTCAAGCTCCTGACCAAGTAATCTGCAAGCCTCAGCCTTCTAAAGTGCTAGGATTACAGGCATGATCCACCACACATGGCCAGGTTATTTTTTTTTTTGTACTTGTGATAAGCGAAAAGGAAGGATAAGACACACACATATGCTAAGTAGGGCACTCTGTTCACTCAATTTTTTGCTAATGCCTCCTCATCTGGCTCATGCTGATTATATGCAGAAATTGTTTTGGAAATGTTTTATCATTATTGAAAAAGTAAACTCCTAGGAGTAGCATTCAGAGTCCAACATTATTCTTCCTTAACAACTGTAGTACCCACTTCACAGTATAACATAGTTACAGTGAGTAACTGAGTAAGCAGGTATTAATTGCTGAGAACAGTGCCTCATGATGGTGGTGAGGTGGAGTAATCTTTACAAAAAAAAGAGAAAAGAAATTTTTCAGAGCATTTTCTTGAGTAACAGAAGGATTTTTGCCACCTGATGCTCTTGGGTTTTCCATTATTAGAACTTCATATTCATGAATTTTATTTTTCCAATCTAGCCTTTACCACAGACAGAGGGAACTTCAAGACAAAAGTGAATTTTCAGTTGTCAACAAGCTAAATTTTAAGGACAATGACTAATTTGACTCACCTTTTAAAGGTAAGTTTCAACATAAGTATCAGTTTTTATAAGTTGAAGTTGTAGAAAAATTAGTTTTGGTGAAACATATCTATTGGTATTAAAAAAAAGCAGCTACAAATTGGAACATTTTTATTCTGTGATAAAACTACAAGTACAGCTGCATCACCTCATTTTCCTATCATGAAACTTTTTATGGTTGTGTCTGTTTACTTTTAAAAATCTCAGCATGACAAATTTCAGAGTTTGAGCTAAGCTCATAAATACATCATTAATTTATCAGATTTAAAATGAGTGATTTTAGAGAATGTATTTCTTCTGAGGTGGGCAGATCATGAGTCAGGAGATTGAGATTATCCTGGCTAACACAGTGAAACCCCATCTCTACTAAAAATACAAAATATTAGCCGGGCATGGTGGCAGGCACCTGTAGTCCCAGCTTCTCTGGAGGCTGAGTCAGGAGAATGGCATGAACCTGTGAGGTGGAGCTTGCAGTGAGCCAGGATCACACCACTGCACTCCAGCCTGGGCTACAGGGTAAGATTCCATCTCAAAAAAAAAAAAAAAAAAAAAAAGGAAATAAAGGGTATTCAATTAGGAAAAGAGGATGTCAAATTGTCCCTGTCTGTAGACTACATGATTGTATATCTAGAAAACCCCACTGTCTCAGCCCAAAATCTCCTTAAGCTGATAAGCAACTTCAGCAAAGTCTCAGGATACAAAATCAATGTACAAAAGTCACAAGCATTCTTATACACCAACAACAGACAAACAGAGAGCCAAATCATGAGTGAACTCCCATTCACAATTGCTTCAAAGAGAAGAAAATACCTAGGAATCCAACTTACAAGGGATGTGAAGGACCTCTTCAAGGAGAACTACAAACCACTGCTCAATGAAATAAAAGAGGATACAAACAAAAGGAAGAACATTTCATGCTCATGGGTAGGAAGAATCAATATCCTGAAAATGGCCATACTGCCCAAGGTAATTTAGAGATTCAATGCCATCCCTATCAAGCTACCAATGCTTTTCTTCACAGAATTGGAAAAAACTACTTTAAAGTTCATATGGAACCAAAAAAGAGCCTGCATCGCCAAGTCAATCCTAAGCCAAAAGAACAAAGCTGGAGGCATCACACTACCTGACTTCAAACTATACTACAAGGCTACAGTAACCAAAAGAGCATGGTACTGTTACCAAAACAGAGATATAGATCAATGGAACAGAAAACAGCCCTCAGAAATAGCACTGCATATCTACAACTATCTGATCTTTGACAAACCTGAGAAAAACAAGCAATGGGGAAAGGATTCCCTATTTAATAAATGGTGCTGGGAAAACTGGCTAGCCATATGTAGAAAGCTGAAACTGGATCCCTTCCTTACACCTTATACAAAAATCAATTCAAGATGGATTAAAGACTTAAACCTTAGACCTAAATCCATAGAAACCCTAGAAGAAAACCTAGGCATTACCAATCAGGACATAGGCATGGGCAAGGACTTCATGTCTAAAACACCAAAAGCAACGGCAACAAAAGCCAAAATTGACAAATGGGATCTAATTAAACTAAAGAGATTCTGCACAGCAAAAGAAACGACCATCAGAGTGAACAGGCAACCTACAAAATGGGAGAAAATGTTCGCAACCTACTCATCTGACAAAGGGCTAATATCCAAAATCTACAATGAACTCAAACAAATTTACAAGAAAAAAGCAAACAACCCCATCAAAAAGTGGGCGAAGGACATGAACAGACACTTCTCAAAAGAAGACATTTATGCAGCCAAAAAACACATGAAAAAATGCTCATCATCACTGGCCATCAGAGAAATGCAAATCAAAACCACAATGAGATACCATCTCACACTCCTTAAGCTGATCACCAAGTTCAGCAAAGTCTCAGGATACAAAATCAATGTGGAAAAATCACAAGCATTATTAGACACCAATAACAAACAGAGAGCCAAATCATGAGTGAACTCCCATTCACAATTGCTTCAAAGAGAAGAAAATACCTGGGAATCCAACTTACAAGGGATGTGAAGGACCTCTTCAAGGAGAACTACAAACCACTGTTCAATGAAATAAAAGAGGATACAAACAAATGGAAGAACATTCCATGCTCATGGGTAGGAAGAATCAATACCGTGAAAATGGCCATACTGCCCAAGGTAATTTATAGATTCAGTGCCATCCCCATCGAGCTACCAAGGACTTTCTTCACAGAATTGGAAAAAAAAACTTTAAAGTTCATATGGAACCAAAAAAGAGCCCGCATTGCCAAGTCAATCCTAAGCCAAAAGAACAAAGCTGGAGGCATCACGCTACCTGACTTCAAACTATACCACAAGGCCACAGTAACCAAAACAGCATGGTACTGGTACCAAAACAGAGATATAGATGAATGGAACAGAACAGAGCCCTGAGAAATGATACCACACATCTACAACCATCTGATTTTTTACAAATCTGACAAAAACAAGAAGTGGGGAAAAGATTCCCTATTTAATAAATGGTGCTGGGAAAACTGGCTAGCCATATGTAGAAAGCTGAAACTGGATTCCTTCCTTACCCCTTATACAAAAATTAATTTAAGATGGATTAAAGACTTAAATGTTAGACCTAAAATCATAAAAACCCTGGAAGAAAAACTAGGCAATACCATTCAGGACATAGGCATGAGCAAGGACTTCATGCCTAAAACACCAAAAGCAATGGCAACAAAAGCCAAAATTGACAAATGGTGTCTAATTAAACTAAAGAGCTTCTTCACAGCAAAAGAAACTACCATCAGAGTGAACAGGCAACCTACAGAATGGGAGAAAATGTTTGAAATCTATTCATCTGACAAAGGCTAATATCCAGAATTTACAAAGAACCCAAACAAATTTACAAGAAAAAAAACAAGCAACCCCATCCAAAAGTGGGTGAAGGATATGAACAGAAACTTCTCAAAAGAAGACATTTATGCAACAATCAGATATATGAAAAAAATGCTCATCGTCACTGGCCATCAGAGAAATGCAAAGCAAAACCACAATGAGATACCATCTCACACCAGTTAGAATGGTGATCATTAAAAAGTCAGGAAACAACTGGTGCTGGAGAGGATGTGGAGAAATAGGAACAATTTTACACTGTTGGTGGGACAGTAAATTAGTTCAACCATTGTGGAAGACTGTGTGGCAATTCCTCAAGGATCTAGAACTAGAAATATCATTTGACCCAGCCATCCCTATTACTGGGTATATACGCAAAGGATTATAAATCATGCTGCTATGAAGACATATGCACACGTATGTTTATTGCGGCACTATTCACAATAGCAAAGACTTAGAACCAACCCAGATGTCCATCAATGATAGACTGGATTAAGGAAATGTGGCATATATACACCACGGAATACTATGCAACCATAGAAAAAGATGAGTTCATGTCTTTGTGGGGATATGGATGAAACTGGAAACCATCATTCTCAGCAAACTATCACAAGGACAAAAAACCAAACACCACATGTTCTCACTCGTAGGTGTGACTTGAACAATGAGAACAGTTTGACACAGGAAGGGGACTATCACACAGCAGGTCCTGTCTTGGGGTGTGGGGAGCGGGGAGGGATAGCATTAGTAGACATACCTAATGTAAATGATGAGTTAATGGGTGCAACACACCAACATGGCACATGTATACATATGTAACAAACCTGCACATTATGCACATGTACTGTAGAATTTAAGTATAATATTTAAAAAAAAGTAAAAAAAAATAAGGAATTGGGGAAATAGATTTCGTATTTCAATTTTTGGAAAAGCTGTAACACTGGTTTAACTTAGCACTATACAAAAACTGGCCATCAGACTTCTCTTGTCTGTCCCACTTTCTTATTCCAGCCTTCTTTAAGATTACCAACTTTCCTTGCTGGAGATGGAGGGAGATGGGAAGAGAGATGTTGGAGCTTTGCACTTTTGTTCTAGGGCTGAGCAAACATCCAGGATCCTTTCTTTTGGGATCAAAGTGTTTAATCCTCAAATATGAAAGATAATTTCTCAAGTTAAGCCACCTCTTTGTTCCCCACAAATATTGAAAATACATCTTCTTCAAAACATTACCAAAACGTCTGGTTAGCAGTTTTTTGGGTGTATTCATGGCACTGAGGAACACATAGAATTACTTAAATAGGCAAGGGATTTTGAGAAATTGTGTTTTGCTGATTCCCGAGTAAATCTGCTTTGGAAAGCACTCAGTGAGACTTGATCTAGAGCCTCTGTCTGCTGGGCACTTTCCTTGGGGCTGAACATACAACAGTGAACCAAACCAAGCCTTTGTCTTCCTGATTTCTAGACATTGAGGCAGATGGTCAGCAAGCCATTACCCAGGACTGCAGAAGAAACCGGTTGCAGCTGATGCATAGGTGACATGGCCACAAGAGGGAGTTTCTGACAGGCAGCCATTTTTCACAGGCCTAAGCAAGGGAATAAAAATAACATGATAGAATAAACGAAATCAACTGAGTAACAAGGTGTTCTACCTCTCAGAGAGAATGTACATTATAATATTTGCCTTAAAATTTTTAAGCAGCATAGCGAGTAACATAGTTGTTATTGAGAAATTTTTATATTCATCATTTCACCTCTGCATGGGCACAGATGATATGGAAAAGGCTGAAATTTGTTGTCTCTGCTATGAGGTACCCAATAAACATACTTTATTTCTTTGCCTTTGTGTCCAAAGACATTTCTGTATTCCACCATACAGGTGCAAAATACACACCAGAGTAGAAAAGTAGTTTGTTCTTCCTATTTATTTCTCAATATAAATGTGCTTAAACAACATTGCTATTTTGAGAATACTATTCCACATAAGAAAGCAATCTCACTTTAGAGTAACTTTTGTTTCTTCTTTAAACAAGGAGGAAGTTGCATTTCTGTCTGCAGAAATTGTCCCTTTTTGTATTTTAATTTCATCAGAAGTATTGAGACGAGATGGGTGGTAATGAGAGAAAAAATTGTGTTGCTTCTCTCTTATTCGTGAAACTAACTAACTCCCTGCTGATGACTTTAAAATAAGGAAGAGCAAAAGGGTGCAGAATCCTCCTGTAAGCCTATGAATTTTTCTTGTTATTAGCATTGCTAGCTTTATAAAAAAATAAGTTACGTGTCAGAACTTGAAGAGAAAGGTCAGTAAAATTGTTTCTGAGCATGAGATGTAATTAAACATGTGAGATGCAGAGATCTGTGCCAAGATGCAAAGGGAAGAGACAATTTATTAAAACATGGGCATTCCCTGGATAAAATAGAAGTGGACGAAACAAGTATCTGTAGGTTTTCAAGAAGCAGGTGCAAGATATCGTGCAAGTAAGGTGCTGGACTGGTTTGGTTACTTGTCCCTTCAGAAATAAGGAGGAGATGACATTTCAGTTAGGTTTTATCATTTCAGTTAGGTCATATCAGGCTTTATGACAGCATGGGATTAATACAGGCTGAGGATACAGTAAAGGCAAATGACAAGCAAGGAAGACACAGCCATGGCCAGGCCCCAGTGAGTGGGTTGAGAGAGATGAAATATTTCTAGTACAAAGCTGGTGGTGTTACAGGAAATCGATATGGAAAGATAAAGGCAGATTATTGGAGCCCATACTACCATGGTGTTGAATTCTACCAGAGCAGAGACACTGCACAGCAGATACACAGGAAATGCCTCAGGAAATGCCTGGTAGAAATGATCACAAGTTACTAGAAGGTACAGACTGACTTCAAGGAGAGTCCTGACTGGGCTGTTTAAGTATTTCAGGGAGATGGTGTGGAAGACCCCTGTTGCAGCTGAAATACAGGGAATATGAATGTGCCAGCGCTGGTTGCTGGGCAGATGGAGGATGGAAAGAGCATGACAAAAAAAAAAAAAAACAAAAAACAAAAAAACAAAACAAAACAAAAAACTAGAATGATCACACCCATGATGAAGCTGGTATTGTGGGGATTTCACATGTGTATAGTAGAAAACTATCAGAACTGTGGATGCAAGGGTAGGTGAAGAGAGCAGGAATAGAGGAAAAGATATGGAAAGGATCCTTATCTGAATAATAGTGAAAACCCCAGGAAGGGCTGCTGTCCATTTGGAGGAAGTGGGAAATGAACAGTGAGATGGCTAGAATGGCTGGGGGAGTGCAGGGGTTTGATGTCTGTTCTGTTTTTCAGAGTAGAACAGAGTTGAGCATCTTTATGGGAGTAAGAATTATAAAACTGATCTGTATAGAAATAGGGATCAGTGGCTCAGTCAGGGTCATACAGATAGGAGAGGTATTATAATGAAAGGCAGAGGTTGAAATGTAGGCTTTGCTTTCAAGAAGAGAAAGGAGATCTGTGTAAAGGACAAGAACCTGTGACATGGAGGGAGGATATGTCAGTTGGAGTCGGCCATGATGAGGGTGACTTGTATTCATCTCAGCCAAGTGAAGTGGAATGCAGTGGCAAGGAGTGGGATTGGGGGCCTGAAGTCAATGAACAGGGAAGAGCAACTTGAAGCAGGTCACATGTCAACCAAAAGCCCAGCAGAGTCTCTCCGGATCTTGGCAAGGACTCCTGCAGAATGGTCCTGCATTCATTTGAACAATGTGATACAGGCAGCAATTCTTTATTTTCTGTTCTATTAGATCTAGATCAGAAAGAAATTGAAGAACAAAAGGAAGAAGAAAAAAATGTGGAAACAGCAAGTGAAAGAATGAAGGCAGAGAGAAGAAAAAAAGGCAGAGTAACCTACATTTTAGAAAGGGAACAGAGGGAACTAGAAAAACTGGATCAAGAAAGGGTAATAATTATGACTTAATTCTCTGTACAAGTTGCTGCATTGTTCACCTTTAGTAACTACATTGAGGTGAGTGAAGGGAGTCAATTAGTGTCCAAATTCAGAGGAGTGGCAGGTGCCCGAAAAGGAATCCCTGTCCTCTTCTTGTCTTACAAGCAGTGAGAAATGCTGTGTAGAATATGCAGCTTAGGAGTTTGGTAGTAAATGGTTGTTTTTGAAGGTAATTTTTGTGCATTCTCATCTGATCCTTAAATAAGGCTGTAAAAAAGTAGACTGTGCTTTGCTTCAGAATGTTGCTTTGAAATCAGAGTTTAAGGAAGAGGCTGTCAGTGTCAGCTAGCTGGTACTAGAAGAACCCAAAGGTGGAGATGGCTGCCAGTCCAAGTTTGCTTCCAGGGGCGTATGCTGCACCCCTTTTTCCTCAGGTTCTCTTCTTCACATCTGTATTCTGATTCTTGTCCTATCAGATGGATTACTCTGTCCACTTAACAACCTTGTTAAGTCTTGCTTGAATTACTGTAACATAAGAATGTTCCCTGGATTCCTGGTTAATTCAAATCTAAAGCGCAGGACACTTGAGGGAAATTAATGGCTTCCTTCATTGAGATGATCTATTTGTTTTCCATTGATGATAGGAATGACTTCCATTATGAAAAATTAGTTCACTGGCACACACACTGTGGGCGGGGACACACAGGGCTTCTGTGGTTTATTTTTACTTCTCGAAACAAGAATGCACATCCAAGTAATCTTTCTTCTCCGTTGAAGACAAAAAGGTGAAAAGCATAAAAAATCGAAAGTTCAGATGGAACCTCGAGTCTTTTAAAGGTATTACTCTTCCGATAAACATTTAAGATAAAATATTTCATTCTTAAGATAAAATATTTAAGAGATTTTAGTTTGTCAAAATTTGTAAGGTAGGGTGGTTCACTGTTTTAGGACCAAGAGAAAAAAAACTATTATCATATAACAAGGACATTAGTACTGACATTAATATTTTATATGTCAGAAGCATCATGGTGTTAAATGCATACCTTATGGTTTATTTTGATGTGCTTGCTAAATTTTGTGTTTATAAATCACTGCTTTTTTAGGCTTTCAAATTACATGTATGTTTCAAAAATGGTTCTTAGCCAAGTATTTCATAAAATTAATGCATACCTAATTTCAAAATTCTTCCCTTTCCCCCAGGTAATCAGAGCTCAAGAAAGGTGATTCAGGAAGGCTCCCTATAGACATGCTTCAATCTAGTGACAAAGTTGAAATGGACTTGGTTTCCCCACACTGTGTTTTATGTGTGAACGGTTAATTGCTTATTTTTTCAGCCAAAAGAAATGGTTAGAAATTTGAGGTTGCCTGTAAGAAGTTATTGAATCAGTCAGAATTACTGACTATAAAAAGAAAGGATTGGATTTTCTAACTTGTGAAATTGATCCTAATATAATTGATAAGCAAGACCAGAAACTCCCCAGAAAATAAATTGAGAACATTACAAAGATACCAAATAAATCTGACACAAATTTTCAAAATTTTTACGTTTTCATTTTTGTCTCCCCTTTGGTAATTGAACAGGATTTTCTCATGAAGGACCAGATCACTCTTGAAAACCAGGTTTGCTCTCCAGCTTCTATTGCAAATATAATGAGAAGATACATAACATTTACCCCTTTGTAAATGTTTCTCTGTCATCAGACAAAACTCTCGATAGAAATCACTGTGTAATCCAGTGTATTTGTTTTTTCCTAATTGCATTTGATACTATAGTGTATGAACCAAGAATAATCGAGTCAAGTGAAACCCCTTTTCCAGTCATAAAATGTCTCATTCATTACACTAAAAGGAGCTGTTCTTTTTAAAAAACATTCTTATTTTGGTCTCAAATTTTTAAATGTGTTTAACCTATCTTATTTGTCAAATCTAGGCCTATATTTGGGAAGGGTGAGCTGTGTTCTTTCCTCTGAAGAGCTGGGCTGCCTTCTGTAAAACAAGAGGCCATTTTTCCCAGCACATTTCTGTTTTCTACCTGAACACTAAAATACAGATTTTTCTAGGCATTAGAAATAGTACAATATTGCCTCTGGTCTTTGCATTTGATGCCTGTGGCTTTAGTAATTGTGTCCCTCCAGAATTTATATGTTGGAATTTAAACACCCCAGAATGGTAGAAGTAAAAATTCAAGATTTTGGGAGGCAAATAAGAGAGCAATTAGCGACCTTATAAAAGAACTCAATGGAACTAACAAAGCTTTTTAGCCCTTCCACCATTAGAAGACACTGTATTTGTCCTCTCTAGAGAAGGCAGCAACAAGGTGCCGTCTTGGAAGCAGAGACCAGGCCTTCACCAGACATGGAGACCATCAATGCCTTGATCTTGGACTTCTCAGTCTCTAAAACTGTAAGAAATTTACTTCTGGTTTTATAAGTTACCCAGTCCAATGTATTGTGTTATTGCAGCAGGAAGGTACTGAGATAGCATCTTTATTGTGGAACCATTGGTCCTCATACTTAATGAATGGGCTTCAAGTGTTTCATTAATTTTAAAACACACGGCTCCTTCTTTACAATTGATTTCATTTTTATTTTCTAAAAATCAACGTTTACAATGCAGAACTGGAAAAAAAAATCTCTACTGAAACCTGTAGATTGTCCTAGGTTTTTTGGCAGAATCACTGTGGATAATTTAGAGGCTGCCTGTGATCACATCTATGTATTATTTAGTTTCCTGTCTATTCATGTGACTTAAATAATTGCACAAAATGCTACTTAAAAGTAGGAAGAAAGGAAGGTGACAAATAGCACACTAATTGAACTGTTGACTGTTTTTCTGTCATGTATGAATAAAGGATGATGATCCAGAGTCAGCACCTCAATGAAGAGTAGGCATGTGTCAATAGTGACAAAGGCTAGGCCTCACTAAAAAAGGTCAGATGCGGACAATCCAAATTCAGAATTATATTGACAAATAAGGAGTTGAAAAACATTATATAATAATACTCTGAGTAACATATTTAGCTCTGCAACTCTAGAGAGTAATTGTTAGAACTGGTTGCTCTATATTTCTGAGTAAATCTTTCAATTTTTATACCATCGATTTGAAAAATAAACAACTACACATGGGCACTGATTGCTTGTAATTTGCACAAGTTTAAGCCTTGTTAATCTCATAGGTAGGTGGCTTTTATTTGTTTCAAAACTAGTCAGGAAAGTACTTACTATATACAGAAAACTACAGAAGTGCTTTTGGCACTTTTATACCCAGTACAGCCCGGTAGATTATAATATTTTCTTAAATGGCTGAAGAAAATTTTCCAGAAATAAACCAAGTAGCACTCACAGACTTGACTACCACACCAGTGTGAAATCTTTACTACGCACATTATTCAAAAGTCACAGCATACTAGGGAAAAAGAAAGATAAGATTTGTATAAAGTAAAAAGGCAAGTGAATGAAGCTATACTTTTATTTCATTTCTCTTAATATATCCACAACTATTTTCACCAATATAGATCTTTAAAATAAGCATAGACAAGGATTAACTATTATCTACAAATACTTATTGTAACACTTGAGTAGAACAATAGGAAGCCCTTGACACTGATTGACAATGTGGATTAACTGTTAGATTACAAAAAATTATACATAGCAAAATTTAATTCTCTTTACATAAAAAATAAGGCTACATAAACAAAGCTTTCAAAAGTTTCTGACAATAGCTACCAGAATTAGAAAGTTAAAATTAGACTTGAGGCACTACATCTTCTGCAATACTGGACTCTGAAGGCACCACCATTGCTGGAAATAATAGTTAATTTTGTCATGCAACAGGAAAACAAAACACGTAACTATTTTGGAATATTTGTTCTATACAGAAGAGAACTTCTCTCAGTTAAAATTAAAAAATCCCAAACAGGCATTTTTATAGAGTAACCAAAAAAATAAAAATAAAAAAAAAGAAAAACCCACTGATACATGTGATACTTGATGTTCAAATTTAATAGCATCCATATAAAATTGTACTTCCTTTCTTAATTTTGAGTACATTTCTGCACATGTGGTGCTCTCAAATCCAGGAAACAGCCAAATCACAAGTTAAATTTTAAGGTGAATATACACAATGGATCCTGTATTAAGCAGCCCATTTGAAAAACACTGATGTACCTAACAGTTATGTAGAGTATTTCATAAAGAACTGCACAGAATTTACCATCACTAACACACTGTAACTATAGTCACTGAATATCTGGAATACAATAAGGCAGAAGGCAAATTTCTTTTGAAAATGTCTTAAACTCAGGAAGTTTTCTTATGCAACACCAAACTTTGTTATTCCAAGGAATTAAGATTTAGATAAGAAGAAAATGAAATACCAACCCTAATTTAAATTACTTACATCTTCAAGTCTATAGAAGTCAAAGGTTACAGATCTTTGGCCAATTTGAAATTAGGTTTTAGATAGTGGATGTGAAACTGTTTACCCAGAGCACTGAAAAATAGTTTAAACTGGTGGTTGTTTTGGTGAGGTAAAAATTCTTAATTTAAAAAAATACATAGAACGAAATTCTGTGAAAGATATTTAGGTCATTGGTTTTGATATAAATTCTGAAAAATGTATACCAAATACTCTTTAAGGCAGAGATGACATTTATTTCTCAAGGATAATAAAAACTAGATCAGTATTTTGTTGAAATAAAACCTATTATAAAAGTGCTTCTGGAATTCTTGTCAATGAGTCTGAATCTAGATTTTTTAGAGTATCTAGTAGAGTCAGCAGAATTGTACCTACTTTTAGGATTATTGAAAAATATTTTCTTCTTGGCTGAGGAAATTAATGGGACACGGACTTCGGAGAGAAAGCTAATTTAAAAAGTCATGAGATGAATCACGTTACTTATGCGCCAAAGTTTAATAAGTGCCAGCTGTCAGAATTGAAACTTCACACCAATTTCACTTTATTTCCTATGTAGGTAACACTTATTTGAGAATAGATAGCATATATATGAATTTATCATCTCATCTTTTGATGCTGGCATGTCACAGGTCCTTATCAAAGAGTATCACATATTCCATTGAGTGTCTTGAGAGAAATGTTCTAGCAGCAAATGTGAATGTGCCACAAATTTCCAGAGTGAAAGGTCATTTTGTCAAAGTGTTACCTTTTAAAATTGCTAACATATAACCTGCAATATTTGCTCTAAAGAAAAAGATGTACTCACTGGAAGGTATTCCGGGAGCTACATCTCAGCAGCTTGAGACAGAAAGGTGTTTGAACGTCTACTTTAGTTTGGTGGGATATACATCTGTAATGCAGAGCAGTTGTCTGATAATTTGTCAGAGCTGTCAATGTGTTGGCTGAAACACTCTGGCAAACATTTATGTGTAAGAAGTGAGTTACTCCTTTTAGAGAAACTGGATATCTTGCAGTTCGTGTTCTTTCTTTGCTTTGATACCCTGGTAAGCCTGCATTTTGCTGGCATCCATGTAAGCCAGTTAGAAGACAGTATCATGAGAAAGTGGATCTGGAAAAGAAGGTTGAGCATGATGACTAGTAAGCATGTCAGAAGGTAAAGCAAGGTGCTACTTAGATTAGATAGACTTGATGTTAAAGGGGATGAGGGTTATTCTGTATTAATTCTTTCTCTACTAGCAGAGCTGTCAAATCCTGAAAATGTGCTCTACTACTAGGCTTCACTTTAAAAAACTGAAGAAAAGTAAGTACATAAACATTGCAAAGTATATCTATTAACTATTAAATTTCTGTATACTCATCAGTCTAAGTGAGTAATATATTAAACACCTCTCACTACAATTGGGATTTGTCTACATAAATAGATATTCATAAAATTTGCCTCAGGTGTAGGTTGAGACAATGCTGCTGAGACATTTAAATTTGTGACTGTTATATTATCTTTAAAATATATTTTCATATTTTGATATTTCTTATTTTGTCTGTTACCTTATAAATTATATTTTATTATCCCTCTTTATTGTTTGTATTTTCCTTAAAACTCTCCTTTGCCTTGTATAATATCAGTGACCTTACTTTTTTGATAAATACCTGTTGATTTTCTCTAAACCTTTATTTTCAATATTTCAGGGTGATTATTTCTAGGTAAAAGCAATTTTTTCTCAATCTAATATTAGAGTACTTTATATTTTAACACAGAAATATAAACCGTTTACATCTAATATGGTTACTCTCATAGCTCTCTAACTAATATCTGATTAGAGAGTTGTTCTACCCTAGATTTTCTTTGTCTCTGCTTTGGCATATCTGCCTTAGTTCTTCTCTCCCCTTCCCCACCTGCCACCTATTTTCCTAATTGTGTTGATTTAATTTTCTTACTCATATTTATTTCTTTTCCTGCTTTTGACATTTGTCACGATATTTCTAAACTTTCTTAGCTTATCAGTAGAACCCAGTTAGTTAACTTTTTTCTAACAAAGTAACACATTTATTAGCCTCATAAAAAATTCTTGTAATACCTCTTTCATTTGGATATTTATTCTTCTTGCTAAAAAAAGGAAACAAGGAAACCTTTATTCTTCTTTTCCTTGGTGTTTTGATAGGTCTTTGATATTTGCATAGTCTTCATAAGTTGAAAAATGTATCTCTAAGTAACAAAAACATATGTGGAATAATATTCTGTGTAGAGATAATTTTTGTATTCTGCCTGTTGCCCTTTCTAAACATTTTTGTCTCATGGTGTTTTTTTTAAATGCAGATGAAAGTTTCCTAATCTGAGCTCAACTTTCATAACTTCCCTTTCATGTATGGCCACCAGATAAAATGAAGGATTCCCAGTTACATTTTCATTTTAAATAAACAACAAACAGCATTTTAGTATAATTCTCAATAGCTTTGTAATTTAGTAATATTCTCAATATTGCATGGACAGACTTATACTGAAATATAATTCTTTGTTGTTTGTCAATACATTGCCAAATTTCAAATTAAAATGTGATATTTAAATTCCTGTATTTTCCCCCTACATCTGGCAACCTTACTTTCACATCTACTTAGGAAATTACTTATTCTTGCTATATTTATGCTGAATCTTCTGTATAAAAAACAAACAGGCCAGGCGCGGTGGCTCACGCCTGTAATCCCAGCACTTTGGGAGGCCAAGGCGGGTGGATCACAAGATCAGGAGATCAAGACCATCCGGGCTAACACGGCGAAACCCCGTCTCTACTAAAAATACAAAAAACATTAGCCAGGCATAGTGGCGGGCGCCTGTAGTCCCAGCTACTTGGGAGGCTGAGGCAAGAGAATGGCATGAACCCGGGAGGCGGAGCTTGCAGTGAGCCGAGATCGTGCCACTGTACTCCAGCCTGGGTGACTGAACGAGACTCCACGTCAAAAAAAAAAAAAAAATTATTTGATTTCCCTTAATATATGCTTCATTTAGACAATGATGAATAATTGTCTATTTAAAAAATTTGTATCCTGTTACCCACTTGTTTTTCCCTTAGATTCCATTTCTTCATCCCCAAAAACACCTAACCCTAGTTATTATGAAGACTCTTTTGATTTAACTTTTCATTTTTGAGGGTGACCCCTAAGCATCTTGACTATCTCTTAGGGCATGGAACTTCCAACATTGATTTTGCAATGTTGTCTTTGAAGTGGTAAATGAAAGTTAACCTTTTAAATGTAAAGTTATTATTGGTGGGTGGGCAGTTTTATGTTAATCTTTTCAGGTTTTTAAGAACTTAATTGTTCAATCTAGTATTTTATTCCAGTTTCTTATTTTAAGGTAGTTGTATCTTTCAGGTAATATGAAAATCATCTCTTCAGTCTAGAATATCACACTGGATAGAGGTTGAGATATGAAATTTTAAGTCATGGCTTTGAGTAAAAACCTCATTCTGTGTTAGATCCCAGTATCTGTGGGCATGGCTTTCAGTATTGACTCAAATGTTCCCACTAAATGTCTGAGCAATATGAACTTTCACCAATGATTTAGGCAGGGGGTCCAGCCCTCTTGAACAAAGAAATGGTTTCTTTCCTGGGAGTATATCCAACTTTACTCTTCAATTGACTACTTCAACAAACTACTAAGGTTAATCTCAACCAATATTATTGGAGTCCAAACCTCAGAAATGATGTTTTTCTTGATAGTGAGTTTGAATTTTTAAAAAATAATTTTGTCTTACACTTATAGTCTCTGGGTGTCATGAGAGTTGCTTTTGCAAATTTTCACTTTGCTCCAGAGAGCTAGAAATAAGTGCTTGATTTCTATCAAATCACTTGTTACTTAACAAAGAAAACCTCTGAGAAAGGTGTTATTACTATATCCCTTCTGCAGTTGAAGCAAGACATATTTTTGCTTACATTTTCTGAAAACATTGCCAATGGTATTATTTTTCCAAGTGTATGGAAGGTATTCTATCTTTTCTTCACTGTCCTATATTATTTATATGCTATAAATCATTGGCTATTTCACATATATTTCACATATATTATAAAAACTTCTTTGAGATTATTTAATTTTGGTGAAAACTTTATTTTATACAATCAGTTCATTGTAGGTATATCTAATCATGCCATTCTCTGTAATATTATCTTCCTATGATTTCTTTGCATGATACTTTAAAAGCCTTTCTATAACTTTCACTTTTTAGAATTCCCAGTTACACTGCAACACACCAATGTTTCTGACATAATGTCAGAAGGGAAACACAGACTCTGAAAAGTAGAAAGAGAAAGACATTTTCTCTAGGGACTTCACAACTTGAAGAGTGACAGTATGTAAATTTACTGGGATTTTTAGGTCTTTCATGTATCCCAGATGATGGACTGTAGAAGCTTCTAATTGACAAAGTCCAATAGGCACAGATAAAAAGGGCTTCAAGGAAATACTGTTTTCTCCCAGTCAATGAACCAGAAGAGGATGACCTACCAACACACAAATCCAAAGAACACTTCTAGAGAGAATATCCAAGCTACTCAAAAGTCAAGCCCTGTCTTTGTTTGGGGCTCAGTGTTTAAATGTTAATCTGTTAAATCAGGGTGCACACAATACAATTCTTCTTTTCCACCCACTGGTCTCTACTATTCCTTAATTCCTGCAACATTTTCTGGGAGCTCATCCAGGATTGGAGACAACAGGTATGCTGTTTCTTTTGCCTGTCAGACTGGAGCTCCAGGCCAGGAAAGACCTGTGACCCCAGGTGCACCATCAGAAGAACTTCAACCTGAAAGAGAGGCCAGATGTCCTGTGACCCTGTGCACCCCCCGAAAGCACAATGGAACTTAAGGGGCTACAGGACAATTCCAGGGACAGCATGCTGCTGAACCATGGGAAGGTTTGGGGCCCAAGGAAGGACCCATACCATAAAGATGGAATGGGAGTCTGATCACCTCCCAGTGCGTATCTAGTTATCCAAATCAGGACACAAGATTTGCTCTCTAATTCAGATGAAACCTACACCATAACCTCTGAAGAGGAACTGAGAGTGGAAACTGTGTGAATGCATGTGCAAGAGTAGGGCGATGTATGTGGGGCTGCAAGTCTCTTAGCATAGACCATATGTCCCAAGTGAAGTGTGGGACCAACCAGGATTACTGGCATATGTCCTCCGGAACTACCACATATGGCTTAGTCAGGCACCACACAATTTAGTGATTGTGGTGGTCTGGGTTCAGGGGTTATACAAACCATCCATTAAAGCTAAGCATCATCTGAAATACTCCCACAGGAGAGGTGGTCTAATCATTCTGAAGCAAAAGTAAAAGAGTAAGTGTATGACACTATAACTGGGAGGAGATGTGAGGGAAGTTGTCAAAACCCACCATATTAGAATACACGTTAAAAAGTTTAAGAAATGTTACACTGGGAATTGTAGTATCAAGTCGACTCCCCAGAGGTAAAAGAGTCTTTGTAAAATAGAGAAGCCCTATTTTAGTGTTGGGTGGCCAGCTGAAGGAACAATAGATGGGGAATAATTGACCATGCACATCAAGTGGTGACTGGGGTCAGAGAATAGCCAGGGTATCCAGACCAATTTTTTTATATTGACTTATGGCTAAATATCATCCCAACCAGCATGGCTACAGTCTTTCCTGATGGCTTACTGCAAAACGCTTGTTGCTCAAGCTGAGCCTAAAGTGAAAGAGGAATCAGCTTCACCAGCAGCAATGGAGAAAAAGGGAAAGCCATAAGAAGGGCAAGAAAAACTGGCTTTGTGGAAACCACCAGAAGAGACAGAAATCCCTCCTCCCTATACCCCAATTAGCCCCCTTTTACCAAGGCCAATGGCCCATGAGGAGTCAAATTCAGATGGTGACACACCCTGGGTTTCACCCCAAAGGGAGAAATCAGAGCCCCTGCCCCAGGAGGTCAAGGAGGAGTGTCAGAATAATCAAGTGAGCTGCCTCTGCTATGGCCATGCCCTGGTTCTGCAGATGCCTTTCAAGGAGACTTGGGGAGGCCTCTACTTTGATGAATATGGCCATACGTAAGGGGGGAAATGGACCCTTATCTACCAGCCTATTTCAATCACTGATCCCCTAACTGGAAACACCATATTCTCTCCTACATGAAGAAGCCCCTGGCCCTCATAGATCTGATACAGTCCATTTTCCAGACACATAATTCAATTTGTCCAGATAGTAAACATCTTCTCCTGATGCTGTTTAACACCAAAGAGCATGGAAGGATGGCTCATTCAGCCCTCAACTGGCCAGAAGCCCATGTGCCAGAAGGCACATTTAATTTCCAGGCATACTCTCAGGTCCAGTTCCCAGAAGCACACTCCCACTGGGACCCAGATGATTTGACCAGTTTCAGCATCTGCAGGCATACTGAAAACCACTCTTGCAAAGGCTAAAGGAAGGCAGAAAACAGGTAATCAATATAGAAAAAATCTCAGAAGTGCTTCAAGAAACTGACGAGAGCCCTAGCAAGTTTTATTAGAAACTGTTTGAGGCATTCTGGCTTTACACTCCATTTGACCCCAAGGATAAGAACCAGCAGATAGTAAATGCAGCATTTGTAGGACAAGCCCAGGGGGACATAAGATGAAAAGTGCAAAAGCTAGATGGTTTTGCAGGCATGAATGCCACCCAGCTTTCAGAATTGGCCACGAAGGTGTATGTTAACTGTGACCAGAAAGCACAAAGTGAGGCTGATTGGAGACTCAGGAAGAAGGCCGATCTACTAGTGGCAGCCCTCATGGAAAGGGAAGCTATCATCACAAGCAGATGCAGATGCAGACTCAGATGTGGAAGGGGCCAAGCAGGGCAGAGACCCAAAAGTCAGCTGAGACTAGATAGAGATCAATATTTGCACTGCAAAAAAAGGGGGTCCCTGGAAAAATAAGTGTTTAGAGGGTAGTAAAAGAAATAACAGAGGACACAAAACTATCAAACAGCCAGCCAAGGACCACCACACCATGAGGGAGCCAGGCATCAACTTAATTGGGCTGGCAGAGACCGAAAAATAGGAAGACTATGCAAGACCGGGCTCCATCTCCCAAGTCCCCAGGAGCCCATGATCACAGTAGAAGTAGGGGAGCAACAGATGGACTTTATGGTGAACACCAGCTCTAAACACTCAGTAGTGACACAGCCCATAGGGCCACTATCTAAACATGATACAACTATTATTGGGGCTACAAGGGATCCAGAAAGGAGGCCATCTTGCTGGCCTAGAAGGTATGTCATAGAGGGACAAGAAGTCCAACATGAATTCCTATACCTCCCAAGTTGCTCAGATCCCCTACATGGAAGAGATCTGCTCCAGAAACTGACAGCACAGATTTCTTTTGGGCCACACGAGGATATAACTTTAAGCCTAACTCACCCAAAGGTCATGGTGTTAACCCTCATTATTCTGCAGGCTGAGGAATGAAGAGTATAGACAAAACAGTCACCAGAACTGTCTCATAAGCCAGGGCTGGAGAAAGTGTTTACACTACTGGGTAAAATTTTTGGAGTATGGGCTAACAATAACCCACTGAGCCTGGCTGTAAAGGCTGTAAATCAGGCACGGATAATAGTAAAGCTAAAACCAGGAGCAACTCCAGTTCAGGTTCACCAATACCTATTTCTCTGAGAAGACACGCGGGGTATTCACAAACATTTAAAGTGACCCTTCAAACACAGAATCTTAGTCTGGTAGTCTGGTGTGAGTCACCCTGGAACACTCCACTGCTACCAAAACAAAATACAGAGTCTGGTAAATCTAAACCAGTGCAAAACTTACATGAAATGAACCAGGCTACTGTAACCTTCCACCTGGTGATACCAAATCCGTACATGCTAATAAGATTCATTCTGGCAAGTGCTGCCTGATTTACTTGACTAGACTTAAAGAATATTTTCTTCTATCTGTGCCTGGCACCAATTAGTCAGCCCATCTTTGCATTTCAATGGGACGATTGAGTCACAGGCACAGGGGAGCAGCTCACATGGACTAGACTCCCACAAAGATTCAAAAACACTCCTACAATCTTTGGAGACACACTGGCCTCAGACATCAAGGCCTTCACCACACCAAATGACAACTACACCTTGCTACAATACATAAACGACCTTCTCCTAGCAGCCCCAACCCCAGGGGGCAGATACCAAGGAATCCAAGACTTCCTCCATCTCCTTTATGGAAAACTGGTTATAACGTATTCAGAAAGAAGGCCAAATTTGCCAAGAAAGTGTCAAATATCTGGACTTCATAGTAAGCCAATGGGAACACCAGCTCAGCAGTGAGCAAAAGCCATGTCTTTATGCACTCTCAACTCAAACCACCCAGTGCCAAATGGGAAAATTCTTGGGGAATGCAGGGTTCTGCTGTATCTGGGTCCCAAATTTCTCACTAATTGCCAAGCCCTTATATAAAGGCACAAAGAGAGGGGAAAGGAAACCCCTCCTTTGAGAGGCTGTCCAGGAAAAGAAGGTGTTTAAACAAGCCAAAGAAGCCTTAACACAGGCCCAAGCCATAGGACTGCCAAATATAAGTAAGCCTTTCTTTCCACATGTCCATGAATAAAAGGGATTGGCTATAGGTGTCCTGACCCAAGTTGTGAAATCATGAATTCGCCCGGTGATGTACTTATCCACACAATTGAACTCCTTGGCCCTAGCATAGCCTCCTTGCCTTAGGGCACTAGCTGACACCACCCTATTGGAACAACAAGATAGAAAACTAGCTCTAAGACAACAGCTGACCATCTGGGTATACCACAGTCAGTTCTAACTTTAATGGATTAGACAGCGCACTATTAGTTATCAAATCCAAGAGTGACTCAGTACCAGGGGCTCATATGCAAAAATCCCGACATAACTTTGGAAATAATAAACACCCTTAACCTGGCTACCTTAGTCCCAGTCAAACCAGGGGTCCTCCTTCATGACTCTGTGGAAACAGTAGATGATGTATTCTCAAGCCAGAAAGACCTTATAGAGCAACCCCTCTGGGACCCAGATGGTAAATACTATATACTGAAAGGGGTCCGTGAAACTGGGTATGCAGTGATAACATTAGATTCAGTGGTAGAAGCTCAGCCCACCAGAACATCAGCCCAAAAGGCAGAGCTAATAGCCCTAATGAGAGCGTTCTGCTGACAAAACGTAAAATGGCCAATGTTTATACTGATTCCAAGTATACTTTTGCCACGCTGCCTGATAATGGGGCTATATATAAAGAAAAAGGATTCTTAACTGTGGTGGGCCAAAAAGAAAAAAAAGTACAAAGAAAAAATTCTGCAACTCTTAGATGCTGTATGGACTCCAAAGAAGACAGCTGCTATGCACTGCAAGGGGCACCAAAAGCCAGGATCACTGGAGGCCAAAAGGAACAAAAAGGTAGACAGGTATGCAAAAGGGGCAGCAATGACTACCCATAGACAGACAGACAGCCATAGCTGACTCTCCTCCCAAATATGCACCTCTCAGAGGTTTCAAGTTACCTCCAAATGAGAAGCTCTGCTTTTCCCAAGGGTCTGGAAAATATATAAAAAGGGACGGTGAAAATTCTCCAATAGGAGGCTAGCCAACCACGAAATGCTGGCCCCAAAATTTGTAAAACAATTCCATCAAGGAACCCACATGGGAAAAATGTCACTGAAAACACTGCTAGGACACCATTTCTATGTGCCACAGCTCACTGTCATCACTTGATCTGTCTGCAAACAATGTCTAACTTGTGCCCAGAACATTCCATGACAAGGGCCCACTTGGCCCCTGGGAATTCAGGAAATGGGAGCCACACCCTGTGAAAACCTTCTTAGAAACTTCACTGAGATGCCCCAATCAGTGGGCTGTAAGTACATACTGGTGATTTTCTGTACCTTTTCAGGATGAGTTGAGGCTTTCCCCACCCTAACAGAGAAATCATGAGAAGTAACAGAAGTACTGTTAAGAGACGATATCCCCAGATTGAGAATGCCTCTAACTCTAGGGTCAGAAAATGGACTGAAATTTGTGACCGAGACAGTTCAGGGACTATTTTCCACTGGCCATCCCCAATCATAGCTCAAATTAGGGGTGAACTTTGCAAACTAGGGAATTAACTTTAAGAAGGCAAAGGCAGGCGTTAAAGAGAGCCATGCAAGAGGTCCATGGCTGGGTATGGGAAAGATTGTCCATAAGCCCAACAAACACAGCACACCACTTTAGACCTGGGGACTCTGTGTAGGTCAGAAATAAAATCCAACCACTCTAGAACCCATATGGGATGGGCCCCATCCTGCAACCTTGTCCACTTCCACTGCTGTTAACATTGCAGAAATTGTGCGTTGGATCCACCACAGTCAACTAAAACTTGCAGCCCAAGACAAGTGGACCAGCAAACATGACCCAGACCATCTGAGCTGGCTAATCCTATGACCTATTTGCCCTGAGAAATGATGAAGCCCTACTCTGGTCATTCCGAAAGCTGACTAGTCTGTTCTCAGCTAAAACTTGAGGAGTCAACAGCCCTGCTGTAGTCATCCTGGAAGCTGACTACTGTACGTACGTTTGAAGCTGGAGTAAAATATAATAAAATAGTGATAAAAATCTTAAATCCAATCATTGTTTTACTATTGTTCTCTCACTTTGCTCAACCTCCTCCCCTGTGTAAAAACTTCTTCTTTTCCTCCCTGGTATAAACATGTTACTCTTTACTTATTTCCTATTCCAGGCAATAGGAAAGCTAAGCCCACTTCTTTTCCTCCTAACTATAATACTCCCCTTATTTGTTTCAGAAAAGGAGACCAGAGAAGAGTGCCCACACTGCACTAACAATATGGTCAGGGAGCACCATAACCAAAACCCTGTTATATCACACTTATTAAAAGTGTACAGGGACCCACCTAGAAACTTGTACTCACAACGAAACTACTCAGTCTGTGACCCAGGAAATGGCTAGACTTATATGTGTTATAACCCCAAATTCCTACCTGAGACCTCTTTTAAAATTCATGGGTCAATAGAAGGAAACCTGCTACACCAAACCAAGGTCTCATCCTCCCATTGGGGAGTTATGTCCTTATCCTTTAATATATGCCAGTTAACATCCATGGGCTCAACCTTTCCCATAATCTCTAATTCTGAAGAGCACTATAATAGTTGCCACAAAAATATATGTTCACCCCTTGCTTTCTTTGCCAGTTTCTCAGAGACAATTTGCTGGAACTGCATAATTCAGTCCTGTAACCTGCAATCACTGGGGTGAGTCATACTTACAGCAAAAACAAACTGTAAGGCAAGCACTTGCTACCTGGAAAATCTCAGTACCTTAAAACCGTATCTGGCTGTATGGGCTACAAGTTTAAAGGCTCCTCTAGGAATACAAGTTAGTGGCCAGAAAACAGACTCAAAAGCCTATTTACATATTATCAAGAAATCTCGGATGGTTACACCTGAAAACTCTGTTTTAAAATCATTCTGTAAAAATTTCAACCAGGAACTGTTTGAACCCTCTCTCTTAGCCAGAAGCCTATTCAGTTGAAGTATATGGAAGCCTATTCAGTTGATGTATATTCAACTGGCTGAAAACATAGCCAGCAGCCTACATATCTCCTCATGCTATGTTTGTGGTTGGACCAACATGGGACACCAATGGCCATGGGAGGCAAGAAAGCTAATGCCCCAAGATAACTTCACTCTTACTGTCTCTTCCCCTGAACCTGTGTTCACAAGCCAGAGCATCTGATTCTTAAAGACCTCCATTATCAGAATATTATGCATTTCTTGTTGGAGAAAAACCTTATAGGCCCAGTAGGAAAGTCAACTTGCCTAGAACAATAATATTACAATAAAACAGTAGGAAAAACTGTATGTTGTGGTAAAAATAATTCCAAACTGCCCCAACCAGGCCCATTCTCCTGATTCCCTTCTTTAAAGCATTCTTTGTACCAACTTAACGCTCCTAATACCCGTCAGGTGCCCTCTGAGCTCTACTGGATCTGTGGGCCATGGGCATATTGCCCATTGCTGGCTAAATGGTCAGGGGCCAGTGTACTGGAAAAAATTAGGCTGTCTCCTTTCTAATCGCCTTAGGACAGGGAGGACCTTTAGGGTATCCGGTCTATTATAAAACAAATACAGAACAAACAAACAAAAGACATAACCATAAGAAATTGGTAAAACAATTAATGACCCCCTAAAAATTCCAACACCATGGCTCAGCCACCTGGACAGAAAATGGAATTTGGGGATACTGCACTCCTATTTACATATTCTACCACAACATAAGGTTACAGGCAGTGCTGAAAATTATTACTAATAACACTGCAAAGACCCTAAATCTGCAGGCCCAACAAGCCACAAAAATGAAGAATGCTATTCATCGAAATAGACTGTCTTTAAACTACTTCCTAGTCCAGGAAGGAAGGGTATGTGGAAAGTTCAATCTAACTAAATGCTGCCTAGAAAGATCATTAAGAATACAACTTCCAAAATCCAAAAATTGGCCCATGTTACAGTCCAGCCTTTTAAAGGGTAGTCTCCAGTTTCCCTCTTTGGGGGCTTATTTTCATCCTTTGAAGAATTTAAGATCTTAGTAAAAATAGTTCTAGCCATACTAGGATTCTGCCTTGTTCTAATTTGTCTCTTACCCTCCTTGTTAAAAACATTCAAGCAGCCATAGAGGCTCTTGTAAACAAACACACGACTACTCAACTAATGGCTCTAACTAAACATCAACCCCTGCCAAATAGGGAACTGCTCCCCCTTGAAGAATTACTAGGTGATTCTCTCTATTAATCCTCATTTACAAAAAGCATGAAAGGTGGAAATGAAACAGGGAATGTTAAAAAAAAAAAACATATTCTGTGTACTGAGCTGACTCACTCCAAAAACCCAGGGATAAGCCAGGCCCTGTTGGGGCTCTGATAGCACTATCAGCAGAGATGGGGCCTGTAAAGAATGGGTTCCAGGAGCAGGAGTGAAAATAACACGTTCTTATCTGTTTCCCCTCTCTAGTACTCTCACCCAATACCATTATTCTTTGATGTGCTCTCACATATACTTTTATAACTACTTCTGGAAGTTGACAAAAATTTTGTAGGTTTCTGTTTTCCCATCCATATATTATTGAAAGTCATGATACATGCCTGAGTTATAACACCTGTCACTTTTTTTTAAAAACTCTCTTCATTCTACTCCTATAAGCTTGCTTGCCCATCCTGCAGATTTCATGCCATTAGCTGCCAACCCTCTTCAGTTGCATGTATGAAAGTCAAGCCCTATCTTTGTTCAGGGCTCAGTCTTTAAATGTTATTCCGCTAAGTCAACGTACGCCCAATAAAATCCTCCTGTTCCACCCATTGGTCTCTCCTGTCCCTTAATTCCCACAAGAGTGGGAGCTTTGTCCTTTGTTTCAGGGATGAGCAAACAGCCAGGCTCTTTTCTTTTGGGACCAAAGTATTTCATCCTCAAATATGAAAGTAATTTTCTCAAGGAAAGCCACCTCTTACTCCCTCCCAAACATTGGAAATACATCTTAAAAATATTTCCAAAATGTCTGGTTAGCAGTTTCTTGGGTATAGTCATGGCATTCAGTAACATATAGAATTACTTAAAGAGGCAAGGGATTTTGAGAAGTTTGATTTTGCTTATTCCAGAATAAATGCGTTTTGGAAACCACTCTGTAAGACCTGATCTAGAGCCTGTCTCTGCTGGGCAGTTTCCTTGGGGCTGATCATACAACAGTGAATCAAACCAAGCTCGTGTCATCCTGAATTTCTAGACACTGAGGCAGATGGTCAGCAAACCATTACCCAAGACTGTAGTAGAGTTGGGCTGAAGCAGATGAGTAGGGGCCATGGCTACAAGAGGGAGTTTTGACCGGCAGCCATTTGTCACAGACCTGGGAAAGGGACTGAAACAAGGTAATAAGATAAAGGAATTCAACTGAATAACTTGGTGTTCTGCCTCTGAGGTGGAATGTAGATTATAATACTGGATTTAGAAATTATTTACTGGGTGCAGTGGCTCTTTTGGAGGCTGAGATGAGTGCATCATGAGGTCAGGAGATTGAGACCATCCTGGCTAACGTGGTGAAACACCATCTCTACTAAAAATACAAAAATTAGCCAGGCATGGTGTCATGGGCTTGTAATCCCACCTACTTGTGAGGCTGAGGAAGGAGAATCAATTGAACCCAGGGGGTGGAGGTTGCATTAAGCTGACTGCTCAACTGCACTCCAGCCTAGGTGAAAGAGTGAGATTCAATAATAATAATAATAATAATAATAATAATAATAATAATAATATAAAAAAACATTATTAAGCAGCATAGTGAGTAACATTGGTGTTACTGAGAATTTTTTATATTCATCATTTCACTTCTTCTAGCCTCAATGGAAATTGAAAAGGCTGAAATATGCTCTCTCTGATGCAAGGGGCACAATGGACATACTTCATTTCTTTCCGTTGTGTCCAAAGAGGTTTCAGTATTCCACCACGTAGGTACAAAATATAAACCAGAGCAGTGAAGTAGTTTTGCTTCCTTTCTTCCTTAATAAAGAGGTGCTTAAATAATATTACTATCTTGAAATTACTATTTCATATAAGAAAGCAATCTCATTTATAAGTAACTTTTTTCTTCTTGTTCTTCTAGCACACAGAAAGTTGCCTTTCTACTTGCAGAAATGATTAACTGTCTCTTAAGGTATTTTAATTTCATGAGAAGGATTGAGAAGAGATGGTGGGTGGAGACAGAGAAAAAACTGTGTTGCTTTTCTCCTGTTTTTGAAACTAACTCAGTCCCTGCTGATGACTTTAGAACAAGGCAGAGCAAAAAGGTTCATGACCCTCTGGTGAACCTATAAATTCTTCTGTATATTTGCATTGCTTACTCATAAAAAAATAGGTTATGGGTAGAACTGGAAGAGAAAGGTCAGCATAATTGTTTCTGAGAATGAGGTCTATTTAAACATTTGAGATGTAGGGACCCGTGCCATGATGCAGAGGGAACAGACAATTTGTTGAAATATGGGCCTTCCCTGGAAGAGATAGAAACAGAAGAAACAAGTATGTGTATATTTTCAAGAAGCAGGTACAAGATATTGCACAATTAATGTGCTGGAGTGATTACTTTTCACTTCAGAAATAAGGAAGAGTTGGAATTTCAGTTTGGTCTCCAACAGCATATCACCCTTTATGACAGAATGGAAATGTCACCAGCTGAGGAGATAGTGAAGGCAAATGCCAAGCAAGGAAGCTACAGCCATAGTCAGACCCCAGAAAATGGGTTGGTACAGATGAAACATTTGTAGTACAATGTTGGTGGTGTTATGTGAAATCAATCTGGAAAGAAAAAGGCAGATTATCAGAGCCCAGAATACCATGGCATTGGACTCTACCAGAGCAGAGACACTGTACATGAGATACAATCTTCCCCTCAGGGAATGCCTGGTGCAGATGACCACAGGTTTCTCGCAGGCAGAGACTGAATTCACAGAGAGCCTTGACAGGGCTGTTTCAGTATTCCAGGCAGATGATGAGGAAGACCCCTCTTGCAGCCACAGGACAGAGAGTGTGAATGTGCCAGGGCTAGTTACTGGGTGGATGGAAGATGGCTCATGAGCGAAGGACTGGGATGATCACTCCTGGGATGAAGCTGGTGCTGTGGAGTTTCTACATGTGTATGGAAAGAAACTATCAGAAATGTGGATGGGAGGCTAGGTATAGAGATCAGGAGTGGAGTAAAAGATATGGAAAGGATCCACATCAGAGTAATCGCTGAAACTCTAAGAAGGGCTGCCGTCCATTTGCAAGACTCAGTTTCAACACAAACAAAAAATTAAGAATAATAATAAATTTAAGAAAGAGCTGAAATAAGAGGCTGTCAATGTCAGCTAGTTGGCTGTAGAAGAACCAAACAGTGAAGGTGGCTGCCAGTCCAAGGTTGCTTCCAGGGGCATACATTGCCTCCCTCCTTCCTCTGGTTCTCTGCTTCCCTTCTATATTCTGATTCTGGCCTAGCAGATAAATTTATCTGTCCAATTAATAGACCTGCTAAGTCTTGCTTGAATTACAGCAACATATGAATGTTCCTTAGATTCCTGGTTAATTCAAATCTGAAGCACAGGACACTTGAGGGAAATTAATCACTTCCTTCATTGAGATGACCTATTTGTTTTCCATTGATGATAGCAATGATTCCAATTTTAAAAATTAGTTCACTGGCATACACGATGGAATTATAGTACTGCATTTTTAAACACTTAAAATGTTTTATAAATGTGTTTGTGTATTTTGTGCTTTCATGCCCATCTGTTTTAGAGAAGATGATTCTGGAATCAATGAAGATGTTTGACAGCTTCTCCAGTCACAGAATTTCTCATTCATTACACTAAAAAGAGCTGTTTTTCTAAGCTTATATTTCCTAAATTTTAAATGAGTATAACCTATCATATTGATTAACTCCAGGCCTACTCTTTAAAGATTAAGCTATTTTCTTTCCTCTCCAGTGAAGGACTGCCATCTGTAAAATGAGGTCATCTTTTGCCGGCACATTTCAGTTTTCTCCCGGAACATAAAAACACACAGAAATTCCTAGGCTTTATGAATAGTACAATATTGCCTCTGATCTTTACATTTAATACCTGTGGTTTGAATGTGTGTGTCCCTCCAGAGTTCATATGTTGGAAGTTAAACCCTCCAGTGTGATAGAATTAAAAGGTGGGGGCTTCTGGAGGCAATTAAGAGTGCAATTAGCAACCCTATAAAAGGGCTTAATGGAAATAACTGGGCCCTTTTGCCCTTCCACCATTTAAGGATACTTTATTTGTCCTCTCTGGAGAACACAGCAACAAGATACCATCTTGGAAGCAGAAACTAGGCCTACGCCAGGCATTGAACCTGCCAGTGCCTTTACCTTGGGCTTCCCAACCTCTAAAACTGTAAGAAACATATTTCTGGTTTCATAACTTACCCAGTCTAAGGTATTGTGTTATAGGAACAGGAAGATACTGAGATAGCATCTTTATTGTGGAAACTTTGGTCATAATACTTCATGAATTGGCTTCAAGTATTTCATTAGTTTATAAATATAGGGTTCCTTCCCAGGTGGCAAGATCACTTTTGACAATTTAGAGACTTCTGGTGATCCTATCTATTACTTACACTTTCCTCTGTTGATTTGTGTGAATTAAATAATTGCACAAATTGTTACTTAAACAGAAGGTAGTATGTAGTGTGACAAATAGTACACCAATTGAACTGTGTACTCTTCTCCTGCCATGCATGAATGAAAGGAGATGATCCAGAGTCAGAACCTGAATTAGAGATGGCCATGTGTCAATAGTGATAAAGACTATGAGGCACTAAGAAATGTCAGATGCAGAGAACCCAAATTTAGAATCATGTTGACAGATAAGGAGTTCAAACAGATTATTAAATAAAATCCTGAGTAACATATTTAGCTCTGCTATTCTAGAGAGTAACTGTTAGAACCAGGTTTTTTTTTTTTATATATTCCTGAGTAAACCTTTCCATAGAATTTTGTACTATTGATTTGAAAAAATAACCAACTACACAGGGAAACTTATTGTTGTACTTTGCCCAAGTTTAAGCCTTGTTAATCTTACTGGTAGATAGATTTTATTTGTTGCAAAACTGGTCATAAAACGTATAACTTTATACAGAGAACTACAGAAGTGTTAGTGGCACTTTTATGCCCAATACAGCCCAGTGGATTATAATATTTTCTTAAATTGCTGAAGAGATTTTTGCCAAAAATAAAACAAGTAGCACTCACAGACTTGATTTTTATAACAACATGAAATCTTTACTATGCACATTATTCAAATGTGACACCATACTGGGGACAAAGATAGATTTATATATAGTAAAAAGGCAAGTAAATGAAGCTATAATATTACTTCATTACTCTTAGTACATCTACAACTATTTCCACTTATGGATGTCAGCAAAATAAGCATGCATAAATATTGACTATTTTCTACAAGTATTTATTGTAACGCTTGATTAGAACTATAGGAAGCGCTTGGCACTTGGGCACTGACGGAAGTTTTTTCTTTTTTTTTTTTTTTTGTTTTTTTTGAGATGGAGTCTGCCCTGTTGCCCAGGTTGGAGAGCATTGGTGCAATCTTGGCTCACTGCAAGCTTTGCCTCCCGGGTTCACGCCATCCTCTGGCCTCAGCGTCTGGAGTAGCTGGGACTGCAGGCACCTGCCACAACGCCCGGCTAATTTTTTGTGTTTTTAGTAGAGACTGCGTTTTACCGTGTTAGTCAGGATGGGCCCAATCTCCTGATCTCATGATCCACATGCCTCGGCCTCCCAAAAGTTCTAGGATTCAAGGACTGAAAATGTTGATTCACTTTTAGATTATGACAATTTATACACAGCAAAATTTAATGCTCTTTACATAAAAAATATTAGACTACTTAAACAAAACTTTCAAAAATTCCTGCAGCTACCAGAATTAGAAAAGTAAAATTAGGGTTGAGACACTCCCCTTCTAGAAAACTGGACTTCAATGCATCACCACTGCTGGAAAAAATAGTCATGGAACAGGAAAACAAACAGTGAGATACTTTGAAATAGCCATTCTGCACAGAAGAGAGCTTCTCTCAATTAAAAAAAAAATCCCAAATAATAAAAAAACCCCCAAAACTCTACCGATATATGATACTTGATGTTCAAGTTTAATAGCATGCTGATAGAGGTGTGCTTCCTTACTCAATTTTGAATACATTTCTGCACATGTATATTATAAAATTCAGGAAACAGCCAAATCACAAGTTAATTCTTGACATGAATTTACAGTTAATCCTATTCTAAGCAGCACATTTGAAAGCACTGATATACCCAACAGTTACACAGATTATTTCATAATGAAAAACACAAAGTTTACCATCACTAATACCCAGTAACTATAGTCACTTAATGTCTGCTACTCAATAATAATGCAGAAGGCAAGCTTGTATTGAAACTGGCTTAAACTCAAGTACTTTTCTTGCTAAACATCAAACTTTATTATTCCAGGAAACTAAGATTTAGATTAAACAAATAAATACTAAACCTAATTTAAATTCTGTCTTCGAGTCTATAAAAGTAAGAGATTAGTGGCCTATGGTCAGTTTAAATTTAGGTTTTAGAGAGTTGGTATGAAACTGTTTAACTAGACCACTGAAATGGTTAAAATTGGGGGGTCATTTTAATAAAGTAACATTTTCTATTTAAGAAAAATATTTATGGAGCAAAATTACATGAAACATATTTGGGTCTGTGGTTGTGATACAAATTCTTAGAAATTTAAACATATCCTCCTTAAGATGGAGCTGACATTTTTATCCCAAGGATAATGAAAAATGGATGAGTATGTTGTTGGAATATAACCTATTAAAAAATTGCTTTTGGAAATCTTGTGAATGAGTCTTAATCCAGATCTGTTAGGAGTAGATTATAAAATTGCATTTGGAAAGCTAATCAATGAGTCAGAATCCAAATTCTTCTGTAGTGGAGTCAGCATAATTGTTGCTAATTTTTGCATTTTTGAAAAATATTTTCTTATTGGCTGAGGAAATTAAGGGAGCCTGGACTTGGGAAGAAAAGCTAATTTGAAAAGTCAGTCATAAAAATCACATTATCTTTGAGGCAAAGTTTAATAAATGCCAGCTCTAAGAATTGAAACTTCACCCCTATTCCATTTTATTTCCTATGTAGATAGCAGTTATTTGAGGATAGATGGCGTATATGTGAATTCGTGGTCTCATCCCTTGAAAGCTGGCATGTTACAGGTCCCTATCAAGAAGCATCACATATTCCAATGAGTGTCTTAATAGAACTGCTCTAGCAACAAATGTGAACATGCCACAAATTTCCGGAGTATGAACAATCATTTTAACAAAGGGTTGCCTTTTAAAATTGCTAACTTAAAACCTCTCATATTTTTTCTGAATAAAAAGATTTAACCACTGGGAAGTTTTCCTTGGAGATACATCCCAGTAGCTTGAGATAGAAAGTGAGGTATTTGAACATTTACATTAGTTTGGTGGAATACATATGTTTACTGCAGAGCAGCCATGTGATGATTTGTCAGAGCTGTAAATGCTTCAGCTGAAACACTCTGCCAAATATTTATGTGTAAGAATTGAGTTATTCATTTTACTACGACTTGATATCTTGCAGTTCCTGTTCCTTCTTTGCTTGGATATCTTCACAAGCCTGCATTGTGTTGGCATCCAAGTAAGCTCTGTTAGAAGACAGTATCATGAGAATGTGGATCTAGAAAAGAAGGGTGAGTAGGATGTCTAGAGAGCATGTGAGAAGGCAAAGCATCATGCTAGTTAGGTTAGATGGAGTTGACGTTGAAGGGGAAAAGTGTTATTCTGTATTAATATTTGCTCTATTGCAGAGCTGTGAAATTCTGAAAACATGCTCTACTACTTGGCTTCACATTTTGAAACTGAAGAAAAGTAAGTACACAAACATTGCAAAGTGTTTCTATTGATGACTAAATGTCTGTATACTCATTAGTCTAGATGAGTCACATATATAACACATCTCACTACAATTGGGGCTTGTCTATATAAATAGATATTCATAAAATTTGCCTCAGATGTATATTGTGATAATGCTACTGAGGAATTTATGTTTGTGACTGTTATATTATCTTTAAAATTTTTTAATATTTTGATGTTTCATATTTTGTCTGTTGCCTTGCATCTATAGTTCTCCATCTTTATTCCTTGCATTTTTTCTAAAATTCTCATTTTCCTTATATAATAACAGTGGCCTAATTTTTTTGGATAAATACTTGTTAATTTTTTCTAAATCCTTATTTTCAATATTTCAGTGTGATTATTCCTAGGTGAAAGCAAATTTTTATCAATCTAACGGTAGAGTATTTTATATTTTAACACATGAGTTTAAACAGCTTACATCTAATATGGTTACTCTCTTATCTAAATAACTAACACCTGCTCAGTCAGTTTTTCATTTACCCTAGATTTTCTTTGGCTCTGCCTTTGCCTCCTATCTGCCTTTGTTCTTCTCTCCCTTTCCCCACCCGTCACCTGTTTTTCTAATTGTATTCATTTACTTTTCTTACTCGTATTTTTTTCTTTTTGTGCTTTTGACATTAATCACCAAATTTCTACAGTTTCTGTAGTTAATCAAATTCAAAAATCAAATTAAAAAAATCAGAAAATCAAATTAAAAAAATTAAAGAATCAAATTAAAAAAATTCAATAGCATTTTTTAAACAAAGTAAAACCTATGTCTAGCCCCGTTCAGAAAACAAAACAAACAAACAAACAAAAACTTCCTGCCTACCTCTTTTATTTTGAGATTTATTTTTCTCTTTGCTAAAATAAAATAAGCTTTATGTTTCTTTCTCTTGGTCTTTTGATAAGTCTTTAATATTGGCATAATCTTTGAGAGTTAAAAATATGTTTCTAGTAAATGATATTTTATGTGGATAAATATTTTCTGTAGAGATTATTTTCAAAATCTGTGTGTTTCCCTTTCTGTATATTTTTGTCTTCTTTTGTTTCTTGTAAATGTATATAAAACCTTCCACCACTGAGTTCCACTTTCCTGACTTCTGTTTCATTTACGGTCACCAGGTATAATACAGGATTACCAGTTATATTTTCATTTTAAATAAGCAAATAGCATTTTAGTATAATTCTCAATATTCTAGTAACTTACTAAAATTCTCGTTATCTCATGGGACAGGCTCATACTGAAAACAAATTCTTTATTGTTTGTCAAAAAGTAATCAAATTTTAAATTGAAATGTTATGTCCCTGCACCTGGCAAACTTACTACAGATCAACATAGGAAAGTACTTTTCCTACTGTACTTGTTCGGGGTCTACTGCAGAAGAAACAAACAAACAAAATATTATTTGAGTTCCTTTAATATATGGTTGATTTTTCAATAATGTATAATTGTCTATTTAAAAAAGATTATTTTTTTCCTCCTACCCACATCTTTTTTCCTTTAGATTCCATTTCTTCATCTCAGAGAACTCCTAAACCTACTCATTATGAAGACTTTTTTGATTCAACTTTTTATCCTTGAGTATGACCATTAAGTGTGTCTTCCTTTGCTACCCCTTAGGACATGGAACATCCATCTGTGAATTGTTAATGTCGTCTGTGAAGTGATAAAGCAATCTTTAGTTCTTGAGTGTAAAGTGATTCTTAGTGGGGCAGTTTTGTGTTAACCTTTTTAGGTTTTTAGGAACTTAATTGTTCAATCTAGTATTGTATACCCATTTCTGCCTTTGGGGACCTTATATTTTGTAGGCAACATGAAACAATCTAACCTCAGTCTTGAATATACCACAGGATAGAGGTTGAGATATAAATCTTTCTCTCATGTATTTGAATACAAACCTCATTCTGTGTTAGATCCTAGTATCTGTGAGACATGACTCTCTGTACTGACTTAAGTATTTTACCAAAATGTCTGAATCATGCTTTCTTCCACCAATTATTTAGGCAGGGTGCCCAACCCCACTGGACACAGAAATGGTCTCTTTCCTGAAAATATATCTAAATTTACTCCTCAGTTTACTGTATCAATGAACTGTCAGGTTTATTCTCACACTAATATTGCTGGAGTCCAAACCTCAGGGATGTTTCTTTTCTTGATAGTCAGTGTGTTATTCTTTTTTAAAATTTTATCTTACACTTAGAAGCTCTGGCTTTCATAGGAGTTGTTTTTGCAGCTTTTAACTTTGCTCCAGTGAACTGAAAAATAAACGCTTGATTTCTATTAAATCATTTGTCACTTAACAAATAAAATCTCTGACAAAGGTCTTTCTACTATAACCCTTCAGCATTTGAGGAAGAACACATTTTTGCTTATATTTTCTGGAAGTCTTCCCAATTTTGTTTTATTTTGAAGGGTAGGATATGTATTTTATAATTTTTTCATTGATCTATATTATTAATATGCTCTAAATCATTGGCTATTTTACATATATTATAAAGGCTTTGTTGGGAACAGGCCCCAAAATCTGGTCATAGATTGGCCCCAAAACTGGCCATAAGCAATATCTCTATAGCACTGTGACATGCTTCTGATTGCTATGATGACTACAATGAAGGTTGTTTATCAGAATGAAGGCCAAGGACACCTGGCACACCCAGGGCAGAAAATCACTGAAGGTATTCCTGAACCACAAATAATACCATGAACGATCTGTGCCTCAAAGACACTTTCCCACTGCAGATAACTAGCCAGAGCCCATCCTTTGTCTCCTGTTTTAGTTAACCTGTAATCTATAGAAACAATGCTTATCACTGGCTTGCTGTCAATAAATATGTGTGTTAAACTCTGTTTATGGCTCTCAGCTCTGAAGGCTGTTAGCCCCCTGATTCTCACTGTGCACACTATATTTGTGTGTGTGTGTGTGTGTGTGTGTCTTTAATGCCGCTAGTGCCATTGGGTTATGGTTTCCATGACCGAGCTGGCCTCGGCAAGTGGTGACTATACGGGGTCTCAAATCCAGGTCAAAGGTCACAGGAGCAATGGTTGGAGAATGTAGGACTACACTGGAGGACATCTGGCTACTCTTAAGCAATCGCCATAGTGAGTTAGAAGGGGAGTTTGGAAGCATCAGGTTAACAATGGGACAAGTCCAGGTTCTGGTTTGTTCCACCTTGGAACATTTTCACATTGATGATTAGGAGGAAGGAGAGTATAGCAAAGTAACAGAAGAGGTGACAGAACAGGTTTGTTTGCCAGCTAAAGCTAAAGTGGCAAAGGAGAGAGAGGTTTGTCTCTGCCCTTCTTCACTCCCTCACTATTTTGAAGAAAAAGAGTGGTCTGACCCTGTAGATCTTTCTTTTCTGGAACCCACTGACCAAAAACTAGTTGCCCCATGATTGTTCAAGCAGTGCCATGAGCAATTGCTCTTCGTTCTATTCAGGCAGGAATTCAGCAACCTAGACGAGAGGGTGATATAGAGGCTTGGCAGCTCCCTGTTAGGATACATGCCCCAGGTCAACAGGGAAATATTATCACTACTTTTGAGCCTTTTCCTTTTAAATTACTCAAAGAATTTAAACCAGCTATTAATCAATATGGACCAGGTTCTTCTTTGGTAATGGTACTGTTAAAGAATGTTGCTGTCCCCAGTCAGATGATTCCTACTGAATGGGATGCTCTTACGTGAGCTTGCCTGACTCTCGCTCACTTTTTACAGTTTAAAACTTGGTGAGGAGAAGAAGCTTTTTTCAGCCTTCTCACAATGCGCAGGCCCAACCTCAAATTAATATAACTACAGACCATCTTTTGGGGGTAGGCAGCTGCGTTGGTTTGGATGCACAAGTGGTCATGCTGGGTGATGCCATAGAACAGCTTAGAGGAGTATGCATTAGAGTTTGGAAAAATAACTTCAGGAGGAGAACAATATCTTTCCTTTAGTGCTATAAAACAGGGACCAAAAGAACCATATGCAGATTTTATAGCTTGGTTATAAGAGTCTCTTAAAAAATGACTGCAGATTTAGCTGCTGAGGATATAGTGTTGCAGTTATGAGCTTTCGACAATGAAAATCCATATTTCCAGGTGGCTCTGTGACCTATTAGAGGGAAAGCACATTTAATTGACTATATCAAGGCCTGTGATGGTATCAGAGGTAATCTGCATAAAGCTACTTTGGTGGTGCAAGCCATGACAGGACTGAAAGTGGGTAAAGGAAATACTCCATTTCCTGGAGCTTGTTTTAACTGTGGGAAGCATGGTCACACTGGAAAAGAATGTGAAAAAAATCAGTGAGTCAGGCCACAAGTTGAGGGATAAAAGGAAAACTGCTGAGCCTGGAATATGTCCAAAATGCAAAAAGAAAATTACTCGGATAATCAGTGTCACTCTAAGTTTGATAAAGATGGAAACCTGATTTTGGGAAATGCCAGGAGGGGCCGTCCCAGTCCGCTTTCTAAACCAGGGCATTTCCAGCTCAGGAAATGCCCTATATTTCATCTCAAAAGGTGGAGTTTGCAGCTGTAATTGAGGTATGGACTTGTTTTAGTATGCCTATAAATGTGATTTCTGATTCTTCATATGTGGTTCATTCTACACAGTTACTTGAAAATGCTCAGCTATGATTCCACACAGATGAGCAACTGATGACTTTATTTACCCAATTACACACAGCAGCTAGAAGTAGAATGAACCCTTTTTGCATTACTCATATTAGAGCTCATAAACCTCCTCCAGGACATTTGACTGCAGGGAATCAAATGGCTGATCCGCCAGTTGCTACTACAATATCTAATGCCAGACACTTTCACAATTCAACCCATGTTAATGTTTTTGGTCTCAAACACAGTACAGCATTATCTGGAAAGAAGTGAAAGCTATTATCCAGCGATACCCAACTTGCCAAATGGTGCATTCCTCATCTTTTACAGGAGGAGTTAATCCTCGAGGATTGGGACCTAATTCTCTTTGGCAAATGAATGTCACACATTTTCCCTTGTTTGGGAGACTAGCTTATATACATGTATGTGTGGACACATTTTCTCACTTTGTCTGAGCTACTTGCCAATCAAGAGAGTCTTCTGCCTGTGTTAAATGTCACCTTTTGCAGTGTTTTGTGGTGATGGGCATTCCAGCTTCTTTAAAAAGGACAGTGACCCAGGCTATAGTAGCCAAGTTCTAGCTACATTTTTCTCTATATGGAATATTAAACACATTACTGGTATCTCATATAATTTTCAAGGACAAGCCATAGTGGAAAGAATGAATCTCTTCCTTAAACAACAGTTGCAAAAGCAAAAGGTGGAAACAGGGACTGTGGGATGCCACATATGAAATTGAATCTAGCATGATTTACTCTAAATTTTTTGAGCTTGTCTAGGACCAGATGCTATCTGCAGCCAAACAGCATCTACAGAAGCCAGCTGCAAAGATAGAAGCAGAAAAACTGGTTTGGTTGAGAGATCCAATAATGGAAAGTTGGGAAATAGGTAAAATAATAACATCGAGTGGAGGTTATGCTTGTGTTTCTCCAGTACCAAATCAACTGCCAATGTGCATGCCATTGAGACATCTAAAGCCCTGCTATGAGCCAGATACCAAGAAAGTGGTTTTGAGAGGATTCCAAAGACACATCGGTGGCAGTCTTGTCTAAGTTGACCCTGAGGAGGACCCCAAATATCATGAGCAACACCCATCAAAAGCAGCCACCCACCTGAGGACAGATCAAGAAGCTGTCACAGATGGTGAGAGAAAATCTGAGGTGGGACAACCAGTCCCAGTGAGTAATTTAATGATAGCTATCAAAGCGGTGATCACCATTGCCATGAGTATTTCTTTAACAGAACTGACACAGTCCTGTCCATGCTGACACACATGCTTTCTGGTCTCAGTATATTTCATAATAAATCTGCTCCTATAATTGAGGCATACCACCCTTAAAAACCTGTTTGTAAACAGAGCTGGACGTGGCCAGAGAAAATGAATGTACTTGTTTGGGAAAATTGCATTGCAGAACAGACTGAGGTGCTGTGTAACAATTCCTAGGGAATCCTTATTGTTTGGCCCCCTAAGGGGATGTTTACCTTAAATTGCAACTCTCAGTCTATGTGCCACAGCCACATTATGTTCAGCTGGTCTGAACAAAGCCATCAGATGGTAAAAATGGTAAGAAGTACCGCAAGAGTTCCTCTGGAAACATGGCGGTATAATGGCACCTCAACCTCAAATGATATGGCTCGCTCTAGGAGCTAAAAATAAGGATTTGTGGAACCTATTAATGGCTCTTCGTAGTATAAACATTTGAGAAAGAATAAAAAAGCATCTAGAAGGACACTCTATGAACATGTCTTTGGATATTGTAAATTAAAATAACAATTATTTGAAGTATCCCAGGCACACTTAACCTTAATGCCAGGAACAGGGGTACTTGAAGGAGCTGCAGATGGATTAGCAGCTACTAATCCAATAAAATGGATAAGAACTCTTGGAGGTTCTGTGATTTTAATGATGATTGTGCTTTTAGCCTCTGTTGTTTGTCTTTGTATAGTCTGCAGATGCAGATCCCGACTCCTGCGAGAAGTAGCTCAGAGTAGTAAAGCTGCATTTGCTTTTATTGTCTTAGAAAAACAAAAAAAGAAGACATGTTGGGAAAAGGCCCCCAAATTTGGCCATCGACAGGCCCCAAAACTGGCCATAAGCAAAATCTCTGAAGCACTATGACATGCTCAAAATAGATATGACGTCTACACTGAAGGTTGTGGGTTTACCAGAATGTGGGCAAGGAACACCTGGCCCACCCAGGGCAGAAAACCACTTAAGGTGTTCTTGAACCACAAATAATATCATGGGTGATCTGTGCCTCAACGACATGTTCCTGCTGCAGATAACTAACGAGAACCCCTCCCTTTGTCTTCCATTTTACTGAATCTATAATCTATAGAAACAACGCTGATCTCTGGCTTGCTGTCAAGAAATATGTGGGTAAAACTCTGTTCATGGCTGTCAGCTCTGAAGGCTGTCAGCCCACTGATCCCACTCTGCACTTTAGATTTCTGTGTGTGTGTCTTTAATTCCTCTAGTGCCACTGGGTTAAGGTCTTCACGACCTAGCTGATCTCAGCAGACTTCTCTAAGAATATTTAATTTTGGTGAAGACTTTATTTTATAAAACCACTTTATTGTAGGTAAATCATATCATGTCATTCTCTATAATCATATCTTCCCATGTTTTGCGTTATGAGATTTGGTTTGCATGGAACTTTCAAAGCCGTTCTCAACCATTCACTTCCTAGGATTTCCAGTTACGATGCAACAGCCCAGTGTTTCCTCTAAACAACTAAAACACCATGGATATAACGAGAAAAAAACAAGGACAGGCTCTGAAAGGCAGAAAGAGGAAGGCAGTTTGTCTAGGGACTTTAGGACTTAAAGATTGATAACATTGTCACTTTTCTGGGTTTTCCTATTTTCTTCCATATATCACAGATGATGGACTGTAGAAGCTTCCAACACAGAATCTCCAATAGGCACAGATAAAAAGGACTTCAAGCAAATCCTGTTCTCTCTCAGCCAAAGGACCAGGAGAGGATGGCCTAACCATACACAATCACACAAAACATTTCTAGGGGTAATAACCAAGCTATTCCAGACAAACGCTACGAGAAAAAAAAAAAAAAAAGCTAGTATTGCCATTTGTGTGGAGCCATATACAAAGACAATCTTCTCACGGGGCAGTAATGCTTGATTCTCCATAAAGTCAAAGTAGGCAGCAATTTTTTTTTTTTTTTGAGCTGGAGTTTCTTTTTTGTTGACCAGGCTGGAGTGCGATGGTATGCAATCTCAGTTCACTGCAAGCTTCACCTCCTGGGTTGAAGCAATTCTCCTGCCTCAGCTCCCTGACTAGCTGAGATAACAGGAATGTGCCTCCACACTGAGCTAATTTTCCATTTTTTGTAGAGTCGGGGTTTCTCCATGTTAGCCTGGTTTTGAACTCCTGACCTCAGGTGATCCACCTGCCTCGTCCTCCCAGAATGCTGAGATTACAGGCGTGAGCCACCACATCTGGCCAGAGGGAATCTTCTATCACCCTCCCGGAGAAAGCAGAGGAGAGCATTCCAATTCCCTTATGTCAGGAGTCTCTGGTAGCAAGCTGATCATCTAGGTTGACTCAACAACAACAATTTTTAAAGGGCTAGAGCTGATTAGGACTGATTGCACTGTGTGGTTTGACTGTCTCCGCACCACCCTCCTCTATTCTATCCTGTCAGTGGGCTTTAGTGGAGAGTTAACCATCTACCACCACCCACCCTCCTAGGAACTGAACAACTGAAGTAAATCCAAACTAATTAGCACTCTGCTATTTTCCCACACTGCAGGTCAACAGGACCCCAAATTAGCAACTGTATGATCTACAACTGCTCCAAAGAACATCAAATGTTTTGATATGCATTTAAACAAAAGAAAACATGTATGAGATCTATGTGCTGAAACATGTAAAACACTGGTGAAAGAAATCAAATAGAGATAATGAGAGATACACTGTGTTCATGGATATGAAGACAATATATCCTGTTAATTTTCCCCAGCTTGATCTATATATTTGGTGAAATTCCTATCAGTATCTCAGCAAGAATTTTTGCAGACAAAGCAAACTTACTCACCATGATAGCTAAGACAATTATGAGTATACAAGTATATAGTGGGAGAAATTCATCAACATTTCTAAGACTTATTACACAGCTAAAATGAACATAACAGTTTGGTATTGGCATAGAAATAGATTCATATAAAAATGGAGCAGAAGAGAAGGCCCAGGAATAGAGCCACACTGGTGTGGATATGACCAAGTGATATGACACAAATCTGGCAAGCAGAAATCAGTGGAGGAAAAACAGCCTTTAAACAAATGGTGCCAGGGCACGTGGATATTTATAAATTTAAGAAATAAAGCCATAACATAAATCTTATACTACAGAAATTAACTCAAAATGTCTCATGAATTTCAATGTAATATAAAATTACAACACATTTTATAAAACGTTTTCAGAAAAAAAGAACGTAAAAAAATTCAAGCTTCTTAGTTGTAGCAAAATGTTATTATATTTGATACCAAATGCATAAGCCATAAAAGTAAAAAAAAAGATTAACTGTATCAAATCAAAATTAAAAACTGCTGCTCTGTGAAGGATCTTATGAAGACATTCAAAAGCCAGTCTGCTAAAGAAAGGAGTACCCTTCTTGCTGATTGCTGTAGACAACGGGAGGAGAGCAGTACCCTCTCCGCTGAGAGCAGCAGCTGCAACAGAGAGCTTCACAGACCTGCAGAGACATCTAAATGACTTGCCGACAGAGAGGAGCCTCTCTCTCTAGAGTGAACACACCATAGGAAGACCTGCCTATAGAGGAGAGCTACCCACTCCTTTGTGAGGTATTGCTCCTCACAAGAGGGCACTAGCTTCAGGGGTCTGCCCGCAGACCCTGACCCAAATTGCAGATGGATAAACCACACACTAGCACATAGATACTCTGTTTTGCCAGTCTAGCTGAATGTCTGAGCACCTGCATGACAAGAAAAGTTTGTTACTGAGGCCGGCCCTGAGCAGCTCGCACTCCAGGCATTTATTTAGTATACAATTAACAACAGAAGCTTTGAGTCAGCACACTTGTGGATAATTAACCTGGCTGAGAGAGTAGACCTATGAATGATTAAAGCTCAGGTACCGTGGTCTAAAGTAAATTACAGTATGGGGCAATATCCTTGGTCGACCTCCCTCCAATTGAATAATTGTTCAATTATTACAAGCTATGTAATCTTTCGGCCTTCCAAAAAGTTTGTGACTATTCCCTATACCTTTCCATAATATTTCCATTTCATATTTCTGCCACCGTACTGAAGGAATCCCAACACTTTGAACCGTTTTAATGCCAAATAGAACTCTGCTTCTTCTTTACCCTTCACCTGTCTGTGTACCTCATTCTTCCTGCAAACAGGACAAGAAGTCAAGCAAAGGCATCATGGCCACAGAAGTTTCTGGCAAGAAAAACTGACACCATAGTGATCCTTTAACAGTAGCACTAACATTTCTGTGTGAGATTTTTATTTGAAAGTTAAACATTTGAGGAAATGTTAGGAAACTCTGAACCATATTATGACATCCTATTTGTTCATTTGTAGCTGGCTTTGTCTGATACCACCATAACAAAGGAAAGTGTATGCTTGTAAAGGAAGGGCACAATTCCAAATTCTCTTCTTCACTTCCTTTGACATCCAAGGCAGCCCTTCTAGCTACTGATAAAAAAATATGCAGATTCCAGCTTCAACCTGGGTGTTACTTGTACCTCCCTGGCTAGAAGCAGAAGGGTGTCCCCATATGGCAGCATTGAAAACTCTAACTCTCTACTTTCCCTTATGTGATTCCACTCCAGCAGAGGGTTGGGGTGCCTCATTACTGCCTGGTGCTCTCTATGTTTCAACTTAAACATTGTTGTCCTGGCTAGCTTTTTTGGTTTGCTTTGTTTTCTGTTGTAATGTTTGACTAAAGTAGGAAGGCTATTGTAAAAATATTTTTCTCTTTGTAAGGTGTCCCTTTCCTAGCCATGTGGCTATAGAAGTTGGGTTTTGGGAGAACTTTTTGCCTGTACTTATTTACATTTTTGGGTACCAGCTCCATTAGGATCAAGTCTGTGATAACACCAGGCAAAAAGAATCCAGGAAACTCAACCATCTTATCACTTGTTGCATCTTAAATTTCCTCACCCGTTTATCTTCTTGCTCCATCCTTCAGTCTTATGTTTGCTTTATATACATTATGTGGTGCTATTAATTGTATTTATGTAAGGGGGAAAGTACATTTGCTCCATCTACTTCATTACTCAAGTGATGACCCAAGATGAAGAACGTCCGTGATGTTCCTTTTGGGCAGAAAATTCAAAGTAGTTTTTGTTGTTGAAACAGTTTAGTTTAACCTAGATGGAGAGAGAATACCTAAGAAGGTACAAGGTCTTTGAATCCTAGAGGAAGCTAGGATATTTTCTGGGTTAGACTACTCCGTGATTGATTACATTAAAATCTTGTCAGGATGTTCCTCAAAATACAAAGAATTTGCAGAGAGTGGGAATGAACAGATATTCTAATCATGCTGATTACTTTACATTTTGCATTTGCTTTCTCTTTTTCCTCATTCACCCTCTCTCTACCCCTCCCTGTGCTTGTTTTATTGTTGCTTTTGTTGTTTTTTTGACACTTGCATTATTCTGGCCTTAAATTTACAATAATGTATTCCTCATTTTAATCTGTCTCAGTCCATCTTTCATTACTTTATCCTCACTTTCTAAAATATCATTTTCTTTTTTCTTTGTTGTCTTGGGGTTCACCCAAGTTAATCTTTTCACTTTTTATTTATTTGGCATTATCCATTTTATTGTTGTCCATTCTTTTGAGATGAAGTCTTACTCTATCACACAGGCTGGAGTGCAAAGGCAGGATCTCAGCTCACTGCAACCTCCACCTCCCAGGCTCAAGTGATTCTCCTGCCTCAGCCTCCTAACTAGCTTGGATTACAGGCACACATCACCAGGCTTCACAATTGTTGATTTTTTAGAAAAGATATGGTTGCACCATGTTGGCCTTGAACCACTGACCTCAGGTGTTCTACCCATCTTAGCCTCCCAAAATGCTGAGATTACAGGCCTGAGCCATCACCACTGGCCTAATTTTTTTAAACATTCTTCATATTAACTATTTAACCATGTCCATCGCACTACCCTCTGAAAATCCAGCGTGAGAACTAAAAAGTTAATAGTATGTGGACATAGGTGAAATGATCTTTGTCTTGTGTCATGCTCTGCCAGGAAAGGAAATCAGGATTCCCTTTTTATAGCATTGATTCTAAATTTCTTCTACTTATGCACAATCTGAAAATATAGGCATAGGGTAAGATGGCACCACTAGGTTTCCATACTGAGGAATCTGTCTGACCAAATCCATACTCCATTCCAATTTCAGTTGTCCCAGAAAACTGAGTGATGAATCTTGTCAGGCCTTAGCTGGTGACACCAAATGTTGCATAATATACCAAATCCACAGTGAATGCTCCTTCTGAACAATTGTGCAGCTGGATCCCCAGTGTAAGCCATTTCAGCACAACAACTGAGAATCTCTACAGCAAATAAAGGAAGGAGTGGCAAAGATAAAGCTATTCTTTCAGGCAAGGACCTGCCAGTCAAAGCAGAAGATGAAAAATAATTTTTAGAAGAAGCTGGGAAAAATCACAACCAGACCTTTTTTTCCAAAATGGTGGAATAGGAACAGCTCCAATCTACATCTCCCAGTAAGACTGATGCAGACGATGGGTAATTTCTGCATTTCCCACTGAGGTACGGGGTTCACATCACTGGGACTTGTCAGACAGTGGGTGCAGGACAGTGGGTTCAGCGCACTGAGCATGAGCCAAAGCAGGGCAAGGCATCACCTCACCCAGGAAGCACAAGGGGTCAGGGAATTCCCTTTCCTAGCCAAGGAAAGCTGTGACAGATGGCACCTGGAAAATCAGGTCACTCTCACCCTAATACTGCACTTTTCCAATGGTCTTAGCAAACAGGACACCAGGAGATTAGATCCCACACATGGCTCGGAGGATCCCATGCCCACAGAGCCTCACTCATTGCTAGCACAGCAGTTGGAGATCCACCTGCAAGGTGGCAGTGAGGCTGGGGGAATGGCACCCACCATTGCTGAGGCCTGAGTAGGTAAACAGAGTGGACAGGAAGCTCGAACTGGGTGGAGCCCACCCCAGCTCAAGGAGGCCTGCCTGCTTCTACAGACTCCACATCTGGAGGCAGGACATAGCCAAACAAAAGGCAGCAGAAACCTCTGCAGACTTAAATGTCCCTGTCAGACAGCTTTCAAGAGAGTAGTGGTTCTCCCAGCACGAAGTTTCAGATCTGACAACAGACAGAGTGCCTCCTCACATGGGTCCCTGACCCCCAAGTAACCTAACTGGGAGGCATGCCCCAGTAGGGGCAGACTGACACCTCACATGGCTGGGTACCTATCTGAGATGAAACTTTCAGAGGAATGATCAGGCAGCAACATTTGCTGTTCAGCAATATTCACTGTTTTGCAGCCTCCACTGCTGATAACCAGGCAAACAGGGTCTGGAGTGGACCTCCAGCAAACTCCAGCAGATGTGCAGCTGAGGGTCCTGATTGTTAGAAGGAAAACTAACAAACAGAAAGGACATCCATACCAAAACCCCATTTGTACATCACCATCATGAAAGACCAAAGGAAGATGAAACCACAAAGATGGGGAAAAAACAGAGCAGAAAACCTGAAAATTCTAAAAATCAGGGCACCTCTCACTCGCCAAAGGAACACAACTCCTCAGCAGCAATGGAACAAAGCTGGACGGACAATGACTTTGATGAGTTGAGAGAAGAAGGCTTCAGACAATCAAACTTCTCCAAGATAAAGGAGGAAGTTCAAACCCATCACAAAGAAGCTAAAAACCTTGAAAAAAGTTTAGCTGAATGGCTAATTAGAATAACCAATGTGCAGAAGTCCTTAAATAACCTGAGGGAGGTGAAAACCATGGCACGAGAACTACATGATGAATGCACAAGCTTCATTAACTAATCCAATCAACTGGAAGAAAGGGTATCAGAGATTGAAGATAAAATGAATGAAATGAAGTGAGAAGAGAAGTTTAGAGAAAAAATGAATAAAAAGAAATGAACAAAGCCTCCAAGAAATATGGGACTATGTGAAAAGACCAAATCTACGTCTGATTGGTGTACCTGAAAGTGAAGTTGAGAATGGAACCAAATTGGAAAACACTCTGCAGGATATTATCCAGGAGAACTTCCCCAACTTAGAAAGGCAGGCCAACTTTCAAATTCATTAAATACAGATAATGCAACAAAGATATTCCTCGAGAAGAGCAACTGCAAGACACAAAATTTTCAGATTCACCAAAGTTGAAAAGAAGGAAAAAATGTTAAGGGCAGCCAGGGAGAAAGGTCGGGTTACCCACAAAGGGAACCCCGTTAGACTAACAGTGGATCTCTCAAAAGAAACTCTGAAAGCCAGAAGAGAGTGGGGGCCAATATTTAACATTCATAAAGAAAATATTTTTCAACCCAGAATTTCATATCGAGCCACACTAAGCTTCATAAGTGAAGAAGAAAAAAAAATCCTTTACAGACAAGCAAATGCTGAGAGATTTTGTCACAACAAGGCCTGCCCTACAAGAGCTCCTGAAGGAAGCACTAAACATGGAAAGGAAAAACTGGTACCAGCCACTGTAAAAATGTGCCAAATTTTAAAGACCATCAATGCTAGGAAGAAACTGCATCAACTAACGAGCAAAATAACCAGCTAATATCATAATGACAGGATCAAATTCACACATAACACCATTAACCTTAAATATAAATGGGCCAAATGCTCCAATTAAAAGATGCAGACTGGCAAATCGGATAAAGAATCAAGATCCATCAGTGTGCTGTATTCAGGAAACCCATCTCACATGCAGAGACACACATAGGCTTAAAATAAAGGGATGGAGGAAGATCTACCAAGCAAATGGAAAACAAAAAGAGGCAGCGGTTGCAATCCTAGTCTCTGATAAAACAGGCTTTAAACCAACAAGAACAAAAGAGAAAAAGAAGGCCATTACATAATGGTAAAGGGATAAATACAACAAGAAGAGCTAACTATCCTAAATATATATGCGCCCAATACAGGAGCACCCAAATTCATAAAGCAAGTTCTTAGAGACCTACAAAGAGACTTGGACTCCCACAGAATAATAATGGGAGGCTTTAACACCCCACTGTCTACATTAGACAGATCAATGAGACAGAAAGTTAACAATGACATCCAGGAATTGAACTCAGCTCTGCACCAAGCAGACCTAATAGACATCTACAGAACTCTCCACCACAAATCAACATAATATACATTCCTCTCAGCACCACATCTCACTTATTCCAAAATTGACCACATAGTTGGAAGTAAAGCACTCCTCAGCAAATGTAGAAGAACAGACATTATAGCAAACTGTCTGTCAGACCATGGTGCAATCAAACTAGAACTTAGGATTAAGAAACTCACTCAAAACCACTCAACTACATGGAAACTGAACATCATGCTCCTGAATGACTACTTGGGTACATAACAAAATGAAGGCACAAATAAAGATGTTCTTTGAAACCAATGAGAAGAAAGACACAACATACCAGAATCTCTGCGACACATTTAAAACAGTGTGTAGAGGGAAATTTATAGCACTAAATGCCCACAAGAGAAAGCAGGAAAGATCCAAAATTCACACCCTAACATCACAATTAAAAGAACTAGAGAAGCATGAGGAAACATATTCAAAAGCTAGCAGAAGGCAAGAAATAACTAATATCAGAGCAGAACTGAAGGAAATTGAGACCCAAAAACCCTTCAAAAAATCAATGAATCCAGGAGCTGGTTTTTGGAAAAGATCAACAAAATTGATAGACCGCTACCAAGACTAACAAAGAAGAAAAGAGAGAAGAATCAAATAAACGCAATAAAGAATGATAAAGGGGATATCACCACTGATCTCACAGAAGTACAAACTACCATCATAGAATACTATAAACACCTCTATGCAAATAAACTAGAAAATCTAGAAGAAATGGATAAATTCCTTGACACACACATCCTCCCAAGACTAAACCAGGAAGAAGTTGAACCTCTGAATAGACCAATAGCAGGCTCTGAAATTGAGGCAATAATTAGTAGCTTACCAACCAAAAAAAGTGCAGGACCAGATGGATTCACGACCGAATTCTACAAGAGGTACAAGGAGGAGCTGGTACCATTCCATCTGAAACTGTTCCAATCCACAGAAAAAGAGGGAATCCTCTCTAGCTCATTGTATGCAGCCAGCATCATCCTGATACCAAAGCCTGGCAAAGACACACAAAAAAAGAGAATTTTAGACCAATATCCCACATGAACATTGATGCAAAAATCCTCAATAAAATACTGACAAACTAAATCCAGAAACACATCAAAAACCTTATCCACCATGACCAAGCTGGTTTCATCCCTGGGATGCAAGGCTGGTTCAATGTACACAAATCAATAAATGCAATCCAGCATATAAACAGAAAAAAAGACAAAAACCACATGATTGTCTCAATAGATGCAGAAAAGGCCTTTGACAAAATTCAACAGCCTTCATGCTAAAAACTCTCAATAAATTAGGTGTTCATGGGATGTATCTCAAAATAATAAGAGCTATGTATGACAAACCCACTGCCAATATCATACTGAATGGGCAAAAACTGGAAGCATTCCCTTTGAAAACTGGCACAAGACAGGGATGCCCTCTCTCACCACTCCTATTCAACATACTGTTGGAAGTTCTGACCAGGGCTATCAGGCAAGAGAAAGAAAGAAATGGTATTCAATTAGGAAAAGCTGAAGTCAAATTGTCCCTGTTCGCAAATGACATGATTGCATATCTAGAAAACCCCATCATCTCAGCCCAAAATCTCCTTAAGCTGATAAGCAACTTCAGCAAAGTCTCAGGATACAAAGTCAATGTGCAAAAATCACAAGCATTCTTATACACCAATAACAGACAAACAGAGAGCCACATCATGAGTGAACTCCCATGTAAAATTGCTTCAAAGAGAATAAAATACCTAGGAATCCAACTTACAAGGGATGTGAAGGACCTCTTCAAGGAGAACTACAAACCACTGCTCAATAAAATAAAAGAGGAAACATACAAATGGAAGTTTATTCCATGCTCATGGATAGGAAGAATCAATATTGTGAAAATGGCCATACTGCTCAAGGTAATTTATAGATTCAATGCCATCCCCATCAAGCTACCAATGACTTTCTTCACAGCATTGGAAAAAACTACTTTAAAGTTCATATGGAACCAAAAAAGAGCTCTCATTGCCAAGTCAATCCTAAGCTAAAAGAACAAAGATGGAGGCATTGCGCTATCTGACTTCAAACTATACTACAAAGTTACAGTAATCAAAACAGCATGGTACTGGTACCAAAACAGAGATATAGACCAATGGAGCAGAACAGAGCCCTCAGAAATGATACGACATATCTACAACCATCTGATCTTTGCCAAACCTGACAAAAACAAGAAATGAGGAAAGGATTCCCTATTTAATAAATGGTGCTGGGAAAACTGGATAGCCATATGCAGAAAGCTGAAACTGGATCCCTTCCTTACACCTTACACAAAAATTAATTCAAGATGTATTAAAGACTTAAATGTTAGACCTAAAACCATAAAAACCCTGGAAGAAATCCTAGGCAATACCATTAGGATGTAGGCATGGGCAAGGACTTCATGTCAAAAACAAAAAAAGCATGGCAACAAAAGCCAAAATACAAATGAGACCTAATTAAACTAAAGAGCTTCTGCAGACCAAAAAAAAAAAAAAAAAAAAAAGTACCAGCAAAGCGAATAGGCAACCTACACGACTGGCAGAACATTTTTGCAATCTACTCATCTGACAAAGGGCTAATACCCAAAATCTACAAAGAACTCAAACAAATTTACAAGGAAAAAACAAACAACCCCATCCAAAAGTGGGTGAAGGATATGAACAGAGACTTTCTCAAAACAAGACATTTATGCAGCCAACAGACACATGAAAAAATGCTTGTCATCACTAGCCATCATAGAAATGCAAATCAAAACCACAATGAGGTACCATCTCACACCAGCTATAATAGCAATCATGAAAAAGTCAGGAAACAACTGGTGCTCAAGAGAATGTGGAGAAATAGGAACAGTTTTACATAATTGATGGGAGTGTAAACTACTTCAACCATGTGGAAGACAGTGTGGTGATTCCTCAAGGATCTAGAACTAGAAATATCATTTCACCCAGCCATCCCATTACTGGGTATATACCCAAAGGATTATAAATCATGCTTTTATAAAAACACACACACGTGTGTATTCACTGTGGCACTGTTCACAATAGCAAAGACTTCGAACCAACCCAAAATGTCCATGAATGACAGACTGGATTAAGAAAATGTGGCACATACACACCATGGAATACTATGCAGCTATAAAAAGTGATGAGTTCATGTCCTTTGTAGGGACATGGATGAAGCTGGAAATCATCCTTCTCAGGGAACTATTGCAAGGACAAAAAAACCAAACACCTCATGTTGTCACTCATAGGTGGGAATTGAACATTGAGAACACTTGGACACAGGAAAGGGAACATCACACACTGGGGCCTGTTGTGGAATGGTGGGGGAGGTATAGCATTAGGAGATATATCTAATGTAAATGACGAGTTAACAGGTGCAACACACCAACATGGCACATGTATACATATGTAACAGACCTGAACGTTGTGCACATGTAACCTAGAACTTAAAGTATAATAAAATATACAAATATATATAAAAATATATACAATATATTTAGAAAAATATGCAAATAAATATACAAAAAATATACAAATATAAAAATATACAAATATAAAAAAATAAAATATACAAATATGTAAATAATATATACACATTATACAAATATATAATATATGAATAATATAATATATAAATATATAAATATTTTTTACAATATATATAAATATAAATATATAAATAAATTTTTTACAAAAATGTAAAATATAACAAACATATACAAATAAATATACAAAAATATACAAACAAAAATATACAAATATAAAACATATACAAATATAAAAAATACATATACAAAAAATATACAAATATATACATATATAAAAAAACATACCTATACCGAAAAAGAAAGCGTGATAGTTGAAATGATAACCAGGGATGTTAATCTCAGTAAGTCAAAATTATTGCACCTCTAGTGAACAAAACTCTGACCTACCCTTTTATGAAAAGTTGTGGTGAGTAATGAAGAATAACAAGTAATACCACAACACCAATAATGTTCATTTTTGACAATGAAAATAGATTTTATGGTTGTATGTCCACAGTCAACATTCACAAATTCACATACATATGTGTGTGTGTGTGTGTGTGTGTGTGTGTGTGTGTATATATAAATACAAAAATGTACATATATGTATTAGGTACTGTGTGACATCAGTGCTGGGTGTCCAGGAGACACAGACAGACAGACAAGAAAACTAATGTGACAGATAAGAAGCACCTCCTGGAAGGAGTGATGTCTGTGTTGTAGGAGTCTTAAGTAGGCAAATCGGGAGAGAGCATTTATCTCCAAGAAAAAATGGGGCCCAAGTTACAAGATAGGAAAGGGCATGGCTGAAAGTGGAGTTGTCCAGATGTTGCTCCAACTGGACTGTGGTGAAACAGAAAGACATGAAGCTGACAGGAAAATAAATATTAGGTCTGGAAGGGATTTGTTCAGCCATGCTGAGGATATGGATTCAGAATCTAAAAGGTATCAAATCCTGACAAAAGCCATGAAATCTGACTTTGTATAGATGAAACCAATGTGATGAACATCTGTATTAGAGGAGGGGTTTGGTGGCTCAACCTTGTAATTCCAGCACTTTTAGGGGCCAGGGTGGGTGGATCACGTGAGGCCAGGAATTCAAGACCATCCTGGCCAATTTGGTGAAACTCCGTTTCTACGAAAAATACAAAAATTAGCCCAGCTTGGTGGGCATATATAATTTTACCTACTCAAAAGTTTGAGGCACAGTAATTACTTGAACCCAGAGGCTGAGGTTGCAGTGAGCTGAAATAATGCCACTGCTCTCCAGCCAGGGTAACACAGTAAGACTATCTCAAAGAAAAGAAGAAGCAAGGAAATGTGCATTAGAAAACATGAAACATGGACTCTAACAGGAGGTAATGAAAGGCACAAACATGTTGGAATCCTTTAATGTAAGATCAAAAGTGTGTACTGTTAATGTTAGCTCCTGATCTAAAATGCTTCTTGTTGAAATCTTCATTGAATAAAGTAGGTATAAGTGAAGCATTTTTAACACCAATTCTTCTTTTCACCCTTACTAAATGCTGGGGACAGCCACGTTTGAAATTTGGATTATAATAAAACTTTAACTAAAACCAAAGAAAAAGGTAATTCAGTGCCATTTTAAACCGGGAGACAAGTGACAATAACAAACATAACACATAAAATATCAGATTTCTCTTTCGTCACACAAACTTAATGACATCAAATAATTCATGAACATTATTTGCTATTTTTAAGAAAGTGCTTGTTGGGAAAAAAAAGCACTCAAATTGTTAAGCCCTCAGGTGAAAACATGTTATATATTAATAGCAACATTACATTAAGTGGCTTTGATACATTTATTTGGAGTTCACTGGTAAGATTCAAAGTTTTAGCAACATTTCTGAAAACTCTGAAAGGTTGATGCTCAAGCTGAACTCAATAATTTCAAAAAAATAAATAATTTCTACCTTAATATTTTATATAATTTTCAACATCTGGTCTTGTTGCATGTATTAACATATTTACTGATGTTCAAAGTAAAATTACATACATACTTTACATAGAGTGGTAACTGAAATATGTTAAATGCTTTGCTTAAGGCATCGGATTCTTTCTCTTCTGCCAGAAAGGTGGCTAGAAAGGCAGATCTTTGAAAATTCTGTCGCAACGGAGACCTACTGGAGGCTTCTGAACCAGTTAACTAATCTTTGGGAGAAACATCTTGAATTTCTGAAGAAACATGTGCCATCTCAAATAAACATTTCTTAAAAGGCCGGGCGCGGTGGCTCACGCCTGTAATCCCAGCACTTTGGGAGGCCGAGGCGGGTGGATCACGAGGTCAGGAGATCGAGACCATCCCGGCTAAAACGGTGAAACCCCGTCTCTACTAAAAATACAAAAAATTAGCCGGGCGTAGCGGCGGGCGCCTGTAGTCCCAGCTACTTGGGAGGCTGAGGCAGGAGAATGGCGTGAACCCGGGAGGCGGAGCTTGCAGTGAGCCGAGATCGCGCCACTGCACTCCAGCCTGGGCGACAGAGCGAGACTCCGTCTCAAAAAAAAAAAAAAAATGAAAATTCTGTCGCAACGGAGACCTACTGGAGGCTTCTGAACCAGTTAACTAATCTTTGGGAGAAACATCTTGAATTTCTGAAGAAACATGTGCCATCTCAAATAAACATTTCTTTAGCTACTCTTCCAGCCTGCATGGTTTTCAAGACTGCGGCTTCAAATGCTGCTTCAGAAGGCCTAGGCAGGTAAAGAAATCTAGACCATCACGATGTTCCCAAGGTGAGTAGCAATGACATCACAAGAGGATTTTGGTCTCCTAGCAACCAACAAAAAATCTGACCAAAAGTGCTTCCTTCCCAGTCTGAGAAATGTATCCATTGAAAATCAAATATACACTGCTAACTTACACAGTGTCAGCTGCAAAAATCTCATCCCTTCAGCATGATTTAAATAAACAAGAAAATAGTGTCCTCAATCCCAGAAATAAATGTAATTTTCTCCCTGACACACACACTTACTAGATTGGTGACAGGAGCATAGGTAATTGCAAAACAAAACAAAAAAAGGAAATTATTTAAATAGCAAGTGCTTAATTGTGTTACCATACCATAAACAGAGAATGTGTCCCCATGTACAAATGTTCTCATTTCCCCAGCAAATATCAAAAACAATGTAATGATAATTTTAAAGCTTATAATCTTTTTAATTTATTTATAAAAAGGTAAGTAAATAATCATTAACATCATCATGGTAATTATGCCATAACTAACTTAAGCAATACTTTCTTATCAAAGCTTAACATATTTATATATAGCAATCCTTTGGTATCTGTAGGGGATTGGCTCCAGAAACATCTCAAATACCAAAATGTATGTCTGCTCAAGCTTCTGCTTTATAATGATGCAGTACATAAGTATAATGCACACCCATCCTCCTGTGTAGTTTACTTTATCTCTACATAAATAATTAATAAAATGTAAATGCTATGTAGACAGATATTTTACTCTAATGACTTTAAATTTGTTACATTTTACCATAGTATTGATTTTTTTGTTTTTGTTTTCAAACACTTTAATATATGTCTAGGGAAATCTGTTTGCAGAACCTTTATATGCAAAAGGTCTCTTATTTGTTGCAAATCAGAAAACATTACTGACACAGAGAGTGATGGCTATGTGGTTCCATATAGCCACTACTATCTGTGTTACTTCTCTAATATTTTCTTTTATGCAATTAAGCAGAATTTGGTGTGAGTAAACTGAAGATACAAAGTAAGCAATAATGATAGCAGTTAATACTTATAGTGCTTAAAGTCAAGGTAATACACTAAGAGCTGCACACATATTAATAAATTTAATCCTCACTGTCCTTTCTTTTTGTGTGACAGTTTCACTCTCTTCACCTAGAATGCAGTGCAATGGCAGGATCTAGGCTCACTGCAACCTAGACCTCCCAGATTCAAGCGATTCACCTGTCCCAGCCTCCCCAGTAGCTAGTATTACAGGCATCTGCCGCCACGCCTGGCTAATTTTCATATTTTTAGTAGAGATGGGGCTTCACCCTGTTGGCAAAGCTGGACTCTCTGTCTTATGAAAAGGTAAAACCTATACATAATACTTTAAACGGTGTGAATTAAGAGTGGCAGGCAGGGTGAAAAGAAATTGTTCCAAGTCTCAGAGGTGAAAATAGCAGGCAGTATGCTGTTAAAAATAAACCACAATTTAAATGGCAGCTAAGTGCAAGATAATGCAGACAGCTTGGAGGTGAGATGTTATGAAGGTCAAGAAAGACATACCTGTCATTTAATATATAATATCTTCAAAGACATTTTACCATTATATATCCTAGTCAAATTGCAAAGAAATAAAATTAGCTGGTTAGGCCTAAAGAAAGAGACCTGTTTGTGAAACTACAAGTGGTCGTTAAAATCTGTTGGAAGCCCATAAAATGAAGGAACATTTTTGCTTCAAGAGATTTTTATAGTAGAAAAAGAATAATGCTTTCTTCTACCAACTCTTCAAGATTCAATCATTAAAATGCAATTTATTTTAGAGTAGAGATGAAAACAATCTGGGAGATTATTTTACATCTCAAATTATTCACCTAATGAGAATAACTTTTTTTTTCCTAGTCAGTCATTCGATTTTGTCAATAACATTCTCCTTTAAGCCAGTTATCATCTTGACTACCTCTCTGATACCGTGCAAATACTAAAGAGAAAGCAGAAGTTAATTTTGTGGATGAGCACAAACACTTCTAATTGTCTTCTGGTTGTTTTCAATGAGATAATTATTTTTTTCAAAACTGAACAAAACAAACTTTTTATCACATTTTACAATGATGTGCATTTGCACATTCAATTTGATACACTGTTCCACAGAATGAAGAAGATTTTGAAGACTGTTCATGTCCACATTTAAAGTTGTAAAAGATTTCTCACATTTGTATCAAAAGATATTATTTAAAATACAAATTATAAAATGTATTTTTTACTTTTATTTGTGAAGACAGGTTCTTTGTCACTGAAGCTAAAATGCAGTGGCACAATTCCAGTTCACTGTGGTCTCAAACTCTTTGGCTTGAGCTGGGGTTTCCCTAATCAGTATCCATCTGCGTCTTGTTATGAACTGGGGCTACACATCAACAGGTGAGTGGTGGCCAAGCATGGAAACCTTATCTCTATTTAAAACACTAAGTATGGTTCACAGTACTGCCTGAGATCCGCTTTCTGAAGATCAGTGGCAGCATCCGATTTTTATAGAAGCGAGGGAACTACTATTTACTGCACTTGAGAGAAATTTACGTTTTGCACTCTTTATAAGAATCAAAACAACTGATCACCTGCAACAGTCTCCCATCACCCACAGATAGAACCATCTAGCTACAGGAAAATAAGTTTAGGGCTCCCACCGAGTCTACATTATGGTGAGATGTATAATTATTTTGTTAAATATTATAATGTAATAATAAGACAAATAAAGCGCAAAATCAATGGAGGGTACTCAAATCTTCCAAAAACTGTCTCCACAACCCCAGTTGATGAAAATCTTGTCTTTCACAAAAACAGGCCCTGGTGCCAAGTGATAGCAGATGATCACATATAGATGCATGCACACATAAATTATTGAGTGAAAGTTTTGAAGACAGAAGCTCAAAGAGTTATAATAATTTGAGAGAACAAGAACAGAAATGTTGACTAGATTGCAGAAAAAGAAATGTTTTGAGTAGAGAAAGCTAATGAAAATAAATTGTTGACACAAGAAAAAATGAGAGTGAGGGACGTGTGCAGATAAAGAATTGAAATATGTAAATTAGAATTATATATGCAAATCATATTTATAACCTAGGTTTACAGTTTAGCTATGAAATTTGGAAACTTTTACTGAAAGCTATAATGGGCAGTCAGTTAATTACACGTGCACTAAAGACTTTTAAAGGAAATCTAAGTGATATGCTAATACATAGAAAGGGAACTACTGTGAGTAAAACAGAAGACAGCCCAGAAATCAGAAGATCCCTTTTTCTTCCTACCTCTGAGCTATCTAAGAAATACCTTCTTGAAAGAACACTAAACTCTTTCTCTGTGTGTGTGTGTGGTTTTGTGTGCATGTGTGGTTGTGTGTGTTTGTGTGGCACAGCTTCTCTTCATTACTCAGTCTGCAATGCAGCAACACGGTTACAGCTCAGGTGATGTTTTCGCCTTAGTGTCCCGGATAGATGGGACTAGTGCAGACAATTACACTCAGCTAATTTATTGCATCTTAGTAGAGATGGGATATCACCATGTTGCACAGGCTGGTTTTGAACTCCTGAAATCAAGTAATCTGACTCCCTTGGCTTCCCAAAGTGCTAAGGCTATCCATGTGAGTGACAGGGCCTGGCCTAGTTGAGATTTTTCAAATCTAAACACGGACCAAGTGTTATTGGTCACTTTTGTAAGAGGCTCAAAATCTATGAGATTACATTCAGGCTTGCAAAAATTATGTGTATATTACATGAAGTTATAGATTATATATTTATATAAAAGTATATCATATATATTTTATCTTGCAGGACTAGGAAGCAGTACTTTTTTGTCAGTGATTAAAAGGTTTATTTGATAATAAAAATGCTTATTTGATGATGAGTAATATGGATTTCTGAGGTGATTATTATACATAATCTCAGGCATAAACATTACTCTAGAAACTAAAAGACATCATTGATGTGCTAGTCTAAATTGAACAGTATAATGAGGAAAGTGTAATCAAATATCAAAGTTAGTCAAATAAATGGTATTTTATCTTTCCAAGTAGCTGATACTACAGGCTCATATATCCACACCTGAATAATTTTTGTTTTGTTTTCATAGAGGCAGGGTTTTCTACGTTGCCCAAGGTTGTAAAATAATTTGTATTATGTGTGATAACAGTACCCTGGTCATATATTTTTGAAAAAACTTTAGGGATGTATTAAAATATCTGTACACTTAAAAAATGTACTTGACATTTGCTTCATTTGAGAACTGTTAAATCAAGGAGATGACTTCATTTTAATATTTTGATTATATAGATTACAAATCTTCCTATAAGAAGTCAATTATACCTTAAGAGATGAAAGAATACAGTGGCCTGTCTTTGCTGTGACAATTTTAACCTTTTTCTATTAGTATGACAATAATAAAAATGATCAAGAAATGCAGCTAGGATATTACTATTTTTTAAATATTACATGCCAAATAAACTATGTATTTTAAAGATCTATTTAAAAAATTTAATGTACAGACGATTTTATCAAAATTAAATTGATAAATCACCCATAATTTACCTGAAGTGTTTCCAAAAAATTTTCAGTACATAGTATTTTAGTCAGAAGGCAACTAAATGTAAAAGAGGCTTGAAGGTGTCTTTGGACACGAATATTGTTCTCTTTCCTATCTTCTATCTTGTTTAATGTGGGCTCATCTTTAAATTTATGACGTTAACTACGTACATCATTTTGGAGATGAGCATTGCTATAGAAACCAAAATACATTGGTGATGCACTAATCTAACGTTAAAATATAATAAAAGAAGTTGAAATAAATACCAAAACTTAGTTAATAAGATGATATGCATGTTTTAATATTATTTTCAAAGAACTTATTGTTTTTAATGTTTAGGATTAGTGATTATTTCACAGGGGGACCATCAGAAAGAGATCACAGAAAAATTATCCTTAGCAATAATAAAACAATAGCATATATTGCAGGTAATAAAATATACTACAGTGTTGTTGAGTAGACAGATTAAAAACAAATCAGTGCTCTGCCATATGAGGAATAAGATACTTTGTTCTCCTAGAATTCAGTGTCTTCTTGTGATTTTAATGCATTTTTACAGATTTCATGATATAATTTATGTGATGTATTTGGAATTATTACTGCACAATAAGTACAGCTATTAAGAGTAGTTGTGGAAGGAATGAGAGCACACACAGGAACGCCAAAGGTCATAATTTCCTTATAGCTACAGAGCAAAATACAGTTGTTTTACACATATCTCTCATGTTTCTGTATGTTTTTCTCTACATCTGAGGTTTTTGATACAATAATGAACAATATCCAGTTTGTGCCCTGATGAAGTTCATTGTATAGAAAAAGCAGCTAGGCAGACATGCAGCCACAGTAAAGCGCTAAGACATCATAAAGCACAAGCAATGAAGCACAAAGGTGGGGATTTAATTTGAATTTTATATTCTGTCTGCCTCATTCACTTCTTGCCAGTGTAATTAACCATCTCTATCTGTTTTAAATTCAAAACCCTAGGGGTAAAACTGATTACAGTACAAGGAACTAAATTTTACTTTTTGTTGTTGTTGTTGTTTATTAGTGACTATTAACCAAGTGTTAGCGAACGTCCCATATGGACATTCTACTAAAAGAAATGCTACCAAGGTTTTAATGCCTGCGTGGTGTGATCTATCAGATCTAGAAAGGGAGAGGCAAGTGTGTTTTTAATCTCCATAAATGATAAATGCTGAGATGCTATTTGAAAACCAAACTATTTCTGATTACTGAGGAAGAGAAATGTAGAAATTTAAGATTTATTACAATTAAAATATTCTAATTTCTTTATTTAGTTTCTATCAATACCTATGCAAAAAGTAAAGGAACTACTTGAGTACAAACATTTCCAAAATTCAAGTTTTTGGTATTCACTTATTTAATAGCTATATCTTAAATATGTAATCTGCCACTAAAACCTAATATTTTTGCTGCTTTATTTTCAACCAGATACTTTTTATTTTCAACCAGATGTTTTATACCCTTAGCAGCCTGATTGTAATAGTTACGTCATGTTGCTAACAGGTCCATGTAGCATTATCTGAAAATCAATTTTTTTCCTTAGCAGAAAAAACCCTAATTTGAGAAAAATATTTAGAGAATCCTAAAAATAAGCACAACTTATATAACACAGATAGAACAGTAAAAAAGCCTACTTTATAAAACAAGATGAGAATATAATTATTAAAAACAAAAATTTCTCATTATCCAAAGAATGAATTGCATTTACCATGTTGTGCAAATGTGATTATATCAACCATGCTTTGAAAACAACAAAAAACATTGATAAATATTATTAACTAAAATTTCAACTTACTAGATAGTGATCACAATAAATATGCCAGTCATAGTATCTCAGATATTATAGCCATATCATCAAAATGCAGTCCTGATAAAACCTCATGAAACTATACTAATTTGAGGAAGAACAACAGTATCTACTATGAGAATATTCAAAAAATGATAATTAAAACTTACCTCACAATTTTGTTTCTCATCTTTGAACGATCATCGAGTTCATCACTAACTGTGTTTTCAATTGTAGAAATACTGTTTCTGATGACTGGGATTATGTATAGTTGCTGGATCACAGAATTATTAACCACAGACTTCTTAAGTCCACATTTTTAATGACATTGCTTCTGTAACAATTTTCTTAGAAAAGGTCATGCATGATGGTATAATATTAAATTCTAATGTGTTACACAGACTTAGCATTAATCATTACAAATTTACATATTAAAAAACTTTTGCACTTAAGTGTATTCAATACATTTTAATCAGAACTTTACATAAATAGAACTTTAGAGTTTTCTCAGTTTTAATTGAGCACTACATTTACATTATTGTTCTGATTCATAAAAACTATAATCTTCACATAAATATCACTTTCTTCCTCAGCTAATAGTGATAATTGTTTTATCTATGTTCATAGTTTTATTGTGAGATGAAGTCAATTAGAAGTTGTCTTTAAAATACCTGTGAAAATTGTAAATGCTACTTTTTGTAAAACTGAATATGACTTACACATAAATCCAACTTAGAGATGGATTACATAAATTAGAGCACATTGAACTGCAAGTTATGTAGCTACAAAACAGAATTAAATAGATCTTGTTGTATTGACAGGCGTGTGACTAAGTACAAAACAAGGTTAACCATATTGTATATAAACTCATTACTTAAAAAGTCAGATCATTCTGTGTCCTGTGGGATCTATGTAGAGAGAAGAGTTTCCTTTTTGAAAACACTTTTTTTTTGTTAATTTGTTTAACTATTGTATTAGAATAGTAAATATATATTTTCAAAAGATTTTTTTACTTTGATCAGAAATATGATCATTTCTGTAAGAAAAAAAAATAGCTAATTGTATGAAGATGTGCATATATCTCAAAGAAAATCTCTGTACCAGAAATATAATATTGGTGGCAAGATAATAGTTTTTAGTGCATGTCCTCTTGTATATTTGAAAATATATATTAATCACAAGAAAACATTGGCTAGTTTAACAACAATACTGTTTATTTTAAAAAATCTCTTTTGAAAATACAAATTTACTATTCCAATACAATAGTTAAACAAATTAACAAAAAAAAAAGTGTTTTCAAAAAGGAAACTCTTCTCTCTACATAGATCCCACAGGACACAGAATGATCTGACCTTTTAAGTAATGAGTTTAGCTAGAAACTCCTACAATGTACTAAAAAATATACTCACACAGAGAAAAACATAAATATAATTTCACATTTTCCAATTAAATATCTGTACAGAATGCTGTTGTTAATTATGTACTTAACCCTCAGATTTCTCTTGAAATCAACTAAATTTCATGTTATTACTTGTTAATTTACTTACATTGGCTCCCACTCTGAGTTTCAGTTTTGTGTAAGATTTCAACATTGCTACCTATTTTGCTTAACTAATATGGACATTTAAAAGTAATAAAATGCACTCAAATGTTCTCTTCTCACATTATGATTTTTAAAACAATACCTCTCTTATAATATAACTAAAATACCATGAAACAACTTCAAAGTTTGGGTTATGAAAATCTTTTTAATGCATACAGTTTAAATATAAAGTTTTTGTAGCATTAAATTTGGCTTCTTGTATTCTAAAGGGTTAGTATTTTTTTTTCACATACAACTAAATAAAACCCACTGTGGTAAATTACCAAAACCAGCTATAGGAGAGAAGTTAAGAAATACATGCTTATTTTGAAAAATAATGTTCTCTTACTTACATGGTTTTAATTATATACCTGATGGCTACAAAATGGTAAACTAGTTAATCAAAAAGAAAAAACCCATAAGTTAATTTTTGCAAATGAAATAATAGAATTTTAAACTAAAGTGTGATTAATGAACAAAAACTTCTTTATAATTTAAAATATTCACTAGTTATTGCTTTGTCTTTGTAATATGTTTCAGTCAAACAGTCTAGCATCATTGTGAGATTTTTTACACAGCCAATAGCTGGTGCTGCAAGCAGCTCAAAACCAGGGTTGATGGTAGTGGGTCAGTTACAGACAAGAACAGCCTTCTCTGCTAGCAGTTATTCACTTCTTATGTATTGCAGGTGAACTTTAGATGAAGGCAAGATGAAAACGAATTAATTTCTAGTAAGTTAGAAGAAGTAATCACATATTATTAGTAGAAAAGACAGGTTATAAAAACTTTATTTTCAAAGAAAATACCTTTAAGTCTATTTCACATAATTAAACATCTCAATGTATCTTGAAACAATTTTGAATTTTCTTACAAAAGAAAATCCTGAGGAAAAAAAACTGAGTGCAATCAACTAATGTAACTAATTATCCAAATTAGATTTTTACAGAAATTTCTAAAACTTCAGAACTTTACACCAAAGCAAAATAACATTCTAAATATACCTACTATTTTAGTTACATATTAATAAAAATAAATTAATTTCCAAGTATAATACATTAAAATTATATTATTTTTCTTGAATTATGAGACATATAAAGAAACTCATCAAAAATATGATGTAGAAAATAAGGTTTTGCAAGATGGACTTTTTTATTCAATTAGAAATTCAATCAGGGGCCAGGCATGGCGATTCACACGTGTAATTCCAGTACTTTTGGAAGCCAAGGCAGGCAGAGTACTTGAGGTCTGAATATTGAGACAAGCATGACCAATATGGTAAAAACACATGAGGTGTGGTGGTGCACACCTGTAATCTCAGCTATTCAAGAAGCCGAGGAAGAATAAATACTTGAAGCTGGGAAGCAGGGTGCTGCAGTGTGCTAAGATTGCACCAGTGCACTCCAGCCAAAGAGGCAATGTGAGATATCATTCTAAAATTAAAAGAAAACAAATTCAATCAATTAAAAATTGAGATGTACTACTTATTTAACTTTTCAATGCAGTTTGTGACAACTCTGATTTTTAATTACAAAATGTTTTAAATAAAGTGTGCACACATTTCAAAGTTACTACAACCCCACATCCAGAAAAAAATGTTTTATTTTTATTTAATTAATTTAATTTTGTTTTATATTAAGTTCCACAGTACATGCAGGACATCCTGGTTTATTTCACAAATGACAGAATGTTAGAACAGCAGCAAGTTAGAGAAAATGTCAGGATGGCAGAATAGCCAAAAGTTAGAGAAAAATGAGATCTCATATAAAATTTCAGCAATTTTTTTTTTAAGACAGAGCTTTGCTCTTGTCATACAGGCTGCAGTGCAATGGTGTGATCTCAGCTCACTGCAACCTCCACCTCCTGGATTTAAGCAATTTTCCTGCCTCAATATCCCAAGTAGCCGGGATTCCAGCTGTCCACCACCATGCCCACCTAATTTTTCTTTCTCTATGTGTGTGTGTGTGTGTGTGTGTGTGCGTGCGTGTGTGTAATTTTAGTGAAAAAGAGGTTTCACCCTATTGACCAGGCTGGTCTAGAACTCCTAACCTCAGGTGATCCCACTGCCTCAGCCTCCCAAGGTGCTGGGATTACAGGTGTGAACCACCCCTCCTGGCATCTGCAACATTTTAAAAAGTGGTTTTTAATTTATTCTTCAGAACTCTCTAGAATAGTGAATGTCAACAATTTAGATTCCATGAGACACAAACGTATTAGGGTATTTCAACCACAGAAAAATGATGTTACTATTGCATTTAACAGAAAATGCCAGAAATGCACTCATCATCTTACAATGCCCAGCAAAAGTGCCTCCCAAACAGAAACTACATAAGTACAAAATGTCAAAGTCCAGGAATTAGAAATATTGTTTCATAAGCAAGCTTCATAATCTACTAAAAGAATGCTAATCTGAAGCCCAATGCCATGCTAGGCACCATGGTGGGTGCCTGTAATCCCAGCTGCTTGGGAGGCAGAGGTGCACTGAGCTGAGACCATGCCATTGCACTCCAGCATGGACTACAAAAGTGAAAGTCCATCTTTAAAAAAAAAATGCAGTGTACATAAGATGGATCAGGTGGTTCAATGCAAATAATAATCTTTCAAATTTGATTTTGTAAAAATTTTGAAATATAATCATTTCCAAATAAGGTTAAAAAAATCCAAAATGTAGGACACTGAATTTTCAGTATTTCAAGAACTAAAAGAAGTAAGTCATTTAAACACAACCAGCTATGCTGCTTTTGCAATGGGATTTTAGGGGAGTCACTTTGTCAGATGAAATCCTCTGTGGCCAGTGGGGCCTTTCCCTGAGCTTTAATCAAGCCTGCTAAATTTGTTCTACCCACACTACCTGGCAGGCTACACCCAGCTGGAGTTACTGGAGTTATCACCTGCCAAGGGCAAACATGGATGAGTGGTGAGAGGTGTATGAGCAAGTGTGGCTTCCAGCCTCTAGACATGGTCAGTCATGCCAGCTGTGTCAGGTCAGGAAGTTTTAGGTGCCAACAGAACTGCTAGATCACTGAAAAGCTGCAACTGGGCCAGGCCTACTGCAAGCAGCCTCCACAGCTGATACTGGGGAATGTAGTGATGCCCAGAAGCTTGGAGATGCCAGAAAAGGCAAAGCCCCAAGGAAGGTGTGACAGCCCTCCCTGGCTTTGAGAGCTCCCTGGTCTGTGCGCCCTGAAGGGCCACAGCTCTCGTTTTATTTTTGTCTACCACAATGTGATAAGCAAGGGGAATGTTTTCTACCCGTTTGTGTTCCAGGTCATTCAGCCCTGCCATTCAGGTGATCTCATATTATTTTCCTGCATCCAGGAAAAACGAAGTTCATGCTGCCATGAGCCCTTCCACCTGTGTCTGTAGAGATAATCCCTGCGCTGGTTATGGCAACAGTGATGGCCTCCCCTAGAAGATGCTTGAGTATTCATTCTACTCAACACCTAGAATTATCTAGCCCTGGCTATAATCCTTGAAATCTTGGTTTTCATTTGGCTTGGTTATTGTAAAATCTTCACAACTTTTCTGTCATAAGAGACATTTAATATTTGTCTTATGGCAATCATTACGCTCGATGGGTATGCATAATGTAGTGTACCAATGCACATGTGTGCATCTGTATTCTGTATGCCTTCCAGTCGTATTCCGGATTAGCTCTATCCCAAAAGGCTTTGATTCAGTTTTCTCCATGGTATCTCAAAAATAGAGTGTGCCTAGGGTTTTATTTTGCTATATTAGCGTTTTACATAAATATTTAAAAATAATGGAAAAGAAAAGGGGAGAAAAAGGAAATATTTAGTTTACCTTTTTGTTTTTATTTGTTTTTTTGGAAACGGAGTCTCGCTCTGTTGCCCAGGCTGGAGTGCAGTGGCGCGATCTCAGCTTGCTGCAAACTCTGCCTCCCGGGTGTTCACGCCATTCTGCCTCAGCTTCCGGAGGAGCTGGGACTACTGGCTCCCGCCACCATGTCCCGCTAATTTTTTTTCTTTCTTTTTTTTTTTTTGTATTTTTAGTAGAGACGGGGTTTCACCAAGTTAGCCTGGATGGTCCCCATCTCCTGACCTGGTGATTGGACAGCCTTGGCCTCCCAAAGTGCTGGGATTACAGGCGTGAGCCACCGCACCCGGCCTATAGTTTAATTTCTAATTATTGATTAACTGAACTGACTTTACTTTACTAACGCTTACCCTAACTTGAATCAACTGAACTTTAAAAGAGCTTCTTAAAATCCTTCCGATTTACAGAAACCAGGGATTTTGAGTTAAGTGACTGTGAATATACAAAATCAAATTGTTCTAAAAGTGTGCTCCTATTTTTTTGTTTACAATTTTCTGGAGAGATGGTTCAATACTGTTAATTGCTCAAAGGTGCCTGACAGTAGATTTTAAGATATTCAACAGCATTTCTAGCCTCTTGGCACTAGATGCTAGTAACAACCTTACCAATTCCACTTCCAGTCATGAACTTGGCTTAGAGTAAAACTCAAGTAAAATCTACTGACCTGTAGAAACCCTAGACAATCACATGGACTTTGTGTTACCCCCATGAGCTCATTGTCTGCAATCGTTTTCCTTCCACAGTCTGCTCCATCCACAGTGACCTGGTCGTTTTTCAAACTGTTTATACAGGCTTCTGCCAGAGATCATCACACTTGTAGATCTTGCTGCATGCTTACATAATTATTCCCTTATTGTTTTATTTAGATATGTACTTGAAAGTCACTTTGGAAACAAATTATTTTATACTTTTTGTTTGTTTTTATTTTTTATTATACTTTAAGTTTTCGGGTACATGTGCACAACGTGCAGGTTTGTTACATATATACATGTTTTACATAAAACCAAGATGTACTACATAAGAGAATATTGCCCCTTGCCCTTTATACTAAATTGATAATATCAATCAATAGAAAGCAAACAACAAACTTCATACCGTAACCACTAAAACAAAAACCTAACAACTGGAAACATAAATTAAAAGTGTAACTTTCAATTTAAGTGTTTTAAACAACATTTTCATGGGACAAAAACATAGATCTCCTAAATAAAAATAAACTCTGAGATTACAAAACAATCAGTGCTTCCCAAATAAAAACGCAGGCAAAACTGCAGGCCTGGCAGCTTTGAACCATTCAAAGAAACATCACACCAATCAAACACTGTCTGAACCCTGTAAATCAATTGTTTGTATCAACCAAGGAATCCATCCAAAGAGACAATTTTAAAGTAGTAAATTTTTTTTGGATTGCCATACTGCCTCCCAGGCACAGATGAAGCCTTCAAAATTGAAATCCACATTTTCCATTTTAAACCCTGGTTCCTAATTCTGGGAGGAGTGAAGAAGCACTTGTGTGTTAATTTATTGTGTTTGTTCTAGTCTTTCTAGAAGATAAATAAACAATTGATGAAACATATTTATTACTGTTTTGCCAAACTCAGAAGTCACTCTTGGTTGAAAATGCCAGGAATTGGTCACAAACAAAATTTTAAGTTGTTGAAAGCAAAGAATACAGTTATTTCCTACAATAGACAATATAACAGATTTGTTAATACAGATCCAGTATTTAAAAAATAATAGTTTATATATCACTCTTATTCATAATGCTAATGGAATGTATTCAATGTGTGGTTAACCTTTCTCTAAAAAAAAAAGAAATGCTATTACTATTACAATTCTGGCAAAGTTAGCTATTACTATTACAGCTCTGGTAGGCAGCTATTACATAAAAAATTACAAATTTACTTTAATGGACACTCAGTGTGTGCAGATAAAATCTGAGACAATAATATAAATTGAGAAAGAAAAGTATAAGAGCAGCATATATTTATATTGTTGAAATTAAAATTTAGATTATTCAAATAAGTTAATATTATTCAAAGAAGGCTCTATTAAGTTTAGAATACAATTAAAGTCCCAAATATAATGAATTATAACATAAAAATACAGAAAAAAGTTTTAAAAAGTTAACATTTTTAATGGACAAAGGAGAAATTGAGGATCCAATAAAATAAAGAACATATAGAAAAAAAGTAAAATGTCAGAGTAATTTTTTACTTGTAATAACTTTAAATGTGAGCTCTTACATAAAAACACACAGACTGGCACAAATGCACCTTTAAAAGAACAATTCACTCGTGATTTCTATGCAAGTCTTACTTTAGGTTCAAAGAAACAGGGATTGAAACTAAAATAATACAGTTTCTTGGAAAAGCATGACAACTTATTTTCAAACATTAAAAAAAAAAATTCTGGGCCAGTTCCAGTGGCTCTCAGAAAAAAAAATATTCTGGAGATGAAAAGTAAAACAATTGACATTAAAATTGACTAGAGGCCTGCAATTCCAGCACTTTGGGATGCCAAGGTACAGATCATAAGGTCAAGAAGTTGTGACTATCCAAGCCAACATGATGAAACCCCATCTTTACTAAAAACACACAAATTAGCTGGGTGTGGTGACACATATCTATAGTTCCAGCTACTCAAGAGACTGAGGCAGGAGAATCAGTTGAACCCGAGAGGCAGAGGTTGCAGTGAGCCAAGATTGTGCACTGTACTCCAGCCTGGTGACAAAGCAAGACTCCATCTCAAAAAAAATTGTATAAATAACTAACTAAATAAGTACTACAGACATTTAAAAGGAGACTTGAGCATACAGAAGAAAATGTCACCAAATTGAATAAAAGGGGCAATTGAAATTATTAAGTCAGGAAGAGAAAAAATAAATAAATAAATGTGAAAACAGTCTAGAAACCAGTGTGACACCATCAAGCAGACCCACTTATCCATTTTGGAAGTTCAAGGAAAAGAAACAAAGAAATAGGGAAACTAAAAAAATGTGGTCAAACCTGTCACAAATTTAAGATAATAAATACCGAAGAAACTGAACAAACTCCAAGTAAAATAAACTCAAAGAGGCACATTCAAACATACATGATAGTTAAACTGTCTAAAATAAAGACAAAGAGAATCTTGAAAGCAGCCAAAGAAATTTTGACCAGTAATGTATGAAAGAACCCCTCATAAATAATCAGGGAATTTCTTATCTGAAAACTCAGGGTAGACTCATATATTCCAAATGCACTAAGAAAAAAAAATTCAAACAAATGTTATGTTTAAACAAAGTGTCCATCAAAAATGAGGGAGAAATTATGAAATTCCCAAATAAAAGCCACATTCTTTTGCCAGTAGACAACCATTTAATAAATGCCTTATGTATTATTCCAGGGTAAAATGAAAGGACACCGAACAGCAGTACAAATAAACAAAGATTAAGGTAAAGATAAATATCCTGATGCAGAACAGACTGGAGGAGAGAACAGGTGCAAGATACACCCACTAATGTCTCAGGGGTCTGGCTCGGTTACTGCTTCCATGGTTACGGGCTCAGCTAACAAGGAAGGTACACTGGTATTAGCAATTCCATAAACAGCCAATGGAAGAAAAAAAATCCATACATTTGTTCCAAGCATGAGAGGGGGGAAAAGAGAGATTATTGATGATGAAAAAGACCAGCCTTTTATCAAAAGGATGTATTTAACCATAAGGCTAATAGAAAGTGCCAGTAGACTCAGAAACATTTTGGTGAGGGAAAATGATGGCTTTACCCAGAAAGTGCTATCAATGAGATTGACAGAGAACAACTCACTAAATATTGAAGTAATGAAAAAAAATCAAGAATGCTCTGTATAGGGCTGCTGCAGATGACAGGAAGCTTATGCTGCCTAGTGCAGATGGCTGCGTCCCTTGCTGAGGTCTTGATTTTGTTTGCATTTAAGAAATGACAGAAACAGAGAAAGCATTGTAAGAGTGGATACTGTAAAGAACATTGTGAATAGTTTCATTCAGTTTAAGAAGCCTATTGTTGTATCAGCCAATAGCCCAGCCATTTGACTAGATGCATCCATACTTCCTCTTTGTGATTTGGTTTAGGCTAACAAAAAGGCTTGGTTTTAAACTGCTTCTATGACCTTTGGACAGAGTCCAGGTTGCTGTTTTACCATTAAATTTCCCAAGATGATGGGTGAAGCATAGGCCAATGTAATGTTGATTGGTGGGAGAAAGCTGAAAGCATGGGAGGCATGTGCCAGAGACCTGGTCTCTCAGGTGTCTTGGACTGCAACTTTTCCCCCAAGTGGTTATGACTCAAATTAAGGACTTTGCCTCATATAATTCAGTTGTGCTAGAGAAAAGTAATGCCCTTATTTACTGTAAAGTTAAAGATGAAGTTAAAACAGGTCAATGAGAGAGTGTGGTGTGCCGAAAAAAATCTGAATCTCAGCACAAGGAATAGAATCTGTGTTGATGTTAAGTGTGGGTTTCTGTGTTTCAGCCTTGTTTCTGTTACTAATCTTCAGGTTCTCCATTAAGTGGGTCTTGAATTCTTGATGCATATCCAGGGAGAATTATGTATGTGGAAAACAGGAGAATAATTAGGGTAAATAGATGCTTTATTGAGTGATGGCGCAGCTTTCAGGAGACAGAAAGTGGGTAAGTCCATTTCAAAAACAGGAAATACCTGCATCTCTGCAACACTCAGTGAAGACAGGGCCAAGAGAGACAAGATGAAGAAGCAGGTTGTTAAAACATCACTGAAGGCTTCAGTGGAGAGAAGTTTCAGAGTGGGTAGCGTCTATCTGCAGGAAGGTTGTTGAGATGTATCTGCAGCTTTAAGTTTGGAGAAGACATATCCATTTGCAGCCGTGCAATCCCAAGAAGTGTACAACTCACAGTGAAGAGGTGGCACATTGTTGGTAGATCCACTTTAAGTCAGGTTATTTCAAAGTCTGATGCAGGGCATGGTGGCTTTTGTCGATAATACCAGCAATTCAGGAGGCCAAGGCAGATGGATCACTTGCAGTTGAAAGTTTGAGACCAGCCTGACAAACATGGAGAAACCGTGTCTCTAATAAAAATACAAAATTAGTTAGGTGTGATGGTGGATGCCTTTAATCTCAGCTACTCAGGAGCTGAGGTAGGATAATCACTTCAACCTGGGAGGCGGAGGTTGTGTGAGTTGAGGTCAAACCATACTACTCCAGTCACGTCAACAAGAGTGAAACTCCGTCTCCAATAAATAAATAAACAAACATATATAAACAAACAAACAAATAAACAAATAAATAATCTAAATACGTATGGAATGCATATGAACCTCAGAAGTCAGAAAGAGAGTGCTGATTAGTCGGGTGAAGATGGGTGAAAAAGATGTCTAACCCTAAATATAACCCCTATTACTAACACTAAAACACTAACAATAACCCTCAAGCCCTAACCCTAATCTCCACATAAACCCAACCTGAACCATTAACAAAACATATCCCTATCCATAAATATAACCCTACCGCAACCCATAACCCTAAACATACACCTACACCTACCCCTAACCCTAAATCTACCCCAAACCCTAAATCTACCCTTAAACATAACACTCAGAAAAACACTAACAGAAATACTAAACCAAACCCTAACTCTAACACTACCTCTAAACACTGAACCCTAACCCCTAACTCTAACTCTGACCCCTAAAGCTCCTTCAAACCTAACCCTAAAAGCACCCTTAACTCTAACCTGAAAATTAAAATTCTAACCTTAAAAACATAAGCATAACACATAACCAACATCCCTAATCCAAATTCCTACCCCAACCCTAATTCTAAAAATACGCTGACCATATCCCTAAACTTAATCCTGACACTAACCCTAACCCTAACTCTAACCCACAACCTCAAATGCAACTGCAACCATAGCTCTAACACTAAAACTTAAATGCTAACTATAATCACATATAATAAACCCAATCCCAACTGTAACCCTGAACTCTAACCCTAAAACTAAACCCACCCTAACGCTAACCCTAAAGCTTAACACTAGGCCAAACACTAACCCCTCATCCTAACCCTAAAGTGACCCTAACCCTAACCTAAATGCTAAACAATAACCCTAAAAATAACACTGCACCCTAAACACTAACCCTAATGCTAACCTGAAACCCTAAACCGAATCCTTATTCTTATCCTAACACAAACCCTAAACCCAAACCCTAACGCTAATGCACTAACCCTCTTACCCTAACCCTCACCGTCACCTTAACTCTCACCCTAAGCACTAACTCTAACCCTCACCATGAAGTTAAGCCAGAACCTAACCCTACACTAACAACAACCTCTAACTGTAGGCCTATTTCTTACCCTAAACCTAAACATAACCTGACCCTAAAACTAACATCTAATCTTGATTCTAACTGTAGCCCTAAACATAACACTAAACTTTAACCCTGTCCCTAATCCTAATCCTAATCATAACCCTAATCCTACCACAACACTGACCTCTAACCCAACCCCAGATCTAACCCTCAATCTAAACTTTTTTCTGCAATTGTAAACCCCTATTCCTAATCCCAAACTTCTATCCCATTCTTAATATTATCATATCACCCTTCAAAGAATTTTAAATATATCATCTATGACTCTAACCCCTAATGCCCATAAGAGTACACTTAACCTTACCTCTTAACTCCAATTGAAAATTGAATTAAACAGATGATGTCACTGGGACAAAACACTAAATGTTAACAAATATGATAATTAGAGACATTAGATTATGTAACCAAATAATAGTACATGGAATTAACTACACGAGGAAGACATTATGCACCTATGTGATTACGTTTTTTTTCTAGAAAATTGAGGCTTGTTTTAACATTCTGAAGCCATCCCTCTTCAATATACCATGTAAATTAAATGCTGGGAAAACAGTACATGTATATCTCAACTGTTACAGAAAATACTTAAAGTTAGTCAACATGTTTACTGATAACAACATCCAATAAACTGTGATTAAAATGTCTTTCACATGATAACACGTCTTTATACAAAACCCATAACAATCAGCGTCTGAATTGTTGGGAACAAAAGCTTTAAGATGAAGAACACAGCACTGATGCTCACTTTCATCATTGCATTTGATACTGTATTAGAAGTTCCATCCGAAATAATTGGAAAAGAAAAATATATATGAAGCCATTCATATGTCAAAAAATAAAATAAAACTACCTACTCATGGATCTCATGATCTCATATACAGAAAATCATAAGAAATCAACAAGAAATAATAAAATCTAATAAACAAATTAAACAAACATACAGTATATATATCAATACACTAAAATCTATTTGTATACACTAGCAATAAATGATATGAAAATGAAATTAACACAACAATTTTATTTGTAAAAACAACAAGCTGCATGTTCTCCAACTTCCCTTGAACACACAGGAGCAGGCAGCTGGGGTTGGGGGTGGCCTTGGAGTGGGGTCTGTGCTGCTTTATTGGGACCTGGGCTGCACTGTCCATGGGCTAAGCAGAAACTACTCAAGTTCCTGGGGAGTCAAAGTAGAAATACTTAAGTACATAATGGATGAAGAGTAGAAAATCTACAGTGGTTTTGAAAGCCCTCATGCCACGACGTCAAATGGATATCTTCAGAGTCATAAATTAATGATAAAAAGAGAACATGCATGAACATCAACAACAGTGAAAGCCAGGGAGAGTGGCCCAGGTCATTTTGCTGAGAAGAAATGCATTGAGTTTAATTTGAGAGACGTCCCTTCACAAGTGCTGCTAAAGGCATACACATATTTTACCTAAATGTTTCACTGCGCCTACAGTTCCACAGAAATTCCTAAATTCCCATTTCACCTGAAACTGCAGTAGAACTGTTGATGGCTGTGAACTTTCTATATTGTATATAAATACAATTGATTTATAGGATAAAATAAATTAGAATAAACTCTTAAATTTTTTTTAGTGTTTAAGGCCTGTGGTTCAGTTCATATTTTTTATAGGCAGCACATTCCCTGTATGCAAGGTAACTATAAAATTAATCGCAGAAATCAAAACCACAATGAGATACCATCTCACACCAGTTAGAATGGCAATCATTGAAAAGTCAGGAAACAACAGGTGCTGGAGAGGATGTGGAGAAATAGGAACACTTTTACACTGTTGGTGGGACTGTGAACTAGTTCAACCATTGTGGAAGTCAGCGTGGCGATTCCTCAGGGATCTAGAACTAGAAATACCATTTGACCCAGCCATCCCATTACTGGGTATATACCCAAAGGACTATAAATCATGCTGCTATAAAGACACATGCACACATATGTTTATTGCGGCATTATTCACAATAGCAAAGACTTGGAACCAACCCAAATATCCAACAATGATAGACTGGATTAAGGAAATGTGGCACATATACACCATGGAATACTATACAGCCATAAGAAATGATGAGTTCATGTCCTTTGTAGGGACATGGATGAAATTGGAAATCATTGTTCTCAGTAAACTATCACAAGAACAAAAAACCCAACACCGCATATTCTCACTCATAGGTCGGAATTGAACAATGAGATCACATGGACACAGGAAGGGGAACATCACACTCTGGGGACTGTTGTGGGGTGGGGGGAGGGGGGAGGGATAGCACTGGGAGATATATCTAATGCTAGATGATGAGTTAGTGGGTGCAGCGCACCAGCATGGCACATGTATACATATGTAACTAACCTGCACAATGTGCACATGTACCCTAAAACTTAAAGTATAGTAATAAAAGAAAAAAATTAATTGCAAAGAAGATTCTATTCTGTTTTTTTGCATAACAGAGTTGAAATTTATTTGTATTCTGAAAAAACTATGGACATTTTCACAAACAGAGAAATAAACAAATATGCCAATTCATAGGCGGTTTTGCCTTACCCCTTGAATATGACTTTAAAATGAGTAATGTTGACATAGAAAATGATGAAAATTAGACATATATAATTGCATAATATGCATGTTCATAACTTAGCCAAAAGATTGATTTTTATCTAACCCTAACATAAATGTTATGTTAATGCCTGTAATCTCAGCACTTTTGGAGGCCAAGGCAGGCAGATAATGTGAGTCCAGGCATTTAAGACAGGTCCAGGCAACATGGCAAGTCTTTGTCTCTCTCAAAAAATACAAAAAGTTAGCCAGATATGATAACTGAAGCTAAGGCAGAAGATCAGTTGAGCTCAGCAGTTAGAGGCTGCAGTGAGCCATCATAGCACTTCTGCACTCCAGGCTGGGAAAAAGAATGAGACCCTGTCTCAAAATAAAAATAAAAGGAGAAGAAGAAGGAAAGGAATAAGAGTTGAAATTTTGTATGTCCTTTGATAAACCTCAGTAATGTTTAATATTGTCTTTTCATTTTGTTTATTGCTACAATTTAAGAAATTTACTTAAAAACACTTTTGGAAGGTTGCTGGGTACAATTTTTGAAGAAGCAACAGAACTATACCCAGATGGTCAACAGGTCAAATATATGACTTACAAGCAAAGCATCCTTGGCAACTTTAAAAACAGAAAGAAAAAAAAATCCATAAGGTTTGATGGGTTAGGTTATTTTCTATGTTTTTAGATTTAAGAAATCCCTTTTTTCTCTTAGATAATTATAATTTATAACACTTTAATAGGTTATACTTTTGTAAACAGAAATGAAACACTTGTTAAAAAAAATTAACTCTCCTGTCCCCCCGCCAACCACAGCCATCTGAATGGACCCCTCCTTTTGATCAAGAGCATTCCAAAATTGCTTCACTTCCTGACAAGAAAGAGGGACACACATGCTTCATTACATACTATTCCCTTTTGAACTTTAGAAAAAGCTGACCACCACTAACAGCAACACATACCTTAAATCTGATAAGGAATATTTACCACCTATTTTCTCGAGCCTGCTACATGGAGGCTTCATCATCATAATAAAACTTTGGTCTCTACAGCCCTTATTATTTATTGTAACCCAGTCATTCCTGTCTATTGATTTTATGTTTTTAGATAATAATTTAACTCTTTCAGCCAACTGCCAATTAAAACATATTTATATCTACCTGTAACTTGAAAGCCCAGCCCCACACCATCACTATTTTCAAGTTGTCCATCCTTCCTGGACCAAACCAATGTACATCTTACATGTGTTTGATTGATGTCTCAGGTCTCTCTAAAATGCATAAATGTAGGCTGTGAACATACCACCTGGGGCACATGTTCTCAGGATCTCCTGAGTAGGGATGTGTCATGGACCATTTGTCACTCATATCTGGATCAGAATTCTTCAACTAATTTTATGGCATAATATCAAAGTTTGATATTGTTAGTATATCTCAGCTAATGTAGGATGTCAATATGTATAAAGCAGACATTTACATTACCATTACAAATGCACTCTCAGTTAAACTGTGACTGTCTCAGGAAAAGAAAAAATGTTGCTAACCAGGCATATATCATATATTTAAACTTACATAATAATTCAAGTTCTAATATGCCTACTTAAAAAATGTTTCTATATTGTTTCAACTACTTTAGTTCTCTAAGAAAAATGAGTTATTAAAGCATGAAAAAAAGTGTTGTTGGAGGTTGCGATGTCTCCCCTGGCCTCAGCCCATCGTGGTTCCACTCAGCGCCTCTCCTTTCTCTGTACCAGAATCTCCGCCAGAAACAAGCCCAGATCATCTGCAAACCACACTTTGGTAGCTGTGACAATGCGTGGTCACTGCCTCACTCAAGGGACACTTTTGTAAGGTCAGAATTGGAGGCCAGGGCTGGGAAGTAAGGCCCAGGGCAGTGCCCCTCCTCAGTTCTGGGTGCTGCAGACAGGGTGTCTTTTCCTCACTTGGCCGCCAGATGTCTCAATGCCATGTACTCTCCTGGGAGGGTCCTGAGGAGACGTCTTTATTCTCACCCTGGTCGTAGCACCAGGTGACTTGTAGCAACGGCCACTCCTGGACATGTCCAGAAGAGAAGGAGGTTTTATCCTCATGGTGGACCCGACCCCAGGTGTCCCAAAGCCGCGGCCACTCTTGGGCGGGTCCTGAGATGAAGTAGGCTTAGTCTTCTTCATGAACGTGGCCACAGATGTCCCCAAGTGCCCTGAAACCACGGCCTCTCTCGAGTGTCCTGAGAAGGAAGCTCTGTCCGAGGCACTGTGAAGATAACCTGCTTCTCAGAGAGTTGGTTTGCAGGCTCAGTGCATCAGCTCCGTGCACCCTCTGGTGGTAGCCTTGGAAAATCTCTGAAATTTGGGGTGGGTTAATCCAGGCGGTCATCTCACGAAGTGGAAGTGAGATACAGCCAACCTTCCCATATCTAGAATGGAGATAAAAGGAAGCAAAGAAGACGGTCAATATACAAAACTCAATTGATTTTCTCTATATCAGCAATAATGAATATAAATAATTGGATTTTGAAATATTAAAACACCATTTACAATACTACCTGCAAAATTGAATCCATTAAGTATAACTGTAACAAAATATGCAGAATTCATTCAGAAAACAATGAGTCACCATTGGGAGAAATCAAAGGAAATGTTAGCAAATGCAGACAGGCTAGGCACGTTGTCACACGCCTGTAATCCCAGCACCTCGGGAGTCTGCAGCAGGCAGATACCTTGAGCCCATGAATTGGAGACCACCCTGGGGAACACGGTGAAAGCCCATCTCTGCCCAAAATACAAAAAAAATAAGCTGAGCTTGGTGGTGCATGCCTGTGGTCCCAGCTACTTGGGTCGTTGAAGTGGGAGAATCTGTGAGCTGAGATCATGCCACCGCACACCAACCTGGGTGACACAACTCCTTCTCACAAAGTAAATAAATAGATGTTTCTTGTTCTGGAGAAGCACATTTATTATTATTTCAGCTATATTCCAATCAAATTCCAGGTAAATATATCAACAACTTTTCCTAAACCTAGAATAGATGAAATAAGACTGAAGAAGTGCAATGCCAGATGTGATATGAATACTTACACTAAAGCTAATGTAATAAACAAGAGTGTGTCATTCATGATTTAATAGACAAGCAGATAAGTGGAACAGAATAGTCAGCCCCAAAACAGGCCCAAGTCAAATGATTTTGTCGAAAATGCAAAGAATGTCCTTTGGAAACAATAAGTCTCTTTCACAAGTGGCAAGAAAACAGCTGGAAACTATACGGAAACAAATGAACATAGACACAAATTTTACAGTTAAAAAAATTAGTCAAAAATACCCACACATTAAATTTTTTCAGTGCAAAGTTGTAATTGGAAAATATCTTCATGAGCTTGGGTTTAGTGATGAGTTATTATCAAGTCCATGAAAGAAAAAAAAACGGATAATATGAACTTTATTGAAAGTTGAAATGTCTACTCTGTAAAACACTCTGTTACCATTGGGCATGGCAGTTCAAGCTTGTAATCTCAGCACTTTTGGAGGTCGAAGCGGCCAGATCACCTGAGGACAGGGATTCCAGATCAGCATGGTAAACATGGTGAAACCCCGTCTCTAGGAAAAATTCAAAAATTTAACTGTGAGTTCTGGCGTGCACCTGTAATCCTAGCTGCTCAGGAGTCTGAGCCAGGAGTTTGAATCCCTTGAACTTGGGCGGTGGGGATTGCGGTAAGGCCATATAGGGTCATTGCACCCCAGCCTGGGTGACAAAATGAGACTCCACCTCCAGCTACTCGGGAGGCTGAGGCAGGAGAATGGCGTGAACCCGGGAGGCGGAGCTTGCAATGAGCCAGGATCGCGCCACTGCACTCCAGCCTAGGTGACAGAGTGAGACCCCGTTTCAGAAAAAAAAAAAAAAAGAACCAAAGAACCAGCCACAGCCATAGATAGAAAAATTTAGCAAACTTATCTGAAAAGTGACTTGTATGCACAACATATGCAGAAACTCTAAAACTCAAAAAGATAAGCAACCCAATTCCAAGGTAAAAACCTGAGTAGATACATCACTAAGGAAGATACAGAGATGGAAAACAGGCAGACACACCAAACACTGCTTGCGGAAAGCCTGCTGCTTCTGCTGAAGGCTGACTCTAAGCCGTCCCATGGGGAGCAGCAGTGGCTGCCAGAGCGGCAAGTGGCTCCAGAGACCGCCCCCACCTACCCCACCTCCGCTCTTCCTCCAAGGTCCAAGGGTCCTGAAGGCACTAGGCATACTCTCCTAGAAAGAACCGGAAGCTGGATACTTTATTTCTCGGCTTTCCTTAAAGTTCTGGAAGCTGCCAAGTATCCTTAAGTTGGAAGTTTTATTTTTTTCCTAAGCACCTTGAGGCACTGAGAAGCATTAGGAGAGGTGGTTTTTAACTCACACTTGTCTTCATAAAGAGATAAAAGAATTTGCTCCAACCCCTTTGTATTAAGTTGTTTTAAAATGTTTGGTTCAATATGTTGTTATTTTGCTTTCCTCCAGACACGAAACACAGAAAAAGCATTAAGTAAAAACCGAATAGGGAGTCATCATAAATTCATGGATACTATTTAGTTTTTCATTTAACCTGCCTTTTTTTATTGTAATTTAAATTATAGGATACATGTGCAGAACAGGCAGTTTTGTTACATAGGTGTACATGTGCCACGGTGGTTTGCTGCACCCATCAACCCATCATGTAAGTTTTAAGCCCTGAATGCATTAGGTATTTGTCCTAATGATCTCCTTCCACTTACCCCCTACTCCCTGACAGGCCCCATTGTGTCCTCATTGTTCCATTCCCACTTATGCATGAGAATAGGTAGTGTTTGCTTTTCTGTTCCTGTGTTAGCTTGCTGAGAATGACGGTTTCCACTTCATTCATGTCTCTGAAAAGGACATGAACTTATTCATTTTTGTGGCTGCATAGTATTCCATCGTGTATATGTGCCACATTTTCTTTATCCAGTCTATAATTGATGGGCATCTGGGTTTGTGCCATGTCTTTTTTGTGTGTAAATAGTGCTGCAATAAGCATACATGTGCAGTTTCCTTAGAGTAGAATGATTTACAATACTCTGGGTGTATACCACATAATGGGATTGCTGGGTCAAATGGTATTTCTGGTTATAGATCCTTGAGGAATCACCACACTGTCTTCCACAGTGATTGAACTAATTTATACTCCCACCAGCAGCATAGAGCATTCCTTTTTCTCCACATCTTCGCCAGCATCTGTGGTTTCCTGACTTTTTAATGGTCACCATTCTGACCGATGTGAGACAGTATCTCATTGTGGTTTTGATGTGCATTTCTCTAATGCTCAGTGATGCTGAGCTTTTTTTATATATATTTGTTGGCTGATTAAATGTCTTCTTTTGAGAAGTGTCTGTTGATATCCTTTACCACTTTTTGTTGGGGTTTGTTTTTTATTTTCTTATAAAATTTTTTAAGTTCCTTGTAGCTTTTGGATATTAGACCTTTGTCAGATAGATAGGTTGAAAAAATGTTTTCACATTCTGTATGTTGCCTGTTCACTCTGACGATATTTTCTTTTGCTGTGGAGAAGCTCCTTAGATTAATTAGGTCCCATTTGTCAATTTCGGATTTTGTTGCAATTGTTTTTTGGTCTTTTTGTCATGAAGTTTTTGCCCATGCCTATATCCTGAATGGTATTGCCTAGATTTTCTTCTAGGGTTTTTAGGGTTTTAGGTTTTACATTTAAGTCTTTTAATTCATCTTGAGTTAAGTTTTGTATGTGATGTAAGAAAGGGATTCAGTTTCAGGTTTCTGCATATGGCTCGCCAGTTTTCCCAGACCAGGGAATCCTTCCCTAGTTGCTTGTTTTTGTCAGGCTTGTCAAAGATCAGATCACTGTAGATGTGTGAATTACTTTAAGCAGTATGGTCATTTTAGGATAGAGCAGGATTTCAATCCCAGCTTTTTTTTTTTTTTTTACTTTCCATTTGCTTTGTAAATATTCCTCCATCCTTTTATTTTGAGCCTATGTGTGTCTTCACCCATGATATCAGTCTCCTGAATACAGCACACCAAAGGGTCTTGATTCTATCCAATTTGTCAGTCTGTGCACTTTAATTGGCAAATTTAGTTCACTTACATTTAAGGTTAATATTTGTACGGGTCAATTTGATCCTGGCATGGCAATACTAGCTGGTTATTTTGCATATTAATTGATCCACTTTCTTCTTAGTGTTGTTGGTCTTTATATTTTGCTACTTTTTTTAGTGATGAATACTGGTTTTGTTTTGTGTTGTTTTGTTTTCTGAGACAGAGTCTCGCTTTATTGGCCAGTATGGAGTGCAGTGCTGCGATGTCAGCTCACTGCAAGCTCCAACTCCCAGGTTCCTGCCATTCTCCTGCCTCAGCCTCCTGAGTCCAAGTACCTTTGACTACAGGCACCCGCCACCATGCCCAGCTAATTTTTTGTATTTTTAGTAGAAATGGGGTTTCACCATATTAGACAGGATGGCCTTTTACCTTTAGTTAAATAAGTTAGAGTAGAAACAAAGGAATGCGGGGTGTTTACCTAAGTAGCTTGCTTAGTCATGTGGTCCTAAGACTAATATTTGACTTAGCACAGTGCTAAATTGCTTTCTAACTGGGAAGTCCACACTGTCAATTACCCTTTAGTGGTGTTAACTAGAGCCTTGGTCAATTAATCCTTACTGAATAAATGCAAGTCTCACTAGCTGGCTGGGGCCACAGTCAAAACTGTTTGCAATAATTTGCCTGTAGTCTGTAAGCAGCTTGATGTTCAGCTGGACTGGCAAAGCATAATATCTGTGTGCTTTATTCATCCATTTATTCATTGTAGAAATCATGAATTAAAAAAATAACAGGATAAATGCGACAATATGTACTAGCATATTTTTTTCTTTCTTTTTTTTTAGTTTTTACTAAGTAGAGCTTAGAATATGATCAGTTTTCTGTGGCACAACACATGCCTGCTTCTTTTGGCAGCAATTATAGAATAATGAGAAAACAATAATAACAAAAAGTGCCAGTCTGAAGAGATCATGTATTTTATGATCATATTTCTATGACATTATAGAAATGTCTACAGAGAAGGTAAGCAGACCTGTGATGTACAGTGGTTTGTAGGGGAAAGAGAGTGAGTTGAATAGGGGAATAGGATGTTGGAAAGGGGGTACAAATGGGCCAGTTAGACTTAGACTGCCTCTGGTTCGTGAGGTCATGCTTGGTGTGTGGAAGAGCCAGGAGTGTGTAGTACAAGCATGATAAGAAGGTTTCTACTCAGCCAGATGTGGTGGCTCACCACATCTGCAGTCCCACCACTTTGGGAGGCTGAGTTGGGTGGATCACTAGGTCACGAGGTTGAGACCATCATGGCTAACACGGTGACACCCTACCTCTACTAAAAATACAAAAATTAGCCAGGCATGGTGGTGGGCACCTTTAGTCCCAGCTACTCAGGAGGCTGATGAAGGAGAATGGCATGAATATGGGAGTTGGAGCTTGCAGTGAGCAGAGACCACACCACTGCACACCAACCTAGGCCACAAAGGAAGACTCTGTTTCAAAACAAAAACAAACACAAAACAACAACAGCAACAAAAAACAAAGGCTTCTACTCACTCTAGGAGAGAGAAGGGTCCTCTTCTTTCCACATGGAACTATCTCAGGACTAGTTCTCAGGAAGCCTTTTTGGTATGTGGTAAAAGAAACGTAACATAAATTTACCAATCTAAACATTTGTAGGTGTACAGGTAAGTGGCATTATGTATGTTCATGTTACTGTGCAACCATCACCACCATTTCACATTCTCACCAGCAATGCACAAGGGTTCCATTTTCTCCACATACTCCCCAACTCTCCCTTTTTCAAAAAAAAAAAAAAAGACATTCTAGTGGGTTTAAGGTGATAATCTCATTGTGATTTAGATATCCATTTACCTAATGGCTAATGATGTCGAACATATCTTTCTGCGCTTATTGGCACTGAACTTGTTAATGGTTTCCTGGGTATGACAGAGAATGCACAGAAAACAAAAGAAAAAATAGATAAATTGAACTTCATTAAAACTAAAATCTTTCATGCTTCAAAGGGCACTATCAGGATGGTCAATAGAAAACCAACAGCATAGGACAAAATATTTTCAAGTCATATATAAGGGTAAGGGCCTAGTATCCAGGATATAGGAGAAATTCTTACAACTCAAGAACAAAAAGACAATCAACCCAATTAAAAAAATGATAGAGAAATTGAAAATACTTTTCTCCAAAGATACACACACACACAAAAACACATAAAAATTAGCTCAACATCACTTATTTCAGGGAAATGCAGATCAAAACCACAAGAAGACACCACTTTTCACCCATTGTAATTATTATTATTTAAAAACCATGAACGAACAAGGGTTGACGTGGAAGTGGAGAAAAACAAAAGTAAAATAGTTCATCTGCTGTGGAAAATAGTTTGGTGTTTCTGCAAAAAGCTAAACATGGAACCATCATAGAAACCAGCAAATCCCCCCCACCTCAGGTATATACACAAAAAATATAAAGCAGGTATTCAAACAAAACTGTGTGTGCACATATACTCATGGAAGAATTATTCACAATAACTAAAATGTGGAAACAAACCAAATGTCCACAAACAAATAATAGGAAAACAAAATGTAGTATACCTATACAATGGCATAATATCTAGCCATAAAAAGATTGAGACACTCATACTACAATGTGAAGATACTGCAAAACCATTGTGTTTAAAGAAGCTAAGCACAAAAGTCACATAGTGTATGATTTTATGTATATAAATGTCCAGAATAAGTAATTTCATAGAGAAAGAAAGCAGATTTGCTAATTGTCAGGGGTCAGAAAGAGGACAGATTGGGTAGTAGTTCCTTAATAGGTAGGGGATTTACTTCAGTAAAAAATATCCTATCCCCAGTATTCCAACAGCAGGCTGAGCTCTCATTCCATGGTGTCCCCTTAACCTGGGGTTCAAGTCCCCCCACAGTCCGGAAGTGCCTGGGGCCTGAGCAGGCACATTCTGGACACATACTCCAGCCATTGTGTCCACCAGCTCCTAGACCTGTTACCGGTGAAAAGTATCTGAGTTACTGGCAGCAAATCCGTCCGGGTCTTTAGCAATATCAATTCTTGCCTCCTCAGGTGAAAGAATTCAACTGGTGGGCATAAAGAAGGAAGAAGGAAGAAAATGCCATGGCAAGTTTCACAGCAGGAGTGGACGTTTATTAAAAAGCTTTAGAGCAGGAAAGAATGAAAATTGCACTCGAAAGAGATCCAAATGGGTGACTTGAAGAAGTGTGGCCATTAACCTTCCTTCTGGGACATTTTAGGCTGGCCTACCGCCAGCATCTGGTGCACCCTTTCCCATGATTCTTCCCCTAGCATGGGCTGCCCACAGGCACAGTGCCCTCCTTACCCTTGGGAAGTAAGTATAGACAGTGTGTTTAAGCAGTTATATGTATGCCCATCTGAGGCTTCCTCCCTTTTATTGGTGGGGTGACCCCAGAAAGTCATACTCCACCATTTTGTCTCTTAATGTGCACTCCTGGGTTCAGTCATCCAATGTCTGAGATTTTATGGGACGCCCTTTTTCCTCCTCTCTGGCATGTGAGTTTAATTAACACTTTAATGTTACCAGCTGTGTATCAGGCTATCCCTGGCCCCAGCCGCTAAATTATTATTTTTAGAGAAGCAATATGATAACTGTCCAACCATCACCCGATGGCCTGACATTCCTGGTATGCGGATGTGGAGAACCCGCTCTTGCCCCACTCATGACTGTTTAACCAACTGTAACAAACCCACGGGCCAATTTCACTTCCAGGTCAGTTTTTCTCTGCTGCCTTTCCGGACACCCAGTGATCAGTGATGCCTCCTCAGGGTTTACAAGGTCTTCAGTATCATGCTCTATTTTGATCCAGACCTCAGCACATAATATCCATGGGTTGTTCCATTTCAATAAAGGGAAATTAACATTTTCTGATCACAAGTGCATGCAGGTGTCTTACTCAGGTGAACTCACAGCAACTCTGCAAAGTATGGGTAGTCCCACATGTAGAGAAAAATGCCAGGATCCAGTGACTGAGTGACTCACTTTCAATCACACAGCTTCCAAGTAACTTCATACTCACATTCCAGCCCATGGCCTGGTCTCCAGTTGTCATTTAGAAAAGGTTTGCGAGTACTTGAACATATGCCCAGGCCACACCCAGACTTATTTGTAACAACAAAGATGAGCTCCAGGGACAATGGTTGACAAGACCCACCCAGTCATCTTTCTTCCATTCAGAGCCATTGTAGTACTCGATACTCATCAGAAACAGTCTCTTATCCCAAAGCCCTCTCATACATAGGGTGTATCAATGGGAATGGGTCACACATGGGGCACAAAGGGCAAATTTAGTGAGGGAATCAGAGCCAGCACATAAAGAAGGAGCTGGTGATTCCAAGTGTAAAGAAAGGCGGTATGCTAAGAAGTTATTGCCCTGGAGGGTGAAGGATACAAGAGGTTTGTATGACTAAATCAGAGGGAGCAAGAGAGAAAGCAGGCAATGGACCAAACACTTAGCACAAGGGACAGTGATTCCTTAACAAGGTCGATGCAGACCTACCATGACATGATGTGGCCACTGCACTCCTAGGAATGAACCATGAGAAATGAAGGCAAGCTCACAGGCTACATACATAAATAAATATTCATGACATCCTTACACATAATGGTCCCAAACCAGGAGCCCAAATGCCCATACACAGAAGAAGGGTGAACAAGCTGTGGCACATCTATACAATGGCATGTGGCTCAGCATGAAAAGGAATGGACTGTTGATGCACTCAGAACAGAGTGACTCTGAAAGTAGTTCTGCTGAATAAAAGAAGCCAGATCAGAACGACGCACAAAGACCCAAGTACATACTGTATTTACCTGTAATTCTATAAAATACCCACAAGTTTTTAGTGAAAGAAGCAGATCTGTGGTCCTAGGGTGGCCAGGGAGTGATCGTTATTGATGGGAGGAAGATGTGTTTTCATGACCTTCATCACACTTCTGGCCTTGCGGTGAATGAAATACTCACATGGAGAAACCATCAGTTCTTCCATCTACACAGGTGCAGTTTACCATATGCCAATCACATGCCAACAAAGCTGTTTTTAAATAAGCAATCATGATCCAGAGCAAGGAATAAGGTTGGGCAGGAGACCTGATGAGGCAGATTGTTTTCTTTTCCTAATCTATAAGGCTGCACACTGAAATTAAGTTGGCCCTGAGCTCAGACACTGAACAGGCCTTTGGGAAAGGCTCACACAGTCCTTCCTCCTGAACAGAAGAGTGACCACCTAACACAATACCCAGCTGCCCCTCAGGAACTTTATATGTCAATGTGACCTTCCCATCCTTGTGTCTGTTTTCTGCAATTTCCTCTTTCAGGCAGAAGCCAATGTGGCCTCTGATGTAGAGGAAATAATGTTAAAGTTCTAATATGGACATTCTGGTTCCATCATAGTAGAGAAACGGGTTGCATCTTCTCTCTTCACGACAAAGAGAAGGGAAAAGCCATGAGAACAATGTCCACAGTTGTGTGATCAGGTTGCAAGTGGAGGAAGAACATCGCCATGCCAAGGAAGCAGCAGGGCAACTGAAGGTGAAGGTTTCTGCAGAGGAAAGAAGGAAGCTTAGGGATTCCCAGAGGAAATCATCCTTCCCATTTGTAGGCCCCTGGTTTGAAGGCCAGTTCCTCTTGTCCCAATGTGAAATGAGCGTGTGACAATCCCCATTTCAGCCTTAATGCTAATTACAGAGGCAAACGTGAGAGACCAACAGTTTTTAAAAAATGCAAACAAACAAAAAAAACAAACAAAGGCAAATATGATCAACAGACAACTCACCTCCAGAGAAATGAGTCTTTAAGATCCTTCTTCCTTCTGGCCTCAAGACCTCTGTTCAAGGAAAGTTCAGAACACATGCTCCCCGTAGTCTCAGAGAAGTATAAAATATTGCATCCCTGAAAAATAACAAAATTTAGGAAGATAATAGGAAAATTCAGAGATTAGGAACAACAGCTTGAAATTCTCTTAAAATGTGTAACTCTCAAAAATTGGAAGACAGAATCTAAAAAATATTTCAAAACCACATACAATTAACAAAATAAACCTAAGAAAAGTGGTTAGCTCTCTGGGAGATTTGTCCCATAGTTGCAGTAGCGAAATAGCATTTGACATGTAAAAACCCAGGGAGGCAGTTATAAAAGCTCTGGGAATGACAGCTCCACCCCAGGCCTAGAGAGATGTTGGTGGGATAGGAACAGGAAAACGGAAGGTGTCCACCAGTGATTTTTCAGGTGGGAGGTTAGAAATGAGGGAAGATGATAAGGATGTGATAAAAGGAGATTTAATTTGAATTTTAATTTAGTTCCAACTTAATTTAATTTAATTTTAAATTTAATTTAATTTTAATTTAATTTAATTTTAATTTAATTTTAAATAGAAAGAAAGAAGAAAAGGCAATTAGAAACTCCAAGAAAAGAGAAAGCTAAAGAAAAAATATGTATATACCTATAGAATACCAAGAAATGTAGGTGAATTCAAAGTGCCAATATACTTCCTACAAGAAGAAAGTCACAAGATTCTATTGCATTGGATTGAAAAAATATATACATAAATATACATATACTCTACAGTTACTTTCAACATCAATGATAACTAAGAAAGAAACTAAAATCATGATATTTCTATCATTGTGTGAGGGTGGAGGAAAGGTCAGAGGTCTAAGAAACTCAGCCTTCCTCTGTTGTACCAGGTGTTAACAGGTAATTCAGGGGACTAGGGTTAGGTGCACATGGTGGCAGTTCCTTCTGAGTTACCCTTGCCTCATCTCTGTATTTTTCAGTCATGTGCATATATTTTTATTTTCAAAATAAAATATATGGGAAGTAATTTGTGGTGTCAGAGACTCTAGGAAGATTCTCTGTTCCAGGGTACGGGTTCCACATCTAATTAAACACCACAGATTCCAGCAGAAAATCCTAGCTCTACCCACACTTCCACTCCCTCAAACAAGACTCAAGTAATCACCACATCCAGCTCAAAAACTCAAGATCTGTCCAAAGCAGATCCACGTGTAGCCATCAGCAAGGGTATCAATAGACACAGCCACAGAGGTGTCTGCAGTGCATCATGAAGTCCAGCCGCTAGCAGTAGACCAACTGCACAGTCTGGAAGGAAATTTTCTTGGAGGATGCCAATGCTAGAGGAACCAGCCATGATGCAGGTGCAGCCATAGAGGGGTCCATCATGTTACTGCAAGCAGCCAGAGGGCAGAGGTAATGAGCAGGAAAGATGAGGGGGAGGGTGGCGACATCATGGTTGGGCCCCTACTGGTACATGTTGCCACCCTGCAGTGGCCTGTGGGAAACAGAGAACACCGTATTTTGGTGGGCAGAGGCTCTCTCAGGCCAGAGCAGTAGGACCTGGAAAGAAACTGAAGCCAAGCTCAGGAATGTGGGTTCCTGTTTCAATTTGGCTACTGGTGGCTGTGGACCCCAGGATATAACAAATTACATGCCTTTACCGTTTTCCCTGTGGCTGCAAAGACTTGGGTCAGGCTCTGAATTACCTGGCCCCCTTGAGGCGCTTAATAAAGCTTATTACTGGAAACTGATAATATATTAGCACTTTATTTACAATGACCTTCAATGAAGTGTTGTCCTCCAGTATTGAAAATAGGAAAACAATTATCAAGAGCTTAATAGTTATGGGATTAAATGATGGTTGATCCTCAAGAACTATTAGGCAGCACTTGATAATAAAGCATTGGTATTTCATGAATGCTCACTGTGTCTCAATTGTACTCTTAGGCTTTTGACAACCAGCCTGACTTAAGCTTTGCAAAAATCCCCATGGCAGATCCTGGCACCATCTCTATTTTACAGGTGAAAGGTCACATGAACCTGCTTAGGGACACATACCTGGGCAGGGCAGGATCTAAATGGAAGCAGGCCCAAGAGGTGTCAAGAAAGATGCTAATATCCTAATGGTATGTGGAAAGGAGGAGCAAATGTGCACATGGTGTGAAGGCCAGACAAGATTTAGGACAGCCCTAAATGTAGAACAGATCCACAGCAGGCCAGCCTCCAGTTTTCTTATTCTTAAATGATCCTCCTCATCAAGTAAAGATCACAGAGTGCAGGGAGGCTGCTCAAAAAAGTACTGATATGTAGCAGAAACATGAGAAAAGCAAAAGAAACAAAATACTAAAAATAAACACACCACAATGACAGCTGAGTTTGTCTTTAGGTGGCCGGCCTACAAGTGTCTTTTTCTAAGTCTGTTTTCACCATTCTCCAAAATAGACATAAATTTAGGTAATGTGTCCAGCTGCAGGAACAAGTGTTGGGTCAGAGGAAACTGCTTCCCAAACCTGGCCCCTGACCCAGGCTCCTTGCTGGCAGCTTCCCCTTCCCTGTGGTCTGTCCTGATCCCAGTGACAGGGCACTATCATCCCTACACATATTCCATGTCCTAGTCCCCACTAAAATGTAGAGGGGTACTGAACAGGTGAGATGTTCTCATGGCCCATATGATGACAGTACCTGGCAGTCAGTGCCATTCAAATTGTCTTGTCTCCAGGAAAGTAGAAAGCCAAGCCCAGTGGCTCCCATTGTCCTTGAGTGGTCTCTTGGGATTGTTGAGGCCCATTTTATTCATGTCTCTCTAAAAGAGATAAGATGGGAGAAGAGGTTTTGTGGGACTCTGAGGTACATCCTTCTTCCCAGCAGGTAAAGCAAGCCTGCTGGCTGGAAAATGCTGTTACCACAGGGGCACCCCAATATTCTTTGTTCATCTCTGGCCCTATCTTTGGTCTAAACCAACAACCCATAATTACTAACTGTGGGAAACAAAGTTTCTGGGGTGCCAATTAAGTTGGTCTCCCCTGTATGAGACACCCATGGGGAGCCATGGGCAGCCTCTGAGAAGAAAAATCTCCTTATTACCTTCATGTATTTATGCCCCCAGAGCATAACCACTCAGCGGCATTCCACTGGTTGCTCAGGAAGATAACGTTCCCTTGAAGCAGTGGAATATAATAAAACATCTTGGCTCCTCCTGAAACCCACTCCCACCCATTTCAGTCATGATAAGTTGAAGATCTTAAGTAGTTTAGACACATGCCTTTGCTCAAGGAAATTCACAGAAACCACCAGTGCTATACATCTTATTGAATGGCTGATGAGTTCTCCTTCACTGCTTAATCCTTTTCCTTATTCCTTCCTCCCCCTCCCATCTCCTTAAGGACAAAGAATTTGTAAACCAATAAATTGGGTGGAGCCTGAGAGCTCCAGGCCATGAGCAAGTCTCCAATGCTCTGGTGCCCTGGACCTACCTTTTAAGTGCTTATTCTGTCTCTTTCTAACACCTTTGTCTCCTCCAGATTCGGGGTACCCACTGGGTCTTATGTGGCTGGTTTCCCCAACACTAACCTGGGACATTCCAAATCTTGGTGCTTGTGTTGTCTCTCAAATCAACTCACCAAGCCCTCCTCAGAAAACGCAATGCCCTTTTCTGCAGCCAAAGACCTCATTATGCCACACAGTGACCTTGAAATGCAGAGGGGCAGCCACAACCCCACTTGGGCCTGTTCTGAACCTGAGATCTCTGGTTTCAGTGATCTCACAGCCAGTTGATTGAAAGGGACAGGGAAGTGTGTGGAGGAAGCACTCTCCACACCACTGCACTGCAGCCTGGACAACAGAATGAGACCCCATCTCAAAAAAAAAAAAAAAAAAAACCTTTAAAAATGCATCCTATTTTTTTCTGAGGGTGTTCCAATATGGCCAAATAGGAACAGCTCCAGTCTGCAGCTCCCAGCATGATCAATGCAGAAGATCAGTGATTTCTGCATTTCCCACTGAGGTATCTGGTTCATCTCATTGGGAATGGCAGGGCAGTGGGTGCAGCCCACAGTGAATGAGCTGAAGCAGGGCAGGGCATCACCCCTCCTGTGAAGTGCAAGCAGTCGGGGAATTTCCCTTTCCTAGCCAAGGGAAGCTGTGACAGACTACCTGGAAAAACGGAGCACTCCTGCCCAAATACTGCACTTTACCCAAGGTCTTAGCATCCAGCAGACAAAGTAATTCTCTCCCATGCCTAGCTTGGTGGGTCCCATGCCTGGCTTGGTGGGTCCCATGCCCACAGAGCCTTGCTCACTGCTAGCTCAGCAGTCTGAGATCAAGCTCTGATGTGGCAGCCTGGCTGGTAGAAAGGCGTTCACAATTGCTAAGTCTTGAGCAGGTAAACAAAGCACCCAGGAAGCTAAAACTGGGTGGAGCCCACCACAGCTCAACAAGGCCTACTGCCTGTAGACTACACCTCTGTGGGCAGGGCACAGTTGAAATAAAGGCAGCAGACAACTTTGGCAGACTTAAATGTCCCTGTCTGACAGCTCTGAAGAGAGCAGTGGTTCTCCTAGCATGCCATTTGAAGTCTGAGAATGGACAGGCTGCCTCCTCTCATCTGTCCCTGACCCCTGTGTAACCTATCTGGGAGACAGCTCCCAGTAGGGGCTGACAGACACCTCATATAGGCAGCTGCCCCTCTGGGATGAAGCTTCCAGAGGAAGGATCAGGCAGCAATATTTGCTGTTCTGAAATATTTGCTGTTCTGCATCCTCTGCTGGTGACACCCAGGCAAACACAATCTGCAGTGGACTACACCAAATCCCAAAAGTCCTGCAGCTGAGGGACCTAAGTGTTAGAAGGAAAACTAACAAATAGAAAGGAAGAGCATCAACATAAGCAAAAAGTTCATCTACACCAAAACTCCATCTGTAGGTCAACAACATCAAAGACACAAGGTAGATAAAACCACAAAGATGGAGAGAAACTACAGCAGAAAAGCTGAAAGTTTTAAAAATTGAGTGCTTCTTCTGCAATGGATCACAATTCCTCACAAGCAATGCAACAAAACTGGACAGAGAATGAATCTGATGAGCTGACAGAAGTAGGCTTCAGGAGGTTGGTAATAACAAAACTATTTGAGCTAAAGTTTCATGTTCCAATCTATCACAAGGAAGCTAAAAACCTTGGAAAAAGATGAGATGAATGGCTAACTAGAATAAATAGTGTAGAGAGGATTTTAAATGACCTGACGGAGCTGAAAACTGTGGCACAAGAACTTTGTCATGCATGCACAAGCTTCAGTAGCTGATTCAATCAAGTGGAAGAAAGGGTATCAGTGACTGAAGATCTCATTAATAAAAGAAACTGAGAAGACAAGGTTAGAGAAAAAAGAGTAAAAAGAAACAAAATCTCTGAGAAATATGGGACTAAGTGAAAAGACCAAATCTAAGTTTAATTGGTGTATCTGAAAGTGATGGAAAGAATGGAACCAACTTAGAAAACACTCTTCAGGATATTATCCAGGAGAACTTCCCCAACCTAACAAGGCAGGCCAACATTCAAATTCAGGAAATACAGAGAATGCCACAAAGATACTCCTTGAGAAAAGCAACCACAAGACATACAATTGTCAGGTTCACCAAGGTTGACATGATGGAAAAAGTGTTAAGGTCAGACAGAGAGAAAGGTTGAGTTACCCACAAAGGGAAGCCCATCAGACTAACATTGGATCTCTTAGCAGAAACCCTACAAGCCAGAAGAGAGTGGGGGGCGAATATTCAACATTCTTAAAGAAAAGAATTTTCAGCACAGAATTTCATATCCAGCCAAACTAAGCTTTATAAGTGAAGCAGAAATAAAATCCTTTAAAAATAAGGAAATTCTGAGAGATTCTGTCACGACCAGGCCTGCCTTACAAGAGTTCCTGAAGGAAACACTAAACATGGAAAAAAACAACCAGTATCAGCAACTGCAAAAGCAAATTTTAAAGACCATCGATGCTATCAAGAGACTGTATCAATTAACAGGCAAACTACACAGCCAACGTCATAATGACAGGACCAAATTTACACATAACAATATTAACCTTAAGTGTAAAGAGGCTACATGCCCCAGTTCAAAGACACAGATGGGTAAATTGGATAAAGAGTCAAGATCCATCAGTGTGCTGTATTCAGGAGACCCATCTCACATGCAAAGATGCACATAAGCTCACAATAAATGAATGGAAGAAGATATACCAAGCAAATGGAAAGCAGAAAAAAATATAAGTAGGAGTTGCAATCCTAGCCTCTGATAAAACAGACTTTTAACGAACAAAGATCAAAAGAGACAAAGAAGGCCATTACCTAATGATAAAGGGATCAATTCATGAAGAAGAGCTAAGAATTCTAAATATATATTCACCCAATACACAACCCAGATTCAGAAAGTAAGTCCTTAGAGACCTACAAAGAGACTTAGACACCCACACAATAATAATGGGAGACTTCAACACCCCACAGTCAATGTTGTCTCATTAATCAACAGATCAATGAGACAGAAGGTTAACAAGGATATCCAGCACTTAAACTCAGCTCTGTAACAAACCGGCCTAATAGACACCTACAGAACTCTCCACCCTAAATCAAGAGCATATACATTCTTCTCAGCACCACATCACACTTATTCTAAAATTGACCACATAACCTGAAGTAAAGCACTCCTCAGCAATTGTAAAAGAACAGAAATCACAACAAAGTGTCTCTCAGACCACAGTGTAATCAAATTAGAACTCAGCATTAAGAAACTCACTCAAAACTGCACAACTACAGGGGAACTTAACAACTTGCTCCTGAATGATTGCTGGGTAAATAACAAAATGAAGGCAGATATACAGACATTCCTTGAAACCAATGAGAACAAAGACACAACATGCCACAATCTCTGAAACACATTTAAAGCAGTCGGCAGAGGGAAATGTATAGCAGTAAATGTCACAAAAGATAGCAGGAAAGATATAAAATTGACAACCTAACATCAGAACTAAAAGAAATAGAGAGGCAAGAGCAAACAAATTCGAAAGGTAGCAGAAGGCAAGAAATAACTAAGATCAGAGCAGAGCAGAACGGAAAGAGATAGAGACACAAAAAACCCTTCAAAAAATCAATGAATCCAGGAACTGGGTTTTTTTTTTTTTTTTTTTTTTTTTGAAAAGATCAACAAAATTGAAAGACCCCTAGCAAGGCTAATAAAGAAGCAAAGAGAGAAGAATAAAATAGAAGCTATAAAAAATGATAAAGGGGATATCACCATCGATCCCACAGAAGTACAAACTACCCTCAGAGAATACTATAAACACCTCTAACAAAATAAACTAGAAAATCTAGAAGAAATGGATAAATTCCTGACACATACACCCTTCAAAAACTAAACCAGGAAGAAGTTGAATCTCTGAATAGACTAGCAACAGCCTCTGAAATTGAGTAAATAATTAATAGCTTACCAACCAAAAAAAAGCCCAGGACCAGGTGGATTCACACCCAAATTCTACCAGAGGTACAAAGAGGGACTGGTACCATTCCTTCTGAAACTATTCCAATCAATAAAAAAAAGAGAGAATCCTCCCCAACTCATTTTATGAGGACAACTTCATCCTGATACCAAGGCCTGGCAGAGACACACAAGCAAAAAGAGAAGTTTAGACCAATAGCCCAGATAAACATCCATGCGAACATCCTCAATAAAATACTGGCAAACTGAATCCATCAGCACAACAAAAAGCTTATCTACTACTATCACATCAGCTTCATCCCTGGGATGCAAATGTGGTTCAATTTATGTAAATCAATATACCTAATCCATCATATAAACTGAACCAATGACAAAAATCACATGATTATCTCAATAGATGCAGGAAAGGCCTTTGACAAAATTCAACAACCCTTCATGCTAAAAACTCTCAATAAACTAGGTATTGATGGAACATATCTCAAAATAATAAAAGCTACTGACAAACCCACAGACAATATCCGACAGAGTGGACAAATACTGGAGGCATTCCTTTGGAAAACCGGCACAAGACAAGGATGCCCTCTCTCACCATTCCTATTCAACATAGTGTTGGAAGTTCTGTCCAGGGCAATCAGGCAAGAGAAAGAAATAAAGGGTATTCAATAAGGAAAAGAGGAAGTCAAATTGTCCCTGTTTTCGGATAACATGATTGTATATTGAGAAAACCCATTGTCTCAGCCCAAAATCTACTTAAGCTGATAAGCAACTTCAGCAAAGTCTCAGCATACAAAATCAGTGTGCAAAAATCACAAACACTCCTGTACACCATTAACAGACAAACAGAGAGCCAAATCACAAGTGAACTCCCATTCACAAGTGCTTCAAAGAGTATAAAATACCTAGGAATCCAGCTTACAAGGAATGTGAAGGACCTCTTCAGGAAAAACTACAAAACACTGCTCAACGAAATCAAAAAGGACAGAAACAAATGGAAGGATATTCTACGATAATGAGTATGAAGAATGAATACCTTGAAAATGGCCATAGTGTCCAAAGTAATTTATACAAGCAATGCCATTCCCATCAAGCCACCAGTGACTTTCTTCAGAGATTTGGAAAAAAAAAGGTACAGTTCATATGGAGCCCAAAAATAGGCCATATTGCTAAGATAATCCTAAGAAGAAGAAGAAAAAAAAAGCTGGAGACATCATGCTACCTGACTTCAAACTATACTACAAGCCTACAGTAAACAAAACAGTATGGTACTTGTACCAAAAGAGATGTATTGACCAATGGAACAGAAAAGAGGCCTCTGAAATAATACCACACATCTGCAATCATCTTATCTCTGATGAATCTGACAAAAAGAAGAAATGGGGAATTGACTCCCTATGTCGTAAATGGTGCTGGGAAAAGGGGCTGGCCATTTTTAGAAGGCTGAAACTGGATCTCTTCCTTACACCTTACATAAAAGCTAATTCAATATGAATTAAAGACTTAAATATTAAATATAAAACCGTAAAAACCCTAGAAGAAAACATAGACAATACCATTCAGGACATAGGCATGGGCAAGTACTTCATGACTAAAACACCAAAATTAATGGCAACAGAGGCCAAAATAGACAAATAAGATCTAATTAAACTAAAGAACTTCTGAATGGCAAAAGAAACTACCATCAGAGTGAACAGGCAACGTACAGAATGGGAGAAAATTTTTGCAATCTACCCATCTTACAAATGGCTAATATCAGAATCTACAAAGAACACAAACAAATTTTCATTAAAAAAAAAAAACACCTCATCAAAAGGAGGGCAAAGGATATGAACAGACACTTCTCAAAAGAAGACATTTATGCAGCCAACAGACACATGAAGAAATGCTCATCATCACTGGTCAACAGGGAAATGCAAATCAAAACCAAAATGAGATATCATCTCAAGCCACTTGGAACGGCAATCATTAAAAAGTCAGGAAACGACAGATGCTGGTGTGGATGTGGAGAAATAGGAATGCTTTTACACTGTTTGGGAGAGTGTAAATTAGTTCAACCATTGTGGAAGACAGTGTGGTAATTCCGCAAGGATTTAAAATTAGAATTACCATTTGACCCAGCAATCCCATTACTGAGTATATACCCAAAGGGTTATAAATCATGCTGCTATAAAGATACATGCACACGTATGTTTATTATCGCACTATTCACCATAGCAAAGACTTGAAACCAACCAAATTGTCCATCAATGATAGACTGGATTAAGAAAATATGGCACATATAAACCGTGGAATACTATGCAGCCATAAAAAGGACAAGTTATTAATGGTATTATAATTAATATCTTGAATTAATAATAATATAGTGTGAATTATAACAACTGAGCATTGACATTATACAAAAATCATTTTCCCATACTGTTTTCCCCAACTTTCTATTTTTTTGTCAAAAATAGTTTGTTATGCAACATTTGCTAACAACCCAGATGTGTAATTATTGCTTTATTTTTTGTCATTTCTTTATTTTATTATTGTATTGTATTTTAATTCATTGAGACAGGGTTTCAGTCACACAGGCTAAACATGGTTCACTACAGCCTCGAGCTCCTGGGCTCAAGGGACCCTTCCAACTCAGTGCCCTATGTTCTGGGGACAGAAGTCCATGTCACCACAGCTGGCTAATTTTGTTTATTTTCTCAAAAGACGGTCACATTTTGTTGCCCTGGCTGGTCTCAAACTCCCAGACTCAAGGAAATCCCCCTACTTTGTTGGGATTACAGTTGTGAGATACCTTTAAATCCAGTAGAAAAATAAAGTCACAGAAAACCCAAATATAATAATATTGGCTTTTCTATTTCGTGACGTAATTATTTTATTGATGTTCTTATTTCTTTATTTGCACATGAGGCACTATTTTTCTTTCATTCCTTGCTTGTTTTCATCATGTTTTGTAAGGCTGATCTAGTAGTAATGTACTCTCTTTAATTATGTTTGCTTGGAAATGCCTTATTTGCTCATAAAGTTAAATTTTTGTTTGGCCAGATATTGAGTTTATGATTGACTTTATCTTCTTATTCCAGCACTTTAAAGATCTCATCACAGTGACTTCTTTCCACTATAATTTTTAATGAGAAATTGGCTGTTAATGTTATGAAGGATAACTTGCATGTGGTGAGTTACTTCTGTCTTGATTCTTTTAAAGTTCTCTATTTATTTGTCTTCTGTCAATTTCAGTGCATGTGTTTCAGTGTGGATATCTTGGATTTTATTCTCCCTGGAGTATTGTGTTCTTTAGAGATACTTGGATCAGTAGATTTGCATCTATCGACACTTTTGGGAAGTTTCAACCACTATTCATTTAAATATTCTTTTTTTCCCCATCTCACCTATTCCAGTGGGACTCCCATTATGAATATGTTGATATTCTTGATGGTGTCCCATGGAAACCTTAGTTTTGATCATTATTCTTGTTTCTCTTCTTGTTCCTTACACTGAACAATATCAAACAATCCATCTTCAAGTTGCCTCATTAGGCTTTCTACATGCTCACACATGCTATTCAGTCCTTCTAGTTACAGATTATTGATTTCATTTTTCAAAATAATTCATACATTTTTATTGATATTTTCAATTTTGAATCACTGTTCTCCTGGGTTCCCTTAGGTCTTTGAGAACACTAAAATGAAATGAATTGAAATATTTCCCTGGTTACTACCATGACTGAGTTTCCTGAAATAGTTTCTTTTAATTATGTTTTGAGTGTAACCTTTTTTTTTTTCTTTGAGTGCCTTTTATTTTATTGTTGAACAGTGAACACTTTGGATATTATTCAGCATATTTGGATAACAAAATATTGACCTCCATAACTGTTTACTTGGTGGGTTGTTTACTTGTTTAGCAACCCTTTAAAGCTATTTTTGTAGTCTGTACTCTTTGTCATGTATGGCCACTTAACCTGTGTTCTGTCACCCTTTTGGTCATCTACTCCTCTTGACATATTTTAAAAGAAAAAAAGAGGAAAATAAAGAAAATAAAATAAAAACCACCCAGACTTCGCATATGGACTCTGTGAGGAACTCTAGTGTTTAGCCCAAAGTCAGGGAAAACGAAAAGCTTTGGGGTCTTCTCCGTGCATGCATCCAAAAATGGACATACTTATATTCTTCTAAATATACAATAGGAGTCTGGGTGTGGTGGTTCATATCTGTAATCCCACCAATTTGGAAAACTTAGGAGAACAAATTACTTGAGCCCAGAAGTGCGAGACCAGCCTTGACAACATGGCAATATCTTTTCTATAAAAAAATAAAAAAAAATAAGCTGGTTGTGGTAACACATGCCTGTAGTGTGAGACGCTGAGGTGGAAGGATAGGTGGAGTCCAGGGAGGTGAGATGGTCAGGAGGCTGAGGTCGGAAGATCAATTTGAACCCAAGGAGGTTGAGGCTTCAGTGGGCCATAATCCCTCCAATGTGGGCCACAAGGCAAGCTCTGTCTCTATTTACAACTCAATCCAAAATGAAAAACAACAAACTGTGAGAGTTTTTCAAAGCTGATTTTGCTCATCAGTTTTCTTCCTCAGCCTCTTCCTTCCAGGCATTTTCTTTGTGTACTGCTTGACCTGACTCTTATTCCTTGCTACAGACAGCTCTGACTAGTGTATTCCCTTCCCACAAATGCCTCCTGAGAGTCACTTTCTGCCCCCAAGAAAAATCTGAGGTGGGCTAAAGGAAAGCCTCTGAGCTAATAATCACCAAGGGAACCTCAGACATTTTAAATCACACAGCCCACATTCTGTCTTGCCCAAACTTAGAGGTCAGGTCTTTCTTCATTAAACACTCCCCTGATTACTTAGTTAGATTCCAGAGCTCTGAAAATCAAGTCTGAGGTTTTTTTCTATTCCTTATATCTCTTCACTTTTAACCTAATGAACTTTAATGACAGCATAAAATAGAAAGTTGATTAAATTCACCTTGCTTTTTAAAGTTCAGAGAGATGTTTTTGAGATGAGTTTCACTCTCTCACCCAGGCTAGACTGCAGTGGTGAGATCTCAGCTCCCTGGAACCTCTGCCTTCCGGGTTCAAGGGATCCTTTTGCCTCAGCCTCCTGAGTAGCTGGGATTACAGCCATGCACCCCCATGCCTGGCTAATGCTCTTACTTTTAGCAGAGAGGGAGTTTCACCCTGTTGGCCAGGCTAGTGACAAACTCTTGACCTCAAGTCGTCCAGCTGCCTCAGCCTTCCAAAGTGCTGGGATTACAGGCATGAGCCATCATGTCCAGAGTGTTTTGTAAGATTTTATTTGAGGCTGCTTCCATCATTATCACGAGACACATTATGTCTTTCATATAATAAGAAATAGTTGAAAGATGGCTGAATAGGAACAGCTCTGGTCTACGGCTCCCAGCGTGAGCGACGCAGAAGACAGGTGATTTCTGCATTTCCTTCTGAGGCACCGGGTTCATCTCACTAGGGAGTGCCAGACAGTGGGTGCAGGACAGTGGGTGCAGCACACTGTGTGTGAACCAAAGCAGGGCGAGGCATTGCCTCACTCAGGAAGCGCAAGAGGCCAGGGAGTTCCCTTTCCTAGTCAAAGAAAGGGGTGACAGATGGCACCTGGAAAATCGGGTCACTCCCATCCCACTACCGCGCTTTTCCAATGGGTTTAAAAAACAGTGCACCAGGAGATTATATCCCACACATGGCTCAGAAGGTCCTACGCCCATGGAGTCTCACTGATTGCTAGCACAGCAGTCTGAGATCAAACTGCAAGTCGGCAGCGAGGCTGGAGGAGGGGCGCCCACCATTTCCCAGGCTTGCTTAAGTAAACAAAGCAGCCCAGAAGCTCGAACTGGGTGGAGCTCACCACAGCTAAAGGAGGCCTGCCTGCCTCTGTAGGCTCCACCTCTGGGAGCAGGGCACAGACAAACAAAAAGACAGCAGTAACCTCTGCAGACTTATATGTCCCTGTCTGACAGATTTGAAGAGAGAAGTGATTCTCCCAGCATGCAGCTGGAGATCTGAGAACCGGCAGACTGCCTCCTCACCTGGGTCCCTGACCCCTGACCCCCAAGCAGCCTAACTGGGGGGCACCCCCCAGCAGGGGCAGACTGACACCTCACACGGCCGGGTACTCCAACAGACCTGCAGCTGAGGGTCCTGTCTGTTAGAAGGAAAACTAACAAACAGAAAAGACATCCACACCAAAAACCCATCTGTACATCACCATCATCAAAGACCAAAAGTAGACAAAACCACAAAGATGGGGAAAAAACAGCAGAAAAACTGGAAACTCTAAAAAGCAGAGCACCTCTCCTCCTCCAAAGGAACGCAGCTCCTCAAGAGCAATGGAATAAAGCTGGACGGAGAATGACTTTGACAAGTTGAGAGAAGAAGGCTTCAGATGATCAAACTACTCTGAGCTACAGGAGGAAATTCAAACCAAAGCCAAAGAAGTTGAAAACTTTGAAAAACATTTAGATGAATGTATAACTAGAATAACCAATACACAGAAATGCTTAAAGGAGTTGATGGAGCTGAAAGCCAAGGCTTGAGAACTACATGAAGAATGCAGAAGGCTCAGGAGCTGATGCAATCAACTGGAAGAAAGGGTATCAGTGATGGAAGATGAAATGAATGAAATGAAGCGAGAAGGGAAGTTTAGATAAAAAAGAATAAAAAGAAACGAACAAAGCCTCCAAGAAACATGGGACTATGTGAAAAGACCAAATCTACGTCTGATTGGTGTACCTGAAAGTGACGGGGAGAATGGAACCAAGCTGGAAAACACTCTGCAGGATATTATCCAGGAGTACTTCCCCAATCTAGCAAGGCAGGCCAACATTCAGATTCAGGAAATACAGAGAACGCCACAAAGATACTCCTCGAGAAGAGCAACTCCAAGACACATAATTGTCAGATTCACCAAAGTTGAAATGAAGGAAAAAATGTTAAGGGCAGGCAGAGAGAAGGGTCAGATTACCCACAAAGGGAAGCCCATTAGACCAACAGCAGATCTCTCAGCAGAAACTCTACAAGACAGAAGAGAGTGGGGGCCAATATTCAACATTCTTAAAGAAAAGAATTTTCAACCCAGAATTTCATATTCAGCCAAATTAAGCTTCATAAGTAAAGGAGAAATAAAATCCTTTACAGACAAGCAAATGCTGAGAGATTTTGTCACCACCAGGCCTGCCCTAAAAGAGCTCCTGAAGGAAGCACTAAACATGGAAAGGAACAACTGGTACCAGCCACTGCAAAATCATGCCAAATTGTAAAGACCATTGAGGCTAGGAAGAAACTGCATCAACTAATGAGCAACATAACCAGCTCACATCATAATGACAGGATCAAATTCACACATAATGATACTAACTTTAAATGTAAATAGACTAAATGCTCCAATTAAAAGACACAGACTGGCAGATCAGATAAAGAGTGATGACCCATCAGTGTGCTGTATTCAGGAAACCCATCTCACATGCAGAGACACACACAGGCTCAAAATAAAAGGATGGAGGAAGATCTACCAAGCCAATGGAAAACAAAAAAAGGCAGGGGTTGCAATCCCAGTCTCTGATAAAACAGACTTTAAACCAACAAAGATCAAAAGAGACAAAGAAGGCCATTACATAATGGTAAAGGGATCAATTCAACAAGAAGAGCTAACTATCCTAAATATATATGCACCCAATACAGGAGCACCCAGATTCATAAAGCAAGTCCTGAGTGACCTACAAACAGACTTAGACTCCCACACAATAATAATGGGAGACTTTAACACCCCACTGTCAACATTAGACAGATCAACGACAGAGAAGGTTAACAAGGATACCCAGGAATTGAACTCAGCTCTGCACCAAGCAGACCTAATAGACATCTACAGAACTCTCCACCCCAAATCAACAGAATATACATTTTTTTTCAGCACCACACCACACCTATTCCAAAATTGACCACATAGTTGGAAGTAAAGCTCTCCTCAGCAAATGTAAAAGATCAGAAATTATAACAAACTGTCTCTCAGACCACAGTGAAATCAAACTAGTACTCAGGATTAAGAAACTCACTGAAAACAGCTCAACTATATGGAAACTGACCAATCTGCTCCTGAATGACTACTGGGTACATAACAAAATGAAGGCAGAAATAAAGATGTTCTCTGAAACCAACGAGAACAAAGACACAACATACCAGAGTCTCAGGGACACATTCAAAGCAGTGTGTAGAGGGAAATTTATAGCACTAAATGCCCACAAGAGAAAGCAGGAAAGATCCAAAATTGACACCCTAACATCACAATTAAAAGAACTAGAAAAGCAAGAACAAACACATTCAAAAGCTAGCAGAAGGCAAGCAATAACTAAAATCAGAGCAGAACTGAAGGAAATGGAGACACAAAAAACCCTTCAAAAATTAATGAATCCAGGAGCTGGTTTTCTGAAAGGATCAACAAAATTGATAGACTGCTAGCAAGACTAATAAAGAAGAAAAGAGAGAAGAATCCAATAGACACAATAAAAAATGATAAAGGGGATATCACCACCGATCCCACAGAAATACAAACTACCACCAGAGAATACCACAAACACCTCTATGCAAAAAAACTAGAAAATCTAGAAGAAATGGAGAAATTCCTTGACACATACACCCTCCCAGGACTAAACCAGGAAGAAGTTGAATCTCTGAATAGACCAATAACAGGCTCTGAAATTGTGGCAATAATCAATAGCTTACCAACCAAAAAGAGTGCAGGACCAGATGGATTCACAGCCAAATTCTACCAGAGGTACAAGGAAGAACTGGTACCATTCCTTCTGAAACTATTCCAATTAATAGAAAAAGAGGGAATCCACCCTAACTCATTTTATGAGGCCAGCATCATCCTGATACCAAAGCAAGGCAGAGACACAACCAAAAAAGAGAATTTTAGGCCAATATCCGTGATGAACATTGATGCAAAAATCCTCAATAAAATACTGGCAAACTGAATCCAGCAGCACATCAAAAAGCTTATCCACCATGATCAAATGGGCTTCATCCCTGGGATGCAAGGCTGGTTCAATATATGCAAATCAATAAATATAATCCAGCATATAAAGAGAACCAAAGACAAAAACCACATGATTCTCTCAATAGATGCAGGAAATGCCTTTGACAGAATTCAACAAAGCTTCATGCTGAAAACTCTCAATAAATTAGGTATTGATGGGATGTATCTCAAAATAATAAGAGCTATCCATGACAAACCCACAGCCAATAACATACTGAATGGGCAAAAACTGGAAGCATTCCCTTGGAAAACTGGCACAAGACAGGGATGCTCTCTCTCACCACTCATATTCAACACAGTGTTGGAAGTTCTGGCCAAGGCAATTAGGCAGGAGAAGGAAATAAATGGTATTCAATTAGGAAAAGAGGAAGTCAAATTGTCCCTGTTTGCAGATGATATGATTGTATATCTAGAAAACCCCATTGTCTCAGCCCAAAATCTCCTTAAGCTGATACAAAATCCATGTACAAAAATCACAAGCATTCTTATACACCAATAACAGACAAACAGAGAGCCAAATCATGAGTGAACTCCCATTCACAATGGCTTCAAAGAGAATAAAATACCTAGGAATCCAACTTACAAGGGATGTGAAGGACCTCTTCAAGGAGAACTACAAACTACTGCTCAATGAAATAAAAGAGGATACAAACAAATGGAAGAACATTCCATGCTCATGGGTTGGAAGAATCAATATCCTGAAAATGGCCATACTGCCCAAGGTAATTTGTAAATTGAATGCTATCCCCATCGAACTACCAATGACTTTCTTCACATAATTGGAAAAAACTACTTTAAAGTTCATATGGAACCAAAAGAGAGCCTGCATCTCCAAGTCAATCCTAAGCCAAAAGAACAAAGCTGGAGGCATCACGCTACCTGACTTCAAACTATACTACAAGGCTACAGTAACCAAAACAGCATGGTACTGGTACCAAAACAGAGATATAGATCAATGGAACAGAAAAGAGCCCTCAGAAATAATGCCGCATATCTACAACAATGTGATCTTTGACAAACCTGAGAAAAACAAGCAATGGGGAAAGGATTCCCTATTTAATAAATGGTGCTGGGAAAACTGGCTAGCCATATGCAGGAAACTGAAACTGCATGTCTTCCTTACACCTTATACAAAAATTAATTCAAGATGGATTAAAGACTTAAATGTTAGACCTAAAACCATAAAAACCCTAGAAGAAAACCTAGGCAATACTATTCAGGACACAGGCACGGGCAAGAACCTCATGTCTAAAACACCAAAAGCAACGGCAACAAAAGCCAAAATTGACAAAAGGGATCTAATTAAACTAAAGAGCTTCTGCACAGCAAAAGAAACTGCCATCAGAGTGAACAGGCAACCTACAAAATGGGAGAAAATGTTCACAACCTACTCATCTGACAAAGGGCTAATATCCAGAATCTACAATGAACTCAAACAAATTTACAAGAAGAAAACAAACAACCCCATCAAAAAGTGGGTGAAGGACATGAACAGACAATTCTCAAAAGAAGACATTTATGCAGCCAAAAAACACATGAAAAAATGCTCACCATCACTGACCTTCAGAGAAATGCAAATCAAAACCACGGTGAGATACCATCTCACACCAGTTAGAATGGCAATCATTAAAAAGTCAGGAAACAACAGGTGCTGGAGAGGATGTGGAGAAATAGGAACACTTTTACTCTGTCAGTGGGACTGTAAAGTAGGTCAACCATTGTGGAAGTCAGTGTGGTGATTCCTCAGGGATCTAGAACTGGAAATATCATTTGACCCAGCCATCCCATTACTGGGTATATACCCAAAGGACTATCAGTCATGCTGCTATAAAGACACATGCCCACGTATGTTTATTGTGGCACTATTCACAATAGCAAAGACTTGGAACCAACACAAATATCCAACAATGATAGACTGGATTAAGAAATTGTGGCACATATACACCATGTGATACTATGCAGCCATAAAAAATGATGAGTTCATGTCCTTTGTAGGGACATGGATGAAACTGGAAATCATCATTCTCAGTAAACTATCGCAAGGACAAAAAACCAAACACTGCATATTCTCATTCATAGGTGGGAATTGAACAACAGGAACACATGGACACAGGAAGGGGAAAATCACACTCTGGGGACTGTTGTGGAGTCGGGGAGGAGGGAGGGATAGCATTAGGAGATATACCTAATGCTAAATGACAAGTTAATGGGAGCAGCGCACAAGCATGGCACATGTATACATATGTAACTAACCTGCACATTGTGCACATGTACCCTAAAACTTAAAAGTATAATAATAAAATAAATAGTTAAGAAATATAGTTTTTTTAAAATAACTTTTAAGTGAAATAACTTTATTATTTTCCAAATTATTAAGATTTCAGTTAATTCATTTCACCACAGTATGGTAGTTGTTACAAATAATTAAGTTCCATCTAGGGCCAATTTAATTTCACAGTCTCTAACTAAAGTATTTGAGTGTAAAAATTAACTCTATAATTAGACTACGTAATGAACAGCTCATATATTATTCTCACTTTAGTGGTGTTTTATATAATTAAATGTAACAGTGATATTTTAGGACATTATCATATTGATCCTGTAGAGTCATACCCTCCAAAGAAGACAGAATTATACTGTGTAGTTGTAGGCATATCACTAGGGAATTCAAAACACACTCCTCAGATTTCATTGGGAAATGAAAAGTGACTGTTCTGTAAATATGACCCTAACCAATAAGGAGATGGCTTGTATCTTCTATGATAAGAACAACGATAATGAATTACTTGAGATTTTCCCACATGTTTGTTTCTTATATTGAGTTTTAAATAATGAAAAATCTAAATAATATTTGTTATAATAAATTTAAGTAATAAAAACATTTAAACAAATTTTAAATATTAAACATTATATTTAGCTATATGAATTAAATGGTCATTGTACATTTCTTTATTCATATAACCTCAACAGACTCTCAAGTATAGGGAAGAATATGCCACTTTCACACCTCTAAATGTCTTATAGCTAGTATGGATAGAAATGGAAGGAGTGAGTTAAAAAAATAACAAGCTCATCTGCAACACAACTAAAATCTTGTTTCATAAATAATCTATAGACTTAGTATTCAAAAATTTAATGCTGAAATTACAAAGTTGTGTTATTTATTATAATATTAAACACTTATAGAGAGGTTATGATATCTCAGACTTTTAGCTTAAAATTGTGGTATAATAGGAAATAACACTGAAATGGCTCCTCTCTCATAAAGTAACAGTTAATAGTAAAGCAGAAAGGAAGAATAAAAAGAAAAAGAAAAGCGATGTGCTTTATTCATTGAAAGGAAGAATAATTCTAGAACCCTCAGTGAAAAATAAATTGAATATAGTAACACAGAAGGAGGAAGTAGATTAAGATGTTGATACTACAATTTAGGGAGCAATGAATGATGACCTCCAGTAGAATGTATAAGCAGCAACAAGAAAAACACATTTGTAAGTGGTAGATAATAAAAAAAGTTATTATAGGTAAAATGTGAAAGAGATGAGGGAAAATAATGTATTTGGAATATTTTTATGTTATATAGATGATGTATTTTGGGACAAAAATGATGGAAGGGAGAGGTATGTAGAAAGTGTAAGGAAGTTCAGGGGAAGCTTTCAATTTAGCTGTCTTAATCTTGGAACGCTCATAAGAGAAAAAAATCACAATGTATAGGAATTCAGAGGTCATATCACTGAATTCCTTAGAACTACAGGTTTAAAACCTTACAGGCTTTTGTCTCAAAACATCAATAAAAAGCCAGGTGTGGTGGTGTGCATCTGTAGTCTCAGCTACTGAGGAGATCAAAGCAGGAAAATTATTTGAGCCCAGGAATTTGAGGTTGTAGTCAGTCCAGGTCTCACTACTGCACTCCAGGCTGGGTGGCAGAACAGTTTCCTAAAAAAAGAAAACGAAAAAAAAAAAAAAAAAAAAAAGAAAATGGGAAGGGAAAAGGGAAAGGAGAAAGGGAAAGAGAAAGAGGTATTCTGTGTAGTTAGATTAGTGGTCTAATGAATAGATATCTATGAGATAAAATGAAACCAAAGGCACTGACAATTAAATAGAGAAATCAGAGGAAAGTTGAGTCATGTAATCCAAAGCAAAATAGTATTTCAGGAATGAGGGTGTGAATCAGTTTTACAGATACACATGACGGTTTGAGTAATATGCAACAGATAAGTGAAATATGGTATTTAGTGAGAAGTATAAGATATGATTCTAAAAAACAGGGTAAATGCCTGAAGAAAGGAGGGTTAAGAGAAATAAAATTAAACCTTGTCAGGGCCAACTCTTTCCATGAGTCTTGCTATCACAGAAAATAAATACATGAGTTGAGAGTGGCATATCTAAGGCTAAGACAAGCAGCATGTAGATCTGGCAAAGAAAATGATCAAGCCGGATGTAGTGTCTCATACCTGTAATTCCAGCATTTTGGGAAGCTGAGAGGGTAGATCACTTGAGGTCAGTTCAAGACCAGCCTTGGCAAAATGGTGAAACCCTGTCACAATTAAAAATTCTAAAATTGGCCAAGCATGGTTGTGCATGCCTGTAATATCGGATACTCAGCAAGCTGAGGCAGGAGAACCACCTGAATCTGGGAGGCCCAGGTTGCAGTGAGCCGAAATTGTGCTGGAGACTCTGTCTGAAAAAAATTAAACTAAAATATAATAAAAAGAAAAGATCCTGCAGGTAGAGCGAAGAAGTAATGGTACAAGGAGACAACAAATAATAAGTAAATCAGTGTTTTAAGAAGCTGTGAAATCCAAAGCAAAGGTGAAGAGGGTCATAGCTAGGGGCAGAAAAAAATATTCGCAAATCTACACGAGCTTTATTTTTGGTGGTGATTTCTCATGAGAAAGAAACAGAAAAGAAAGTGTGACAAGAAAGTTGTCACCATTGCTTTGGTAGAAAAAAAAGGAGAAAAAAGAACAAAAAATAATGTAAATTATATACTATTTAGCTTTAATGTTCTTCATCCGTTCCCATGGTGTTTGTTTCCCCAAGAAATAACAGAAGCCAAATAGCCAAAATAGAAGAAAACATTTGCATATATTACTGTCTATATATATTAAGCCAAGTTTATTTTAATTTTAATTCATTTTTAAAAAATTTTTATTTTAAATTAACAATTGTAAATATTTATGGGATGCAAAGTGATTTTATAATGCATGTATATATTGCAAAAGAATTAAATTGGGCTAGTTACCCTATCCATCACCTCACATACTTATCATGTCTCTCTTGTGGTACGAATACATAAATTCTGCTTTTTAAACAATCTGTTTTTTTGATATAGTTTTGCTCTTGTTCCCCAGACTTGAGTGCAGTGGTGCAACCTCAGCTCATTTCAACTGCCACCTCCTGAGTTGAAGTTATTCTTTTGCCTCAGCCACTCGAGTAGCTGGGATGACATGCACATGCCACCAAACCTGGCTAATTTTTATATTTTCAGTAGAGACAGTGTTTCATCATTTTGGCCAGGCTGGTCTCGAACTCCTGACCACTAGTGATCCTCCCACCATGTCTACCCAAAGTGCTGGGATTTCAGACTTGGGCCACCATGCCTGCCCTTTTTTTTTTTAATTAAGCAATTTTGAAGTTGGCATTCATTAACTGTGGTCACCGTTCTGTGCAACGGATCACCAGAACTTCTTCCTATCTCACTGAAATTTGTTACCCTTTGATGAACACATCCCATTTCTCTATCCACTGCCATCTCCACCCCACACTCCAATCTCTGACTACATTTTGTGTATTTGTATAAAGAGTCAGGGCCTTGTTGCATTGCCCAGGCTGGAGTACATTGACACAGCTATGGCTCACTGTGGCCTCAAATTTCTGACCTCAAGTGATCCAACCACCTCATCCTCCCAAAGTGCTGAAGTTACAGGCATGAGCCACCACCGCTGGCATATTCACAGTTTGAATGAGTTCAACTTTTTTAGATTTTACATATAATTGTGATCATTCTTTACTAGTCTTTCTGTGCCTCTCTTAGTACACTGAGCATAGTATCTTCCAATTCCATTCATTTGGTCACAAATGTATAACAAAACTTCCTCCTTTTTTAAGGCTGTATAGTATATCTCATTGTGTTTATGTGCCACACTTTATCTGTTGATCTGTTGATGAGCACTTGGGTTGTTACCATATCTTGGCTATTATGAATAACGCTGAGATGAATATAGGAGTGCAGATATCTTTCTGACATGTTAATTTTATATCCCTTGAGTACACATTCTGAAGTAGAGTAGTTGGATCATGTGTTAATTCTATTTTCAATTTAATTTAATTTTTGAAACCTCAATGCTATGGCCCCAAAAGCACAGAATACAAAAGCACAACAAAAAACAATTGAATCACGTTATATCAAACTAAAATGTTTCTGCACAGCAAAGGGAAAAGGGAAACAAATAGTAGAGTGAAGAGACAACCCAAACACTTGCAGAAAATATCTGCAAACCATATATATGATAAAGGGTGAATAATAAATACATACAAGGAACTCAAGCAATTTAACAACAACAACAACAACAACAACAAAACTAAGCCTATTAAATATGGTCAAAGACCTAAATTTATATTTCGCTAAAGAAGACATATAACTGGCCAACAACTCTATATTTAATATTGATTGATTGTTTGATGGATTGATTGATTGTTTGATGGATTGATGGATGGATTGATTTCATTTCTATTCTCACTCTGTCACCCAGCCTGGAGTGCAGTGGTGTGATCTTAGCTCACTGAGTCTTCTACCCACTGGTTTCCAGCAATTCTGCCTCAGCCTCCCTAGTAGCTGGGATTACAAATGTACGCTACTTTGCCCAGCTAATTTCTGAACAACTGTATACTTAAAGATGCTCAACACCACCAATCATCAGGGAAATGCAAATTAAAATCAACAATGAGCTCTCCTCTTACACATGTTGGAATGCCTATTACTATCAAGATGAAAGATGACAAGTGTTTTTGAGAATGTAGAGCACAGAGAATTCTTGTGCACTATTGGTAGGAATGTAAATTTGTATTTTAAATTATTAACCTGAGTATTTCCTCTTAATAGAACAGGTTTTGTCCTTTAAGATGCATTAATATGAGTTGCTTTCTGTTAGTCAAGGTTTAATGAGAAAGACTTTCGATATCTTAAATTAATATAAATAGGATTGTACTCATAAGACTTCTGTTTCAGGCTCTTCTTAAGTACAGAATGAAATCTGCGGTAAGTACTCTTTCTGAAAAGAAAATGTTCTCTGATAATATATGTGCTAGATTACAAACACTTGTTAAATTAAAAACATAGGTACCAAAAATATACTAGGTGAAAAATTCATTATGGTTATTTTTTCTGTTCAGTTTTTGGACAGAGATGGATTTTTTATTTTGTTTTGTTTAATAAGTTGTACAATTATATTTAAGAAAACAAAAATTACTTATGCATAGTCACAGGAGAAAGATCAATCTTATTGGAAGCTACTTCCAAGGTTTTGCTGTTTATAATTTTTATGAGTATCTTTGTAATGTCATATTCAGCCTCTTTACTCTTTGTTCTGTGAAAGTATATATGGATAGTTTATGGATATTGCATATGTTTTTTATTGAAAATATCCAACCCTTCTCCATGAGTGATATTAATTCCTCAGCTGCTTATTTTTATTCTTTTAATTGAGTTTTCTCCAGATGTTTACACAATATCACAGTGCTTCTGAATGATTTTCAGTATGTCCTCGCAAAAATTTTCTTGACCACCTTGGGTGCAAATACTGACAGAAGAGGAGCATAAAGCCAATGGCTAATAGTTAGGTTATGATGAACTACATGGCAATTAATGAGTCACAAGACTTCAGTGAAATTTTCCCTCCAACGAACATAAATATCAATATTATTATCACATTTTCTAAAAACTAGAAGCTGTAGTGTAGGATTCTATGGCCCACCTCAGTCTCTTGTCAATTACTTCCTCATTTGAGAGCTGCAGTTTCAGTGCTGACCAGCCAGAGAAGTTGATAGCAGCATATAGTAGCATGATTAAGGTAAGCATCCGTATGTACCCACCATGCTGGAATTATTTTCTGTGTTGTTATGAAGATGAGCTCCACTTTTCCAAAACTCCAGCCATGGTGCCAACAATAATACAAAATATATGATTAATAGTAATGGTAGGCTCCTCTGTTTCAGAGATGCAGGAAAAAATTCCAGAGTCACTACACGTGAGATAATCACCAAGGAACACCGTATCATGACAGATGAATTTTATCGCTTGTAGCTTAATGTCAGGAAAGTCGTTGCTGGTATGGATGGCCAGTGTATTGCAGTGAATGGCCGCATACACAAGTGGTAAGAAGGAACATGTCATCAGCAATGCTACTAAAGATAAACAAGAAAATGTTAGAGAATAATTTTCATTAGTAATGACCACTTTCTCTTTTAAAGTTTCCATGTTAAGGTATATTCCTCCCAACCCGCATCCTTCAGAAAATAATTTACTTAAAAAAAGAAAAAAAAATTGTTAATTTTACATTATCAGGGATTTAGTAAATATATGCATGCAAAACCTATATTACACATGGGAAAAACAAATAATAAGTAAATACATACATACCCATGTTTGTAAATGTACATACACATCCCCCCAATAAAAAAAATAACTGGAACACATGCAATTGGATAGAGACATTCATATCTGATACTATAAGGTGTGAAAGCACATAGAAAGAAGTCTCAATTAAGAAAAAGCAAAATTACCTGATTAGATTTTGAAAAGGTAGTTACCTTCTCATAGAAAGCTAGAGTGTAAAGAGGAAATTACAATGCAAAGTGGAGGCAAATATAATGTAAACTGTGTTTTAGACTATGGTGATAAAGGGAAATAGAAATAAGCTGTGCAGTTAAAGTAAATCCTGGAAGTGGAGCTGACAGATTTTGCTGAGTGATAAAATACAAGGTATCAGAGAAGCAGAAAAATTAAACATTTTAGAAATTAAGTGGTATGAGTGTGCATGTTTTTGTTTGTGTGTATTCATGTAATTTTATCAGAAAGTTTTTAATAAGCAAATTAATTTAATTTTGACATTGTTCTCCCAATAATTAGACTAATATGCAAAAGGAACCAAGTCAAAATTATGAAGTAGTTGAATAATCAGTTTAAACAATTTTGTACTACCTTTAGTTGAAAGAGTAAAATTTCATTTCCCATAAACAGGTGGGTTAAAAAATACACTCTTCATACACAATGAAATGAAGCCAGAAAACAAAAAGAGGCCATATAGTCATTACTCATCTAAAGTAATTATTCATTTTCTAACACCATTTAGAAAATGAATATCAAGAGTTCATTTATTCCTTCAGGAATACCCAGAGAGAAACTAAAGCAATAACATGCTTAATTGCATTTATCAGAAATAAGACTGAATAAAAGTAAATGACCTAAAAATTAAATTTTAGAAAGTAAATTTTAGCTGGGTGTAGTAACTCATACCCTTAATCCTAGCACTTTAGGAAGCTGAGGTGAATAGATCACTTGAGCCCAACAAAAACAAAACCCAAAAAATATTAGCCAGGCATAGCTGCACATGCCTGTAGTCTCTACTACTCAGTAGGTGGAGGTTGGAGGATTCCTTGGGCAAAGGAAGTAGGCATAGGACTTTTTTGCCTTGGGACTTTGATTTGCCTGTCCCCTGACCCCAGCACTTTGGGAGGCTGATACCCAGGGGTAATCTTGCAGACCAACCGCAGCAACAGACTAGAAACTATGACCTCAGCCGAATGGACTTGAGTTCGAGTCAATATTCCTGCTGATTGACTACTGTAACCTCAGGCCCCGAATAAGGAGCAGAGGGCAGACCATGGAAGCTACAGGCCTTGAGTGCACCAAGTGCTCAACTGTGTGCTACAGGTACAACCTGGCACTGAGTCAGCTTTGTGTATAAATTAATCCAGCCATGAAAATCTGCTCATTAGTGTTTCCCCTAGTGCTACCAGGGCTGAAGGTATCATAGGCTTAAAGACCTTAATTTCCTTCTTCTCCTTGCCCTGAATCTCTGGACAGGCTTACTGTGGGAGAAAGCATCCAAACAAAGCCAAAGCGTGAACACTGAATTAGGCACCTACATCACTGCACAGATTTCCATGCATAGTCACAAGGATTAGGATCAATGAGAAAAACATGACATCAAGTGGTCAAAGTAAGGTGCCAGTGGTGACTGACCCAAAAGAGATGTGTATGGACACATGGCCCAAAAAGGAATTTAAAATAGTTATTTTATGACAATGCAGTGGACTTCAGCAAAACACAAAGAATTCCGAAATTTATCAGAGAAACTCACCCAAGAGACTAAAATAATGGGAGGAAAAAACAAACAGAAATCTTGAAGAATAAAACACAACAAAATAAAAAATGCAATTGACAGCACTTACAACAGAAGTGGTCAAGCAGCAAAACTCAGACAGGTCAATTGAAAATATACAGTTAGAGGAGAAAACATAAATAAGATTCATGAGATTAATGAGATAATATCCAAAGAGCAAAGGTATTAGACACTGGCATTTAAGAGCTTGGTAGAGCTGGGCATGATGGCTCATGCCTATATCTCCAGCACTTTGGGAGGCCAAGGTGGGTGGATCGTATGTTGTCAGGAGCTTGAGAGCAGCCTGGACAATGTGGTGAAAACATTTTTCTATTAAAATACAAAAATTAGTCAAGTATATTGGTGGACACCTGTAATCCCAGCTACTCATAAGGCTGAGTCAGGAGAATCACTGCAACCCAGGGTGTCGAGGTTGCAGTAAGCCACAATCACACCATTGTACTCCAACCTGAGAGACAAGAGCAAACCTCCATCTCAAAAAGAAAAGGAAAGAAAAGAAAAGTACAAAAAAAAGAGTAGAAAGCCTATTTAGAGAAATAATAACAGAAACCTTTCTAAACTTAAATAAAATACAAATATTCTGCTACAGGAATATCGAAGACTTCCAATCACATTCAATTTCAATAAAAATATCCCCATAGCTTAATGTAATCTTAATGTAATCAAACCACCAAATATCAAAGACAAAAAGAAGATACAGAATTAAGGAGGAGAAAAATAAAAGAAAATATTATACCAGGAATATACCTATATAACTAATATAAGCATACATATAATTCAAATGTTAATAGATCAAAAGGAAGAAAAAAAGTGCAAGATAATACTGGAAAACTTCAGCACCTTACTTTCAGCAATGAATAGATAATGCAGACATAATTCAATAAGTAAACATTGGACTAAAATGCCCTGTAGGACAAATGCTAAAAACAGGCACTGAACTATCCATCCAAGAGCTATGGAATAAACATTCTTCTCCACTGCATATATGGAACATCTTCCAGGATATATCATACATTAGGCAAAAATCACTTCTTAACGAATTGGAAATGATCAAAGTCATATCAAGTATCTCTTCTGAAATCACTAATTCTTAAGTACATCAAAATTAAATAATATACTCCTGAAAAACCAATGAGTCAATGAAGACATTAAAGACAAAACACCATATTTCTTGAGACAAAAATAGAAACACAACACACCAAAACCTAAGGGATACAACCAAAGCAGTTTTCAGAGTGAAGTTATGGCAATAAATGCTTTCAACTAAAAGAAGATACCAAAAACACAACCTGATGTTTCAATCAAGGAATTAGAAAAACAAAAAGCTAAACTCAAAAGTACAAAAAAAGCCCCTAATAAAGAAAATCAGAGTCAAAAAAGAGATACCATAACTCATACCAAGAAACAAATTAATGGTAAGAAATCAAATCAGCAGTAAAAAGTCACCTATTAAAGATAAACCTATTACCTGATATATTCACTGCTGCATTCCTCTTACCACAAAAAAGAAACTACTGCAACTTTTTTTAATGTAGTCAAAACAAAACGAAAAAAAAACAAACAACAAAAAAGAAGATATGGGAACTGTTCCAACTCATTTCATTGGGATGGCATTATTCTGATTACAAAAGCAGACAAGGATACAAAAAAAAAGGAGAAAACTATGGGCCAATATAATGTAAAAATCCTCAACAAAATACTGGGAAAATGACTTATAATGCACGTTTAGAAAATCATTCACCAGGAGAAGAAGGCACTGCATTTAATGTTACCATGGGTTATAAATACTCACCTCTGGGCTTCAGACATGGACCTGGTTGTATCCATCTATAAACTGAAGTCTGGGCCACTTATCTTCCAGAGATCAACTGCAGAGGAACCAGGATATTTGGTCTTTGGCCTCTCCTTTCTCCTTTAAAACAAATGAAAGGAGGAGTAATGGGAGATACCCCATACTTTCAATATAAACCTGCAGGAAAACCATGCCTAAAAAATTTGGAAGGCCCATCTAAAACTTTAATCTGGGAAGACTGTGTTAACTCACATGCAGTAATATTTAAAAATGACTCATACAGTTTAGTAACAGACTGGGCCCAAAGGACTATTTAAAAAACAATTGCTCCACTGGTGGAAAGGCATGCCAGGAGGCTACTTATTTTATTTCTTATCTGGAGAAGGAGAATCATCACTCTACTTTGCATAGGAGATTCAGCTCATTCTTTCCCTTAAAATGGGAAGATAAAGGCATTAACCCCCACCAAGGCCTTGTATGATACTCCACATTCTGAGCCCAGAACACCCAGAATTTTGGAAATTGGCTATTGCCATGTCTGGACTGTGAGTATGGGAAGGGGAAATGATTCTGCTGTTGTCCCCACTACCATCCCACTCTCTCAGTATCAACGCAGATCCAGGCATTCCGCTTTATTTACCTCCAACCTGACTGTTCCCAAACAGAGTTGTGTTAAGTCTCATTACATGCTGTTAGTGGGAAATATCAAAATTTGGACCAACAATCAAACTGTCCAATGCATTAATTGTCATTTTTACACTTGTATTAACTCCCATTTTGACTCCAGGAAAAGTGTAATGTTGTTCGAGCTCAAGAAGGAATCTGGATGCCCAGACATTGGGAAACCTCCCCCTCAACACATTTAATTAATGAAGTGTTACAGCGAATTCTAAAAAGATCCAAGAGATTTATGTTCACTTTAATCACTGTGATCATGGGCCTAATTACAGTCACTGCAATGGCCACCACAGTCAGAATGTTGTTACATCAACCTATTCAAACGGCTCATTTTGTTAATGATTGTCAAGCCATTTCCACCTACATGTGGAATTCTCAACAAAGTTTTGATCAAAAATTGGCTAATCAAATTAATGATTTAAGACAGTCTGTTATTGGGCTTGGAGATTAAGTAGGGAGTCTTGAACATCACATGCAAATGCAGTGCAATTGGAATACTTTGGACTTCTGTATCACCCCGTATTCCTATAATGAGACTGAACATTCATGGGAAATGGTCAAAGGACACCTTCTGGGTAGCAAAGATAATTTATCATTGGACATCACTAAATTAAAGAACAAATTTTTGAAGCCTCTCAAGCTTGCATATGCATTACACCTGGAGCTGAGGCATTAGATCAGGTGGCTTTTTAGTGTGCTGGACCAGTCAAAGAATCCTGTGTCAAACTGAGAGAACAAACAAGCCTTCATCGTTATGGCACATTTGCATAAAAAGAAAGGCAGAGATGTTGTGGGAAGTCAGGGAGCCTGAACAGAGGGACCGGCTGAAGTCATGGCAGAAAAACATAAATTGTGAAGATTTCATGGACATTGTAGATCCCCAAATTAATACTTTTATAATTTCTTATGCCTGTCTTTACTGCAATCTCTGAACATAAATTGTGAAGATTTCATGGACACTTATCACTTTGGCAATCAATACCCTTGTGATTTCCTATGCCTATCTTTACTTTAATCTCTTAATCCCATCATCTTCATAAACTGAGGAGGATGTATGTCACCTCAGGACCCTGTGATGATTGCACTAACTGTACAAATTGTAGAGCATGTGTGTTTGAATAATATGAAATCTGGGCACCATGAAAAAAGAACAGGATAACAGCAATGTTCAGGGAACAAGGGAGATAACCTTAAACTCTGGCTGCCTGTGAGCTGGGTGGAACAGAGCCATATTTCTCTTCTTTCAAAAGCAAATAGGAGAAATATCACTGAATTCTTTTTCTCAGCAAGGAAAATCTCTGAGAAAAAGAATGCATCTCTAAGGGGAGGCCTATGAAATGGCCGCTTTGGGGATGGTTGTCTTTTATGGTGGTAGGTAAGGGAAGAAATAAGCCCCAGCCTCCCATAGTGCTCCCAGGCTTGTTAGGATGAGGAAATTCCCACCTAATAAATTTTGGTCAGACTGGTTGTGTGCCCTCAAACCCTGTCTCCTGATAAGATGTTATCAATGACAGTGCACACCCAAAATTTCATTAGCAATTTTAATTTCACCCCAGTCCTGTGGTCATGTGATCTCACCCTGCCTCCATTTGCCTTGTGATATTTTATTACCTTGTGAACCATGTCATCTCTGTGACACACACCCTATTTGTACTGTCTCTCCCCTTTTGAAAATCACTAACAAAACCTTGCTGGTTTTGTGGCTTGGGGGGCATCACGGAACCTGCTGACATGTGATGTCTCCCCCAGACACCCAGCTTTAAAATTTCTCTCTTTTATACTCTGTCCCTTTATTTCTGAGACCAACCAACACTTAAGGAAAATGGAAAAAAAACTATGTGAAATATTGGGGGTGAATTTCCCCTGATACACCATGATCAAGTGAGATTACAGGGATGCAGGAATGGTTTAATACACAAGAATCATTAAATGTCATAAATTATATAAAAAATAAAGAACAAAGTATATGCAGTCATTTCAATAAGTGAAAAAAATTTGACAAAATTCAACATTTTTTCTGAATAAAAACCATTAACAAATTATGCATAGAACAACTGTAACTCAACACAACAAATGACATAGACCCAAAGAACCAGGTAACATTCTATATACAAACCCTTAGCTAATATCACACTCAGTGGGAGTTAAAAGTTGAAAGCTTTTCTGTGAAGATCTGAAAAAAGACCAGGATGTTCACTTTCACTACATCTATTAACAGAATACTAAAATTCCTTAGCCAGAGCAATTAGACAAGAGAAAATAAGAAAAGGTACCCAAATTGGAAAGGAAGAAGTAAAATTGTCCATATATACTAATTACATAATATGGAAATCCATAAACACACCACTAGAAAGTACTTAGAGCTGACTCAGAAAGTAGGTAAAATTTCAGTTTACAAAATCAACATATTCAATTCCTTAGTATTTCCATAAACAAATAGCAAAATATAAAAAAAATTAAGAAAACAATCTCATTTACAATAGGTACGGGGAATAAAAAGGAGTAAATTTAAGCAAGGAATTAAAAAAATCTGCATTCTGAAAACTATGAAACATTAATAAAATGTTAGGATGACATAAAAATATGGAAAAATATCTATATTCATTGATTGGAAAAATTAATATGGTTAAAATGTTTATATGATCCAAAGCAGTGCACAGACTGAATGCAATCTCTATCAAAACACCAATGGCATTTTTCACAGAAATTGAAAAATATCCTAATTTAATATGAAACCACACACACAAAACCCTGAATAGCCAAAGCAATCCTGAAGATGGCAGTGGGGTTGGGGAGTGAATCCACAGAACTGGAGGTGTCACAATGCTATCAACCAATACAACAGAATGCAGTCAGCAAAAATAAATTTACACCTGTATAGCCAACTGATATTCTGCAGAGGTGCCAAGAACACAAAATGAAGAAATGTCAGTCTCTTCAATAATTGGTGCTGGAAAAACAAGAGAGCTATATGCAGAAGAATATAATTAGAACCCTAATTATATTCTCACAAAATAGAAAAATTAACGCAAATGGATTAAAAAGCCTATTGCAGTGGAGTCCACCTATAGTTTCAGTTACTTTGGGGTCTCAAATGGGAGGATCACGAGAGCCCAGGTGTCCAAAGCTGTAGCATGAAACACTTATGCCACTGTACTCCACACTTGGTAATATAGTGAGAGCTCACCTATAAGAATATATTTTTAAAAACATTTAAAAATAAAGATGTAATGAAAACACAAAACTGTCAATCTAGGAGAATAAATCACAAAACATATTTAACGACCCTGGTCTGAGCAAGAATATTTTTTGGATAAGACTTCAAAAACAGAAGTAAAAAACACACAAACAGAAAAATAGGTTACATCATACTAGAAAACTTCCATACACCAAAAAATAAAAACAAAATAAAATAAAATGAGAGCAAATATTTGCAAACTGTACATCAGACAAGGGGTTAATCAAAATATACAAGGAACTAAAAACAGATTCAAAAGAACAAGCAAATAATAACCTAATTAAAAATAAGTATCTTCTGTTTTCAAAAGAATATATATACACAGATAACAGCTGTGTGTGTGTGTGTGTGTGTTTGTGTGCTTGAGTGACTGTGGCTGTGTATATCTACATCTACATCTATCTATCTATCTATCTCTCTATCTATCATCTATCTATCTAATTATCTACATATCTCAACTTTTCTCATCATCACAGAATTGTAACCTCTACTTCCCAGGTTGAAGTTATTCTACTGCCTCAACCTCCTAAGTAGCTGGGATTACAGGCATTTGCCACCAGTCCAGCTAGTTTTGTATTTTTAGTAGAGATAGGGTTTCATCATGTTAGCTAAGCTGGTCTCAAACTGCCAACCTTAGGGGATCTGCCCGCCTCGGCCTTTCAAAGTGCTGGGATTAGAGTTGTGAGCCACCATTCCCGACCTATTGCAAGAAATTTAAGAAATTTTATAAATTTCTTAAATTAACCTGGTGAAAAAGAAAAAGTTGGCCAGGCATGATGGTACACACATGTAATTCCACTTTGGGAGGCCAAGGTGGGTGGATCACGAGGTCAGGAGCTTGAGGCCACCTGGGCCAATATAGTGAAACCCCATCTCTACTAAATACACAACAATTAGCTGGGCGTGGTGTTGTGCTCCTGTAGTCCCTGCTACTTGGGAGGCTGAGGCAGGAGAATCCCTTGAACCTGGGAGTTGGAGGTTGAAGGGAGCTGAGGTCATGCCACTGCACTCTAGCCTGGGCAACAGAGTGAGACATTCTCTCCAAACAACAAGAACTACAGCAACAAAATTAGGTACGTTTTTATGACACGGATATTTATTGGTTCTAATATTGTCAGCAGTTTTATTTACTTGTTGAGTTTTCTGGCTAATGTGTTGTTCATTTTTGGTTGTTTCTGCCTATGTCCTTTTCTTTCAGGAGATTCAGTCAATTAAACTTAAATTAGCTCCAGAGTATGGCCCACAATCACTTCATGCATTGTCACTGGGATTAACTCTTTGGCTTTGCAGAAGTGTTTCTTGCCCTGCTAGTGTTACTCATTACCCTTGCTATTACTAATTTTTATTTGCATAGAAGATTAAATCATGAGGTTGCACATTTTTGCATGTGTTTATAAAATTCTGCACTTACCATTTTAATGAAAGGTAACAGTTATCCCCAGTGACTCAATTCTATAAAATGTATGTAATTTTTTATACATTTTACTATCTTGGAACTCTAAATGCAGATCCGAATGAAATTAGTTTTTAAAAAATTTACAGTACATGTGCAAATCAGTATAGTAACAGACAGGAGACATATGGAAATGAATTGCTTAGCTATGTTTTGAAGTTCCAAGTCACAGCTACAAATGTAAGGATGTCTAGAAATCTACCACTAACATGTTAATACACGTCAGTTGACAAAAAAAATTTATGAGATTATTTTCAAGCCATACTCTCTTCTCACTCACACTATGCTCATTCCTTAATTTAAGATTATGTTTCTATCCCTCATAACTATTTAGAATGCCCATTAGGCTGAATGAGAATAATATTAAAAGGAACAGAAAAAATGACTGACTTAATCCCACTTGAATTTTTTAAAAACTATCATTACCTTATGACTGATAAAAATTGCATAGGAAAATTTTCAATATTGTGAAAACTAAACAAAACTAAACCACAGCGCATTTCAGTTAGAGGAACCATGATTATCACATTTTTAAGCTTATTAGCAAACCATTTATGTTCTACTTATTTGTTGGAAACAGAGAATGAGAGATATTTCTGTCACTTGCCTCGTTATAGGTCCTAAAGCAAGAATGTGCCAAAAAAAGTAATGCAGCTTTATTTCTCCTCACGTCTTTGTTGAAAAACGTTAGAGTAATTTGATCCAAAATTATCTCCACATCAACAAAGCTCATAGCAAATGATATCAGAATCTGTCACTAGCTTTTCAATTAATTTCAAACATATACAAAGCATAGGTGGCCTCACCACAGCAGAGGACAGTTGAGCAGAGAATCCTGAAAGGAAAGCTCATATGGTGTCTGTGCCCAAGGACCATTTCTTCTTCCAAAGATAAAACTCCTCCTGTACTTTCTTTATCACTTTCTTCAAACACTGTGTCCATTCTCATACTGCTGCTAATTCAAACTCTTCTTGTCAGTGAATCTAGTATAGTTCGCTATCAAATCGAAACAGAAGAAAACAAGATTCTGTATAATTCACTATTCATGGAAAATGCAGAAAGGTAAATATGTATCACTAATCACAATAAAAAAAAATCGATGTCTGGTTTAGGAAATATTGAACCACCATTTGACATAATTGAGTCAATTAAAGCAATTAAACTATTTGACATAATTTAGTCAATATGTCAAATAACTTGACATATTATTTATTCAGCAAACATTGTTTTAAGGAAATAGACAATCAAACTTCTACGAGGCATTAACTACCTCTTAACACCAAGATGATAGTCCTGTCTTCAGGTAGTATGAAAAAAGGTGTATATTTCTCATTAGTTTTCTTTTTGTGTTCTTCAGCCAGCGTGTGTGGCTGACATCGACTAAAACAAAACTTCACAAGGGATAAGCCCAGTCTAACCATGATGACACTAAGAAAACTATCTAGCAGATATTTCTGATTCGGAAAGGAATACAAAACAGTGAGCCGTTTAAGTTCCACTAATTGTTAGATGTTGGTCATTTTGCATTTAGTATACTGTTTCTTGGCTTGATTTAATGCTATGAAGTTATTAATCAAGTAAAGTTTCAATTTAAATAGATGTGAAATCCAGACTTTGCATGGCTAGAGAAGATCTAAAGTCTCTTTTGTTTGAGGGGGGTGGCAAAATAGCTCATATTAGATTATTTCTAGACAAACTGTCAGAGAAATTACTGATATATTGTGAAATTCAATTAGTCATTATGGGTGGGAAGCAATATTCAGCAAAAATGAATAAGAAGGAAGATAAAAGGCAACAGTTGTTTAAAATCAAGTAAATATTGGAACAGAATTTAGACGAAAATATTTCTGACTAAAAGTGCTGTTAATATGAGAAAAGAGCATGAAATGTGTAAGAAGCTAATGCAAATTACCAGAGAGAAAGCATAATATTTCCCCAGAAGATATTGGTCATTTATTAAAATATATCAATAGGAAAAATAGAAGTAGTAGTTTAAAAAAGTGGGAGAGAAGAATCAAGAAGTTGCCTATATTATTTTTATTTGATAAGATGTTCATTTCCTGAACTTTCTTTGCATTGCTTTTATTCTCATAGCTTATCATAAAAATCATTTCCTCTAATTTGTTAAGTTTTATGCTGCAGAGTATTAAATTCCTCAACTTCTGTTGTTTGTTACTATGATCTAAATCATACCTATATCTATATGCACTTATTTATTCAAAGACAAAACCTTTATCACATTTTAAAATACATCCTCCTGGACTCAGCCCATCAATATGATTGATCCTTTCCTCTTTCGTGTAATTTTTTATCCTCTTCTTCACTGCCTTGATTTCCTAATCACATATGTATAAAAAAACTCCATATTTTATGACACACAACAAAAACCGTCTCCTTTGGTACTGACTTTTTTGTCTGCTTTTAATTTCCACAGAGAATTTCTATTAGCTATTTTCTTTCCATCAGTTCTTATTGTCTCAGGTTTTATCCCACAACAATGAAGTCACAGTCCTTTCTCAAAGGTAATCAGTGACACCCTAATTGCTAAATTTAAAATGTTACCTTGAATTTCAGGTGAATCTTTTTACCATTGGTGATATGCTGTCATTTGAAAATTCCACTTACCTTTACCAGGCAGGCTTTCATCCCCAACAGTCTACCAAATATGTTGTATATTTAAAATAATCCACTTTGTTTTGACTAATATAATAATAGTTTTTTTTTAATTTCTAGTCTTTGTTGTCTGTTTGTTTATTGAGACAGGGTCTGCCTCTGTTGTCCAGGCTGGAGTGCAGTGGTGAGATCAAGAACTCACTGCAGCCTCAACCTCCCGTGCTCAAGTGATCTTTCCACATCAGCCTCCTGCTTGACTGTGACTACAGGCCACGCAGACTAGCTACTTCTGGTAGAAACAGGGCCTCTCCGTGTATCTCAGTCTGGACTTGAGTTCCTGGGGTCAAGCCGTCTGCCTGCCTCAGGCTCCCATAGTGCTGGCACTGGAGGTGTGAGCCACCAGGCCTGGCCAAATATAACCGTTGTTTCTTAGTCATCCTCTTCCTTAAATTATTGCTGATGAATTTACGCTCAATCTTCCAGTTATCTCTTCTTGTACAATGGATTTCTGAATGATATTGTGAGTCCCAAATTGTTATCTCCAGCCAATCTCTTACCAAAGCCCAAATCACATATGACTCTATTGCACATACTCATGTTTAACAGGCAATCTTGTCTCAAGGCTACACACTGAATTTTGATGCTACTTCCTAACAACTTTCCCCAAGTGTTTCCCATTTCACTTCATAGTAATTACATCCTGTTGCAAAGGCCTATAACTGTAATGTCATCCTACATGCTTTTTATCTCATCGTTTCTATTAATCCTCAAATTCTGCATGTTTTCCTTTTAAAACAGGTCAAGAATCTAAACACTTTTACCTATTTCTCCTGCTGTCAGCAAGATACAGGTTATCCACATTTCTTATCTGATTAACTCAGCCACTTTAGTGATCTCCTACCTTCTGCTATTACAACGATTACACTATTACTTCTATTAAACTATGTGAGTTATATTTCAGATACTATAAAATTAACAATTTTAAAGTATGCATTCAATGATTTCCAAGATATTCCCAATGTTTTGCAATCATCACTATTATTTAAATATATAATGTTGTCCTTACCTTAAAATAATTCTACCTATTAATATTCAATCCCGGCTTCACTTTTTCCTAAGCTTAAACCATGGTTTTTATAATGTAACAAACAACCATATATTATTTTCTTCTCATTCTCTTTTGCATATCTTCTTCTACCATACTCTTTCTTGTTCAGAGTCTTAGTATACACTACAACATCAGAGGTTTTGCTCTCTTTGTTGTTTCAAGAAATTTGCTCAAATCCCCTTTGAGTTTATACTATTCCCCTGCTAATAAATGAACCCACCATCCTTATCCTTCTGACTTAAAAATAAAATCACTAGATTTTGTCACTACTTTCCATTAAAGCCAAAATATAAGTTCCATCAGTACATGGATTTTTCTCTTTTGTTAGGTGAACTGGCATTATCAATACCTGATATATTCACAGTTGATTCGATCCTTTTATTTTTCTTATTTATTTATTTTTTGTTTGTGGCAGGTGGGTGAATTGTGATTAAATCTTGTTCTGTTGCTCAACCTGGAGTGACAGGATCTTGGTTCACTGCAACCTCTGCATCTCAGGTTCAAGCAATTCTCCTGCATCAGCCAACTGAGTAGCTGGGACCACAGTCACCCACCAGTCCAAATGGCAGTATTTTTTTTATTATTTTTTAACATTTTTAGTACACACGGGTTTCCTCATGTTGCCTAGGCTGGTCTCAAACTCCTCACTTTGAAAGAAATACATTACATACATAAGGCAATGCATACTGAGTTTTTAAATTATAAAACTGTTTTGTTCATTAATAATACTTTACTTTGAAAGTATATTTTCATTTGGAAAAAAATTAGCACATGATTTTTTTGCTTGCTTTTGATCAACTAGTTGAACATTTGGTAGCCATCAGATATATATTTAAAACCCTTTATGTCCATGTCCTTCACCCACTTTTTGATGGGGTTGTTTGTTTTTTTCTTGTAAATTTGTTTGAGTTCATTGTAGATTCTGGATATTAGCCCTTTGTTAGATGAGTAGGTTGTGAACATTTTCTCCCATTTTGTAGGTTGCCTGTTCACTCTGATGGTAGTTTCTTTTGCTGTGAAGAAGCTCTTTAGTTTAATTAGATCCCATTTGTCAATTTTGGCTTTTGTTGCCATTGCTTTTGGTGTTTTAGACATGAAGTTCTTGTCCATGCCTATGTCCTGAATGGTAACGCCTAGGTTTTCTTCTAGGGTTTTTATGGTTTTAAGTCTAACGTTTAAGTCTTTAATCCATCATGAATTAATTTTTGTATAAGGTGTAAGGAAGGGATCCAGTTTCAGCTTTCTACATATGGCTAGCCAGTTTTCCAGGCACCATTTATTGAGTAGGGAATCCTTTCCCCATTGCTTGTTTTTCTCAGGTTTGTCAAAGATCAGATAGTTGTAGATATGTGGCCTTATTTCTGAGGACTCTGTTCTGTTCCATTGATCTATATCTCTGTTTTGGTACCAGTACCATGCTGTTTTGGTTACTGTAGCCTTGTAGTATAGGTTGAAGTCAGCTAGCGTGATGTCTCCAGCTTTGTTCTTTTGGCTTAGGATTAACTTGGCAATGCGAGCTCTTTTTTGGTTCCATATGAACTTTAAAGTAGTTTTTTCCAATTATGTGAAGACAGTCATAATAGCTTGATGGGGATGGCATTGAATCTATAAATTACCTTCAGCAGTATGGCCATTTTCAGGATATTGATTCTTCCAACCCATGAGCATGGAATGTTCTTCCATTTGTTTGTATCCTCTGTTATTTCCTTGAGCAGTAGTTTGTAGTTATCCTTGAAGAGGTCCTTCACATCCCTTGTAAGTTGGATTCCTAGGTATTTTATTCTCTTTGAAGCCATTGTGAATGGGAGTTCACTCATGATTTGGCTCTCTGTTTGTCTGTTATTGGTGTATAACAATGCTTGTGATTTTCGTACATTGATTTTGTATCCTGAGACTTTGCTGAAGTTGCTTATCAGCTTAAGGAGATTTTGGGCTGAGACAATGGGGTTTTCTAGATATAAAATCATGTCATCTGCAAACTGGGACAATTTGACTTCCTGTTTTCCTAATTGAATAACCTTTATTTCCTTCTCCTGCCTAATTGCCCTGGCCAGAACTTCCAACACTATGTTGAATAGGAGTGGTGAGAGAGGGCATCCCTGTCTTGTGCCAGTTTTCCAAGGGAATGCTTCCAGTTTTTGCCCATTCAGTATGATATTGGCTGTGGGTTTTTCATAGATAGCTCTTATTATTTTGAGATACGTCCCATCAATACCTAATTTATTGAGAGTTTTTAGCATGAAGCATTGTTGAATTTTGTCAAAGGCCTTTTCTGCATCTATTGAGAGAATCATGTAGTTTTTGTCTTTGGTTCTGTTTATATGCGGATTATATTTATTGATTTGCATATATTGAACCAGCCTTGCATCCCAGGGATGAAGCCCACTTGATCATGGTGGATAAGCTTTTTGATGTGCTGCTGGATTTGGTTTGCCAGTATTTTATTGAGGATTTTCGCATCAATGTTCATCAAGCATATTGGTCTAAAATTCTCTTTTTTGGTTTTGTCTCTGCCCAGCTTTGGTATCAGGATGAAGCTGGCCTCATAAAATGACTTAGGGAGGTTTCCCTCTTTTTCTATTAATTGGAATAGTTTCAGAAGGAATGGTATCAGTTCCTCCTTGTACCTCTGGTAGAATTTGGCTGTGAATCCATCTGGTCCTGGACTCTTTTTGGTTGGTAAGCTATTGATTATTGCCACAATTTCAGAACCTGTTATTGGTCTATTCAGAGATTCAACTTCTTCCTGGTTTAGTCTTGGGAGGGTGTATGTGTCAAGGAATTTATCCATTTCTTCTAGATTTTCTAGTTTATTTGTGTAGCGGTGAACAGACACTTCTCAAAAGAATACATGTATGCCGCCAAAAAACACATGAAAAAATACTCACCATCACTGGCCACCAGTGAAATGCAAATCAAAACCACAGTGAGATACCATCTCACACCAGTTAGAATGGCAATCACGAAAAAGTCAGGAAACAACAGGTGCTGGAGAGGATGTGGAGAAATAAGAACACTTTTACACTGTTCATGGGACTGTAAAGTAGTTCAACCATTTGGAAGACAGTGTGGCGATTCGTCAGGAATCTAGAACTAGAAATACCATTTGACCCAGCCATCCCATTACTGGGTATATACCCAAAGGACTATAAATCATGCTGCTATAAAGACACATGCACAAGTATGTTTATTGTGGTATTATTCACAATAGGAACAACTTGGAACCAACACAAATGTCCAACAACGATAGACTGGATTAAGAAATTGTGGCACATATGTGCCATGCAATACTATGCAGCCATAAAAAATGATGAGTTCATGTCCTTTGTAGGGACATGGATGAAATTGGAAATCATCATTCTCAGTAAACTATTGCAAGGACAAATAACCAAACACCACATATTCTCACTCATAGGTGGGAATTGAACAATGAGAACTCATGGACACAGGAAGGGGAACATCACACTCTGGGGACTGTTGTGGGGTCGGGGGAGGGGGGAGGGATAGCATTAGGAGATACATCTAATGCTAAATGATGAGTTAATGAGTGCAGCACACCAGCATGGCACATGTATACATATGTAACTAACCTGCACATTGTGCACCTGTACCCTAAAATTTAAAGTATAATAATAATAAAATAAAATTAAAAATAAATAAAACCATTTATGTCAGACAATAGTAAATTTAAAAAATATGTATTTCTTAAGTGCTCCCCTATATTTGGTGTTGGTAACCAAAGTGGGTTTTATTGAATCATGTGTTAAAAAATACTGAAACCTCAGAGTAATGGGAAGCCGAAGTTAGTGTTATGTTTATATTTAAAATGTATGCATTAAAAATATTTTCATAACCCAAGCCTTGAAGCTGCTTAATGTTATTTTAGTTAAAGTATAACAGAGGTATGGCTTTAAAAATCATAATGTGAGAAGAGAACTTTTGAGTGCATTTTATTACTTCTAAATGTCCACATCATGCTAAAAAAGTAAGTAGCAATGTTAAAATCTTACACAGAACTGAAACTCAGGTTGGGAAGTAATATAAGTAAATTAACGAATGATAACAAAATTTAGTTTATTTCAAGAGAAAAGTGAAGGTTAGAATACAATTAACAATAGCATTCTGTACAGATCTTTTATTGGAAAATGTGAAATTATATTCATGTATATTTTTCTTTGGGTGACTATATTTTCTACCACATTGTAGGAGTTTCTAGCTAAACTCACTCCTTAAAAGGTCCGATCTTTGTCTTGTGGGATCTATGTAGAGAGAAGCATTTCCTTTTTAAAAACTCATTTTGTTAATTTATTTAACAACTGAATTGGCACAGTTTATATATATATTCTAAAGAGATTTTTTTTAAACAAACACTTTTTTTAACAAATAGATGTAATATCATTAAAATACAGAACTAAGGGGTCTGTAGTTAAAAATCTATATGGTCACTCTATTTGTTGTTAATATGAAAATTCAAAGTGTTCTTTCAAAATGACTGTGTTGATGCTTTGTTGATGAGTTGTTGTTAATATTGTCAGTTGATGGAAATAAGAGTAGGCAGAATTATTATTTTCATAGTACAAGCATTATTTTTTCTTCTTATCTCAGGTTGTGAAGCACTTTTTGAATGGGAATATCTGCTCCCTCTTATATCTCACCCACCAGAAAATCTCGTGGGACTTCAAAATGTTGGTACTTTTTATCACATGAATTCTGTGATCCAGCAGCCATATATATATGTGTGTGTGTGTGTGTTTGTGTGTGTATATATATTCCAATGGAGACAGTATTCTTGCAATTGAATGCATAGGTAAAAATACAGACAATGATTTTATGAAGATGAGAAGCAGAACAGTGAGGTAAATTCTAATTATTAATTACTATTACCTTGAAGATTCTGATAGCAGCTACTGTTTTTATCTCTGAAATTATTTTACTTTAAAAGAATTATGTGGGAATTACTTTTCATAATATGGCTAAAATCTCTGAGATACTATGACTGAATATTTATATTGTCTGTGTATCATAAGATGTGCTTCTATTTAAATTCTCTAATATTTTTCTCAAATGCGAGGTTTTCCTGCTAAAGAAAAAAATTTATTCTTCAAATTTGCTATGTGAACTTGTAAAAAATATTAGTTAAGAATTATCATCAAACTGCCTATGAAAAGTATTCATTTGAAAATAAAGCAGTGAAAAAGTTAAGTTATACTGATAGATCACCTATTTAGGGCATACCTCCAAATAAGTGAATATGGAATACCTGAATTTTGCTGTTTATACTCAAACTCTTTATTATTGTTATTATATTTTTACTTTTCTTTATAGACACTGATAGAAACTAAATTTTAAGATCAGTATATTTTAACTGTAGTAAATGGTTTTCCTACAATTTCTTCATTTTTTTCCTTTCAGTGGGCAGAAATAATTTGTCTTTCAGCTACTAGTGTCTCCATACTTATCATTTATAGAGATTACAAAACACACACTGTCTTTCTCTTTGCTAGATCCGGTAAATTATACAATCCAAGCATCACAGTCGGGGTAGCTTTACTTTTAGTAGAGTCTTCATATATGATATTCACCAATACTTGGTTAACAGCCACTATTGGAAGAAAAATTGGAATGTAAGTTCTGGTACTATAGCATGTGTGACCCCTAGGGTGTTGAATTTAACACATATAAAGATGGTTAACCATACCAGCAAGAAACAAATGAAACAGACAGAATATAAAATTTCAGATTTGATGTCTTACCTTTGTACTTGGTTGGTTGTGCTTTATGTTTTCTCAGCACTGTACTCTGGCATGTATATCTGCCTTGTTCCTTTTTCTATGCAGTCAGCTTCTCCAGGGCAGGAATTGGATATTATTTACTTCTTTGTCACAAACCTAAGACAAAATGAAAAACACAGAAATGTCTTACATACTAGTAAACCAACTGTATTTTGCTTTATGGCTACAATCATGTTTTGACTATTGGAGCTTCTGTCTATGCTCCCTTTCCTTCCACAACTATGGTTAATAGATATACTTACTGAGTGTTAATAATTCTGATTTCACCATGTAAATAATCTTATCTAATTTGGAAAACACATTATTCTCAAAAGAAGATACTGAATCCTAGAAAGACTCAGTAACTTATTCCCCAAAAAGTTACTTATTCCCCAAAAGTTACTCATGGCAGATGACTCACTTGTCTTTACTCCTGCCTACTTGTTCAAACTTTACTATATTACTTCCAGTGTATGTTATTATTTTATTACTCTTTTATAATAACTTTTCTGTGAACTCAATTATAATAGCCCATGTTTGAAATAAGCAATAATAGTAAAAATTAAAAAATAAATTAAGTACTTTGAAAATTAGGAGTATAAAAATATATCATTTTATTCGGTAACTTTTGGTATTGGTTGCAACTTCTTTCCTTATATTTGTAAAGTTAAATTAGTGCATTACTGATTTCTTTTGGCGTTTAATGTTGATCCCCAAGATAATTTACTAGAATATTTTTATTAATTTGAAGACAAATCAGAGTTAAGTAAGACAGGAGGTAGAAAAGAGTACAATATTAGTGTCCTAAGGCACCTTCAAGACATCTTTGTTCATTTAGCTATTTTCAAACTACAGTCCTATATACCCAAAGAATTTTGGTAACAAGTTAAATTTTAAGTGAGTGATTATTTCAGTTTTATAAAAACCTCAATACATTAACTGAACATTACTCAGAAAAAGGCTTCCTATAAGGGACATTATATTAAGTGAAATTAGCCAGGAAATATAAGGGACAAGGATTGCATGTTTTTATTCATATTTGAGAAATAACAAAGTTGATCTCATGAAGGCAGAGAATAGAATGACAGTTTATTATAGGCTGCGAAAGACATTGAGCAAGCAAATAAGTGAGTCAGTTAATGGATAAAAAACACAATTAGAAGGAATAGGTTTTAAAGTTTGATTGTGTGGGAGGGATATTATAGGTATGAATAATTTCTTGTAGATTTCAAAACAACTAGACGTTTAGATTCGGAATGTTCTTTAAACAAATATGTCATATATGTCTGAAATTACTAATATACCAATTACTAATATGACATTTAAAGATTTGGTCATCTGTCGTTGTGTGCGTGTATACAAATAATAGTTCTACTTTGTAAATATGTAAAATTATAATGCATCCATTTAAAAACAATAAATGGTGGTCTATTTAAATAAGAAATTTCACTAAAGCTGGCCATTTCTGAATGGTAAAATGCTCTTTCTCTCTACACATTGGGTCTTTGTGATCCAAATTCTGATTTTAGAAGTACTTGCAACATGTTCCTGGGCACAGTGAGGCCATGGCAGAAAACCCACACATGCCCCTCTTCAGCATTAGCTGGAAATTGTGGTCCAGGGCACTCCTGGATGCCATGAAACAATATGTGCCATTGGAAAGATAATTACTAGCTTGTCTTGCCTTGGTATTGAGACTGCTTCTTTGACAGAAGACCGTAAAATAATTATAGAATTTGGAACACCCATAAGGTGTTGGGCATATTAAGGAAACAGTTTAATGAGGAAGTGCTCAGACTTCCAAAATAACATAAAAGATGGCTTTATAGAGTACAATGTTAACAGGGAAGTGCAAGGAGGTGCTTATCCTGTTCAAGGGCAAATAGTCTGGTATTTTCTAGCATCAAATTTGGAACAACCACAGGAATTACTGGATCCCACTCTTACATGGGCAATGCCCTTTGAAGAGCTCCCTATTGACTACAACAACCTGCTTGGTTGACAAATGACAGTTTCAAGGTGGATGAACAATATCCTGTTGGCAGGCTTTCACAGAGACCAGAAATAAAAAGACCAATTGAAGATGGAATGAGCAAATTAGCTCAATGATTGAACTGCAGGCTGCTTTTTTTTTTTTTTTTTCATTTTCTTTTTTTTTCTTTTCTTTTTTTTTTTATTATACTTTAAGTTTTGGGGTACATGTGCACATTGTGCAGGTTAGTTACATATGTATACATGTGCCATGCTGGTGCGCTGCACCCACTAACTCGTCATTTAGCATTAGGTATATCTCCTAATGCTATCCCTGCCCCCTCCCCCCACCCCACCACAGTCCCCAGAGTGTGATATTCCCCTTCCTGTGTCCATGTGATCTCATTGTTCAATTCCCACCTATGAGTGAGAATATGCGGTGTTTGGTTTTTTGTTCTTGCGATAGTTTACTGAGAATGATCACATATACACCATGGAATACTATGCAGCCATAAAAAATGATGAGTTTCATGTCCTTTGTAGGGACATGGATGAAATTGCATGCTGTTTTTTTTTTAAATGAAGGATTAAAACTTTAAACTATTATTTTACAAAGACAATTGTCTGAATGCATGAGTAGTAAATAATAATGAATGTCCTGGCCACATGAACAGTAGAAAACTGGACTTTCAAGCAGATGCCAGTATGTGACACTTGTACTTTCAATGGGCCGAGTGACATCCTGACATCTGCATAATATTAAAAATTTAAGAGGTACATTAAAGAAGGACATGTTGATTTCCATTTGAAGTATCCTCTCCAGGATGATTGGGAGGTGACTGGAACCAGGACAACATGATGTATTTACTTGAGGTGGCAAACTTATAGAGGTGCAGCAGTAATGCAGAGATAGCATTAATCTACACATATTTCTCTTGTACTCTCTAAGGAACAGAAATTCCAAAATCTAAGTCTAGGCCAGAAGAGAAATGTAGATGGCAAATAACAATAGGCCAAATAGGAAGGGCCATAACATAGTTGGACTAAAATGTACAAATATCAGTAGCCCTGATAGTGTATTTATAGGTCTTGACTAATGTAGACTGCATTTGGCATTCATAGTGGTCAATGCTAATGCTCATATACTATAAAAAGATTTAAAAACATAGTATATTCTAACCAATTTGAACAAACCAATTACTGTTCCTCAAGCTACGCAACACACTTCACATCCTATTGTTTCCAACAATGGGCATAGAGATATTACAGGAAATTAAAAAAAAATACAAATTTTTTTAAAATCAGAAGGCATTTATATCTTCAGTGAACACCACATCTAACAACAAAAGCTTTAAAATAATATAGAAATAAACTAGGAGACTTACTGATTTCAAGGAAAATTGTGCCTGGCTATCAAAGCAGTCAGAAATCTTGGCGCAATGGTACTTCAAAGTATGTGGATTCTGATGATATGCACTTCATGGGATTAGATGAAACCAAATTTTAGAAGCATCACTTAATAAATTCTACCACAACAGTGCCCCAAGCACAAAATACAACCTACCATGCTCCACACATTGTGACATATGAAACTTGTGCAGATTGGTTTTAATATTTTAGAATTTCTATTAAAAATATATCCATATTCTTTATCTTAACAAGAAATTAAACTATCAAACATTAAATGTAAAGAAAATGTAGAATGAAAATATCCTTGTTTTTTTACATTTTTCCCCTGTTTTATATTTTTTTCTGGTGATAAAATAAGGTTTCTGAGCAATACAGCTGTTACTCTGGGCACCTGCTGTAATTTAGGTAATTCCATTTCTTGGCTACATGAACTTGATGAGAAGTCATGCTAAATGTTACAAGAAAAGCTTTAAATGATTAACCTGGCCAGGTGCAATGGCTAACAATCTGTAATCCCAGCACTTTGAGAGGCCGAGGTGGGTGGATTGTGAGGTCAGGAGATCCAGACCACCCTGGCCAACACAGTGAAACACTTTCTCTACCAAAAATACAAAATTAGCCAGGTGTGGTGATGCATGATTCTAATCCCAGCTACTTGGGAGGATAAGGCAGGAGAATAGCTGGAATTCAGAAGGTGGAAATTGTAGTGAGCCAAGATCGCAAACATAGCACTTCAGCCCAGACAACAGAGCAAAACTCTATCAAAATAAAAAAAGAAAGGAAGGAAGGAAGCAAGGAAGGAAGGGAGGAAAGAAAAAAGGAAGGTAGCAAAAAAGGAAGGAAGAAGGAAGGAAGGAATGTGGGAAGGAAGGAAGGAAAGAAGGAAGGAAGGAAATGAAACAAGAAAGGAAAGAAAGAAAGAAAGAAAGAAAGAAAGAAAGAAAGAAAGAAAGAAAGAAAGGAAGGAAGGAAGGAAGGAAGGAAGGAAAGAAAAGAAAAGAAAAAAAGAAAGAAAAAGGAAAGTGAAAAGAAAACTACCTTACTTATGTTGTGGCTAATCTTCCTAGAATATTTTAACAAAAATATTTGTTTCAACTGAGAAGTGCTTATAAATGGTTTTTGTTTATATTTTTGGTGAGTATTTTTTTAAGTATACTTTGTATTACAGCTGTTAAAATTGTTAATTTTTACTCTCACTGGATTTTGAGAAAATGTAAATAAATTGCTTTATGCTCTTATTGAAATATCACACTTTTTATGAACTAGGACAAGGTAGTACCTAGTTACAAAAAAAAAAAATAAAAAAATCACAAGGGTAAAATAAAACATGACCCCACTTAAACTATTCTTCTGATCATCTTGTCAAAGCTGTCCTAGATAATTTTTTCTTAATTTGCAGTCACAGCTGATATGTTACAAAATATGTAAGAAAATAATAATTGAAGACTACATAAGTAAAGCATCAAAATAAGTTTGAAAAAGAAAATTATTATTATTATTTTTATTTTACCTGTTGATACATAGAGCCTGTTGAATGAGGAAATAATGGAGCATCTTCTGTTGGACAGGTCTTATGCCCATCTAAGACATCTTGGTCATCTGGCTCGAAATTCTAAATATTTAACAAGATTGACAATTTGATTATAAAAGTAACTTTGTACCTTATATTATATTTTCTTCATTTAGAATAAACTTTTAAGAAATGTAAGAAAGCTGACATCTATAACATATTTACAATTCCTGCAAATGATTTATAATAGAGGGGAAAAATCTGAATTATTTTAGCTACATCATTTTTAGACCATTTCACACAAGTTGTTTCCAAAAGGAAACTTACTTTTTAAGAACAAACAAACCAATGTTAATCATTTAACAAAATAAATATTTTCAGGGCAAGATTAATACATAAACATTGGCTTACACATTTAAAAATTACTTGTCTTTTTCCCAGATTTATATGCTGCCCTGTGGAGGCTTCCCCCCACCCCCTTATCTAGACAAAGTTCTCAAGCATTTGCAAATGTCATCCTAACACTATTTGATCTTTCTAAGAAATAACCACTTGCTGTTTTATTGTTTTGTACTGGAGGAGACCAATTTCTGTAGACATACTGAATTGTTTCCAGTATATGGCCTTCTTTCACCTTTCTATATACACTAAACGAGTCAATTTTCTTTTTTTTTATTTTTTTTCCACATGAAAGCACAAACACAGTCCTTCGCTTCCACAAATTATGCAGCTGAGTTTCCCACATTTGGAGAAATCTCAGGGGTCAGCACATCTGGAGTGCAATAAATCAGCCTTTCCCTGAGAAAGCCACCTTTGTGATCATGGTATCTCCCCTGGCAGAGAAGTTTCCATTTTCTTTTTAAGATTTCCGTTAGCTTTCAAAAGAAAATACAAATATAAATGTAATAGAATTTAGAATAATTTCCAGTATCAGATTAAAATGTTAATTTCAATCATCCATGATTACTGTCTTCTAAAAAAGTTCAAATTCTGACACAGGCTTCTACAAAATTGTAAGAAAAAACACTATGGTAAACAATGGAATAACTGCTAAATAAAGCTACCATACATTTTATGCACTGATATGCTCATTTTTGATAGTGACTCTTATGGCACCCTATTGTATCTAACAGCCTTTCCCAGCCTTCTGGAATTTTATTATGTGGTCTAAGAGCTTTAAAAATAAGCAGATGAAAAGAATTTATTATATATAGTAGTAGCTAATATTTTATTGCCTATTATGTGCCATTCAGAACAAGTGTTTGAGGTAATCTAATTAATATTAGAGTTAGTTTCTTAAGCGGGTAACCTTAGTAAATCCATTTAACAAATAAAAAAATTACAGTTAGGAGAAATACTTTGCCAGTTATTACAGATTTAGCCAGTTGAGGGGCTAGCTAGCAATCTGACTCAAATATCTGACCTCTTGACATATTACCAATTTAAAATGTTTTGCTAAATATACTATCCATGCATTACTATAAGTGAATTAAACACAGTAATGCTATATTACTTTTCATAGTTCCATTTGTTATTCTATACTTAGGATTATGCTCTGTGGCACAGGCTGGACTACAGTGAGAAGATTATAGCTCATAGCTCAATGAGGCCTCACACTCCAATGTTCAAGGAATATTCCTGCCTCAGCCTTCCAACTACTTTGGATTAGAGAAATGCACCACCATGTCCAACTCACCTCATTATTTTTACTAAATATGAGCAGTTTTTTATGACTACCTTTTTTAAGAAAAACAAAACTTACTTGGTGTTCACTCATTTTTCAGGGACATTTTAGAAGGTAAAGCAAGAATCCTGTGATTATAAAACAGCAATATTAATTGGCAGTACAAAATTGATTTCAATTCTGTTAATATAAGAACACACACGATGGGTAAAGCAATTTTCAATGGCAACAATAAAATTTGCCTGATTTGCTAATGATCAGTCATTTTCTTTCAGAGCTGGCTAAAATGCAACATATTTACACTGCTTGGTGTTTACTGTTTACTGTCTACTGTTATACTGCTTACTGTTTACTGTTCTTAGGAGTCAATTTTAAAAGTTGCAAAAAAATGGCTTGTCTTTTTTCTCATTACCATGACAAAAAAATAAAATAGTTTTTTTCTCTCTAGCATGTATCTTACTTAATATAATTATATTATATTCCAAGTCAGAGGCCAGGTTTTTTCTTTTTGCCATAGGAGCATTTATAATATAAATTTCTTTGGAAAAGGTAATTTTAGTAATCTAATTATTTAATGTAAAGAATAACACAAATAGGCTTCCTGTTACACTTATAGTACACATTTCACTATCTTATTCTCTTAAAAATTATAATAAAGGGAAAATCACGTCATTTGCCACATTATCAATAGTATCAAAAGTTTTCATGTGCAATTTGGATTAATATTATCTTTGCCTGTATTGTTATCTACTGCCTTGAACGGTGCTTGGTACACAGTAGATGCTGATATATACCTGTTGAATACTGCCTGTTGAATAGACTAAATGTTCATTACACAAACCATTTCAAACTTAATAAGGAGAATAATAAATTAATACATGAATCCCATATTAATCCAGGTAATTGATTTTCCATGTTAACCCAACATGTATACCTTTACGGTAATCACATCCTTCGATGAGATGAGGCTAAGATGTGATTTAGCCTTATTTTAGAGAAAATAAAAGAAGTTACATAGTAAACAATATATGACTACAAATAATTTTTAAAATGGCATAAATTAAATTCAATTGATAGGAACTCTTAATGTCATTTACAACATTAATTAATCTGCTTGAAATCTATGATGGTGGACAAAAGAAGAATTAGAAAATTTTCATTGTTAAAATCTAATATTTCAGTTGTTTACAATTTAAGGTGATCATCTGCCTTTAATCATTGTGTTCTACAGCTTTATAATAACTTCAGTTTATTATCAGTTTTTCAGTGTGCTTATTATAATGTCTACTGAGTGAAAATTTTGTGTGTTTGTGGGGGTGTGTGTACAGAGTTTCCAGATATATAGTATGATTTGTTTCTAGAATCCTATAACAATAAAACTTTGAATCTCCTGGTAGAGTTGGGCAACTAATTCTGGTGCAATTCTTAGGCTTCTTTTACTGCAGATGATACAACTAAGAGTTCTAGAATAATGCTAAAGATCAGTTTTTAGAATAAGCACAGTTCTTTAAAATTATCATTTTTCTCAAAACCAGTCTGGCCAAGATTGTGAAACCCCATCTCTTCTAAATATAAAAAAATTACCTAGGCGTGGTGGTGGGCGCTTGTAATCCTAGCTACTCAGGAGGCTGATGCAGAGAATTGCTTGAACCCAGGAGGTGGAGGTTTCAGTGAGCTGAGATTCTGCTCCTGCACTCCAGCCTGAGTGAGAGAGTGAGACTCCTTCTCACACACACACATCATCATAGTAATAATAATAATAATAATAATAATAATGATAAAAGTCTTCTCTGACATACTAATTAAACTAACTACTTAGAGGCTATGGATTGCTTTTTGGATAAGTTAATATTATCTACCATGATAACACTAAATTAAAAAAAATTCCATTCTAGGACATACCTTTCTGTGACAGTTTTTCATTATTACATCTGTGGTAACACACGTATCCTTTTAGATGATTCCAAATTGTGGACATATGTATCCAACTCCCCATTACAATTTTTTATTTGGTGTCCCATATGTTTCTAAAATGCAATCCACTCAAAGAGGTTCTATTTTTTCTATCAGTAAATTGCATTACTATTCCCACAGCTTATCAAATCACACCCAGGACATAGGTGTTAACATCTCTTTCCTGCTCCACTTCCTCAAATCTCCAATTACGAACACCTGGCTATCCTAACTCATAAAGAGCTCATAAATTTGTCTACACATATGTTCTACATTGCTAGTTTTTCTATTATGGAGCACCCACAATCTTTTTCTACAGATAATTTTGAATACTTCCTTACTGTGGTCTATTGTGGAACTTTCTATTTTATAGCTAATGACATGCTACTAATATATGCCTTTTGTGATCCTCTAGTGGTTTATCATGTTACACTGAATATCTCACATGATTGCTAAAAAGCCAAGTTATGTCAATACTAAGTCTGTACCCATTAGCTACTTAAAAAAAAAGCTTAACAAAGTAACCCTTTTCTACTGCAAGATGCTTTTTACTCTTCAAATCTGTCACATACTCCCTATAGTAGGCAGGAGAGCACTTTGTATTTCTCTTGTTTATTATGGTGCTTTGTAGCCCACCTGGGCTGTTAATTCAGTACTGTATTTTCAAAATCATAATTAAGACAGATTCAAAATACTTTATCTGAAATGCAAAAAGCTCAATTAAGCAAGGCTTTTAAAACTAAGATTCATATGTAACTCAATTTCCAATGCAAAAAAGACTTAATTGAGGGAAGCTACTTAAGCCTTCATTCATGTACCCTTCACCCTTAAAGGGAATATCCATTACTTTTATAGAAGCATTAGTATGTTTAATTCTTGGGTACTTTTGGGAGCCTTACAGGGAATGATACACAATGTGATGCAAATGTGATGACTCAGTTTTCTCAAATCCAAAAATTCCTAAAACCTAAAACATACTACCTAAATGCCTTAAGATGTATAAATGTATATTGAACCTTGGCAATTAAATTTAAACTTACGTTATATCATAAACCAACCATGTGTTGTGTATGAGAAACTAAAATCTCAAGTTAAATTGAGCAAAACAAAAATTTTGTGAGTTCTTAAGTTTCATAATTTTAAATTTAAAATAAATATTGTATTTGTGTTTCTATAATGTATGCTTCTACTCTACTAGAAGTATCCCAGAATCTCAGATGTAGTCAGACTAGCCTGAGAAAAAGAAAGCACAGAGATGGTCAGAGCAGGAAGAGGAAAGGGTAAAATTTATTTCCTCCTGGAGGTATATATTAATAATAAAAATACACTTTCATTACAGGAATGTGTGACCATAGAACTTAGTTTTAGATAGTAAAATATTTGTGATTCTAACAAGTTACTTAAAATGATCTGCTAATTGTCTGAGTCATCATATAAATGTGACCTAATATTTATCAATATCAGGGAGATATTAACTAGTAATTAAATTCTAGCTATATCCATAAATTAGTAATTTTTGAAAAGTTGCACTAACACCTGAATTGCTGATATTCAAATTGGACAACAGCATCTGTAATAAATTTCCCCTTCTTTTCACTCATAAAAATGACATAAAATAACACTGAAAACACTACAAATATTTTTGTTGTACATTTCTGACAATCTATCCATGCCTTTAGTACTACTGTGCAATAGGTTGATGTGACAAAAATCAGGCTTCTCTAAGAGAGCTTTACTGAATATCGCATTTCTTAATTTATGCTAACATCAACAAAAAATTTAAGTGAATTATTTATTTACATTATCACTAAATTTCTTTTACTTTATTTTAACAAAAACATACATATATGGTAAGTTTCACATAGAAGTCATTTTTAAACCTGACAAGCAAAACAACCACTTGGGATCCCTTAAGGATATGGATTCCTTTTCAAGGTTCTAGAAATTCTGATTTAGATAGTGTGGATATGACCTGGAAGCCAGTACTTTTCAAAAAGCAACATTAAGAGATAACATCGGCTCGGCACAGTGACCCAAGTCTGTAATCACAGTACTTTGGGAGGGCGAGGTGTGCGGATCACAAGGTCAGGAGATCGAGACCATCTTGGTTAACATGGTGAATCCCTGTCTGTACCAAAGTATGAAAAAAGTTATACATATATATATATGTGTGTGTGTGTGTGTGTGTGTATACACACATATATAAATGTGTATATATATACATATATATAAATGTGTATATATATACATATATATAAATGTGTATATATATACATGTATATATATATGTATATTGGTCAGGCAGGTTGCAGTGAAATGAGATCATGCCCCTGCACTCCAGCCTGGCCAGAGAGTTAGACTCCATCTCAAAAAAAAAAAAATACAAAAGAAAAAGATAACATCAAGAGGTCATCAATCAGGCACAATATCTAATCTTAAAGGTTACCAGAAAAATGAAACAAGTGCATAAATATAAATTACCTGAGAATACATGAAATACATTAAAGTTACACAGATTTGCAAGGCATTTTGATGTGTATATGTGTATATGTACGTGGAATATTGCTTGTACATTAGGACACTTTACATGTTATAACTTGATTAAAATGTGCTTCTCATTTAATATATAAAAATAAAAACATCATTGATATAAAATTATGAAAATATCTTACCTGAGCTTGCATACATTACAAACAAATATATTTCTGTAAATATAAACCCTATGCTCTGAATCTTTTCTTCTCAGGAGATCAAATACTGCTCTTAGTAACTGACCACTCTTGCTAAAGTTGTTACATTTCTCTGAAAAGCAATTATTCATTGGTGTAATAGAATCAAGATTTAAAAACAACTTCTATTTGAATAATGAGTCCTGTTCTCATAAACAGCAAACATCTCACAAAGAAAATTATTAAATACAATTCCTCTTTGAGAGAAAAAATGAAGAGCTGTGGTAAATTTTATTGCAGATGTTGTATGCTGTTATAATTAAAACAAAAACAACAACACTTCCACAACTTCAAAAGAATAATTTAAGCCATGCAGTTATTTACATTGTCACTAATTTTAATTTTATGTTACAGGTTTTTTTTACTAAAATATATTTCAATTTAACCATTAGAAAAGGACATTTTAAAAAATATAAACCTCAGGGATTTCCTAAGTAACTGTGTATATTCAATACACAAAATCACTTAATCTTGTTTTTCAGAGAGTGCAGAAATCAGTATTCATTAGCATAAAATAATTTTTAGAACTCACAGGTGTTGTAATGTATTGTAAGCATGCATTTGTGTATGGAAAATACATCAATTAGAGTCATATAAGTTTGCTGATTTGAATTTGCAGACAACAGAATTTACTTGTAAGTATTTAATTACTCCAAAAAGCAAAACAAAAATAATAGCTGTACAATTACCTGACTAGAAGTGATAGAGCAGGAGCACCTTCATCCTGAACCAACACCATCACTTTAACATCCAGCTCTCTTTTTAGCCTCATGCATTTCAAGGAAATCACTTCTCTCCTAACTACAAATAACCAGCACATTCCTTTCCCTTCAGGTGCACTAAGATAAGGAAGCTAGAAGCAGACATGGGGGATATGCCTGCAACTCCAGAAAGATGTACAAAAACAGAAAAGGAACTCTCTCTCTCAGATAACCACAGCAAAGAGACACAGAGGCAGTGCAAGCCTCTGATAAACTCTCCGAGACTGAATTGTGAAAAATTCTTAATCCGTTAGTGTGTGGCTCTGACTTAACCTGGCTAGCCACCCCTCTCAGACTGATTCAAAATAAACCTGTCTGTGTTGACTGTCAAGTCACCATTCAGGTTTCTCTCCTCTTTCTTTACTTCTTACATTGGGTGCTGAAATCCGGGACCGGTGTTGGGGGCAGAGGCTCCCTTGCATCCCAGTAAGCTGTGGGCAATGGCAGTTTACCCTAAGTTAACTCGTGGATCCTGAGAGTCTCTGGCCACATGCCCCATCTTTTCTCTCATTTTACTCTTAAAGAGATTTGTGTGAGAAGGACAACTGACCTGAAGGGAACTGCAAGGCTCAGTTCAGGGCTCTAAAACCCTCAAGTCTCAGGAATCCACCTTTGAGCACCAACAATAGTTATTTCACTTCCTAACACTGGCTCCCTCTTTCCTCTTCTCTCTCTCTCTCCATCTCTCTCATTATCTTACTCTCTCTTCCTCATGTGGCTCCAGTCTGGGAGACCATTTGCCAATTCCAACTGGAACATCCAACAAACAACACTAATTCAGCCATCTGGTAAGATCTACCTCTTCCTGGCTTTCTCCTTGTACTGGAGAAAGTCTGGCCTGCTGTCCATTTCCTTGAAAGACCATTGGGACTAAGCTAGAGGAAATCTTGGGGACACACAGTGCTTTCTCAGCATAACTGTCCTCTTTCAGAAAGAGGATTCAGGGTTTCTGTCTATTGTCTGGGGACATCTAGAAGAAAACAGATCTTTTTCAAAGTAGCTTTATAGCAAATCCAGCTTCCCAGAAATTCTAATAGTTAAATATGTGAATGAACAAATATATCATTCACTTGTACCCATGGAAAAGAATATATCATCCACTTGTACCCATGGAAAAGGTTTAATGTTACTGCCATTTACAGGAAAAACAAAAAAAACAAGAAATAACAGGTTTTACATTAAATTTAAAAATTGCTAAAAGTTACATTATAATACATAATTGAAGGTGCTAAACATAAATTTTCATGCAAGCTGTATAAAACTGGTTTGGCCAGACACAGAGCTAGCTTGAAAAATTATTTTTTTTTCATACCCCCTTGACACCTGTAATGCCAGGAAGACAGAACCATTCACTCCCTTGAAAGGGAGGTGAATCCAGGGAGCCAAGAGGTCTAGCACAGCGGATGCCTTCCTCATGGAGCCCAGCAAGCTAAAATCTACTGCCTTGAAATTCTTGCTGCCAGCACAGTAGTCTTAAGTCAACCTGAAGTGCTTGAGATTGGTGGCGACAGGGACGTCAAATAGTACTGAGGCTTGAGTAGGTGGTTTTCCCTTCAGAGTGTAAACAAAGCCACTGGGAAGTCACTGCACCTCAGCAAAGCTACTGTAGCCAGATTGCCTCCCTAGATTCCTCCTCTCTGGTCAGGGCATCTCTGAATGAATGGCAGCAGCCCCAGTAAGGGGTTTGTAGATACAACTCCCATCTCCCTGAAACAGAGCACCTGGGGGATAGGGTGGCTGTAGGCACAGCTTCAGCAGACTTAAACCTTCCTACCTGCTGGCTCTGAAGAGAGGTGCAGATTTCCAACAGACTACTTACTTCCTCAAGTGGGTCCATGAAGCCCATGCCTCTTGACTGGGAGACTCCTCCCTGCAGGGATCCACAGACACTTCATACAGGAGTGCTCTGGCTGGCACCTGGCAGGTGCCCCTGTGGGAGGAAACTTTCAGAGGAAGGAATAGGCAGCAATCTTTGCTTTTCTGCACCCTCTGATAGTGAAACACAGGCAAAAATGGTCAGAAGTGGACCTCCAGCAAAGTCCAGCACACCTGCAGCAGAGAAGCCTGACTGTTAGAAGGAAAACTCATAACAGAAAGGCACAGTATCAACATCTACTAAAAGGATTTCCACACACGCACACATAAAAAACTATTCAAAAGTAACCAACATCAAAGAACAAAGGTACATAAATGCACGAAGATGTAAAAAAAAAGCACAAAATGGCTGAAAATTCCAAAAACAAGAAAGTCTCTTCTCCTCCAAAGGATCACAACTCCTCATCAGCAAGAAAACAAAACTGAATAGAAAATGTGTTTTAGGAATAGACAGAAGTAGGCTTCAGAATGTGGGTAATAAAAACTCTTCTGAGAAGAGGAGAATGTTCTAACCCAATGCCAGGAAGCTAAGAACCTCAAAAAAAGGTCAGGGAAATTGATAACTGGAATAACCAGTTTAGAGAAAAACATAAATCAAAAACACAGCAAAAAGACTGCGGAAAGATACACAATTATCACTTGCCAAATTGATCAAGTGGAAGAAAGATATCAAAGACTGAAGATCAACTTTTTGAAATAAAGCATAAAGAAAATGTCAGAGAAAAGGAATGAAAAGGAACAAACAACATGTCCAAGAAATACAGGCCTATGTGAAAAGACGAAACCTACTTGGTTTGCTTGTTTGTTTGTTTGAGATGGAGTCTTGCTTGCCCTGTCATCCAAGCTGGGGTGCATGTGTGCAATCTCAGCTCACTGCAACCTCCTCCTCTCGGATTCAAGGGATTCTCCTGCCTCAGCCTCCTGCGTAGCTGATATTACAGGCACACACCACCACCCCTGGCTAATTTTTGTATTTTTAGTAGAACAGGGTTTCAGCCTGTTTTTCATGTTGGTCTCAAGCTCCTGATCTCATGATCTGCCCACCTTGGCCTCCCAAAGTGCTGGGATTACAGGCATGAACCAACGTGCCTAGCTTAAACATGGCTCTTCTTTTTGGCTCAGATATAACTATAAAGTTTCTTGCTCTCTCAACACTAACCTCCATTACCTTTGTCATAAACATACTCCCTAAGGTATAAATCTTGCTGTATCAGAAACATACAATCTTTGCTCTCTTATCCATCTCTAACCAACAGTAGTGGAGCTTACTATGAGCAGAGAGGGGCTTATCATAGATTCACTGTTCATAACAAGAGCTTTGATGTCACATTTCAGCTAAAGTACCAGCTTCACAGTCAATTGTGACCTGATAAAGGGGAAGAGTGAGCCCTTTTTAGTTGTTTCAGAGAATCATGGTAGTATAGTAGCCCACACATGGCTGTATGCTCAGTAAACAACAAGTCTTATTTTTAGTTATTCTGTAGGTTTATGTGTGTTACTTCAGTTAAATGCTGATATTCGGCCAGGCATGGTGACTCACGCCTGTAATCCCAGCACTTTGGGAGGCTGAGGCGGGTGGATCACGAGGTCAGGAAATCAAGACCATCCTGGCTAACACTGTGAAACCCCGTCTCTGATAAAAATACAAAAAAATTAGCCAGTTGTGGTGGCAGGTTCCTGTTGTCCCAGCTAATCAGAAGGCTGAGGCAGGAGAATAGTGTGAACCTGGGAGGCAGAGCTTGCAGTGAGCCAGATAATGCCACTGCACTCCAGCCTGGGTAACAGAGTGAGACTCCATCTCAAAAAAAAAAAAAAAGAAAAATAAATAAAGCTGATATTCATACACTCATATAGATGAATAGGTAGGCAAAAAGGAATGTTATGGTGCCTTTTTATTTTCAAGGGTTCTTGAAGCTCTTGCAATTAACAGTGGCAGGAAATTCATCACTTTTTAAAGTAATTCTCTTTGGAGATGGTGGGGTTGGGAAGAGTTCACTTAGGAACAGATAAGTAACTATTAAGTTTGGCACTCAGCTGTTCCATGCAATAGATGTGGAATTTTAAAATAAGATTTGAAAGGGGTGGACATTTTGTTACCATACAGATTTGTGACATGGCAGGTCAGGAGAGATTCTGAAGCCTGAGGACACCATTTTACAGAGGTTCTGACAGTTCTCTGCTTATTTTTAGAATCAATGATTTAGGAAGCTTCCAGAACTTAAGTAATTGGAAAGAACCTGAGCGATTTCCTTTTGTAGTTCTGCATTCCAGGACTGGCATAAACGAAAGGCAGGTGTTTATAGAAGAACAGCTGCATTATGCAGGAAGGACAGTGACTACCCTTACTTTGCAACAAGTGCAAAAGATGCCACAAATGTGGCAGCAGCCTTTGAGGATGGGGTTCAAAAAATTCTTGTGACTGTGGATATGTCAGATCACTTGATGAACACAGGCATGGTCAACCTTCACCAAAAGCCCAAGCCTGGCACATCTTGTTATTGAATGTTAGAGATAAGGCAGATGCATGCTAACCAATTCACACATATACACAAAATCAACATGGACATGGAGAAGACAATTAGTGTTTGTAGCAGTGTATTACTTACTAATAAGATTCAACAAATGTATAGCCCTGTGTCATTAGTTGGTGGGAGATGGGACATATCCACTCATGGAGGAATATATTTTCTCAATAATGAAACCTTACATTTATAAATTGTAATGGTTGTCTAAAAAGTCTCTTTGATTTACACATGCAAATTAGAGAGCTAATAAATGAGAGGACCAAGACTTTAATTATAATTAAGATAAGATACTTGACTATTCTAGAATTTATACTTGAAATTTTTTCCTGGAAAAATGGGAAACTAATTTTTCTATGTACATGATTTTTGTGCAATTAACATTGTATTCTTGGTGAAAGAAAATGATTTCCTAAGACAATAATGTTGGATATGAAAGATTAGAATCTAACATATTTCCAATGCATTCTTATTTACTTATTTATCCTTTTCAAAATGACTTAACCTTTTTTATTTCCATTCCACATAGTATTAGAATTATTCTTACTAGTAATTACTCTTCATTTGTGTGTCATTAATAAACTTATACCACCATAGGTCATGTTTCACAGCCCCAGGAGGAGGGATGGCCAACAGTGGCACAAGAGTTGCCTCATACACTCTGTCACACATCCAGCTAAATTCAAGCTGTCCATGAATAAAAAGCATTTCCATATACAACGTTCAGTTTTCAGATAAAGACCAACTACTGAACTTGGAGAAAAGACAAATCTGCATTTGATAACTGATTTAAGAAATATAATATGTGTTCAGAGGATACAAAATTACAATTCCACTAATGGGATAGCTAATATTTGTGTTACTTTCTTCACTCTTGTGGAAAGTCTCCTAGTTGAAGTTAAGCCATTGCTTTTGAACACAAGACACAAGCTAACTTTATCACTCTTAGAGGAAATACTAAGAAGGATTGTACTTTGTCAGAGGGTAAATAAAGATGTCTTTATTAGCCCATGTATTTGCTCAGTGTCTCCTCTATTACTGAACATCATTTAGTGATTCTCTCTCAAGGAATTTTGTGTTTGTTTAAAAAAAATATTTGCTGCAAAGATCAGACTTGATAAAGCAAATTGTGTCCTCTTATGGATGTTAATTTTCCATGCAGCTGGTGACTATCTGATTATACAGAAGTTAACTGAAGCTTGGACTGAATGTGGATGAGACCGGCAACTGGGGAGTGATGGGGATATCAAAGGACATGCTGGGTGAGGGGAGGTGGCTGTCATATAGGGGGTGGAGTTCTGAAAAATTACATCAAAACATTTCTCTTCCTGGCCCCACCCAATGTAGCCATTGGGAAAGATTTTATAAAAAATGCAATAGAAAATGCTAGGAGAACAAAGCAGGTGGTGAGTGTGGCAGCAGGAGCAGTGAGAAGCAGCTGCAGAGCCACCCTGGACAGAAGAACCATAGACGATACTTCATAGTTTGAAGGAAGGGTGGTTCCCAGTGGTACAGAAGTTGCTCCATACAGTCTGTCATATATACAGCTAGATTCAAGCTATGAATAGAAAGCTTTTCCATAGGCCGGGCGCGGTGGCTCACGCCTGTAATCCCAGCACTTTGGGAGGCCGAGGCGGGCGGATCACGAGGTCAGGAGATCGAGACCATCTCGGCTAAAACGGTGAAACCCCGTCTCTACTAAAAATACAAAAAAATTAGCCGGGCGTAGTGGCGGGCGCCTGTAGTCCCAGCTACTTGGGAGGCTGAGGCAGGAGAATGGCGTGAACCCGGGAGGCGGAGCTTGCAGTGAGCCGAGATCCCGCCACTGCACTCCAGCCTGGGTGACAGAGCGAGACTCCGTCTCAAAAAAAAAAAAAAAAGAAAGCTTTTCCATAGAGAGAGTTCAGTTTATAGAAAAGGCTAACTACCGAACTTGGAGAATAGACAAATGTGCATTTAATAACTTATGTAACAATTACAATGTGCTGAGTAGAGGATATAAAATTATAATTCCATTCCAATTAAATAAATACTTTGTTAATTTTCATTCTTTGGGAAAGTTTCCAAGTTGAAGAGAAAACATTCCTACTGCTTCCTATCTTAGAAGAAAACTATTTACGTTTCTGGAAAAACCTAAATTTTCACTTTTGTATCATGACACCACCATATAAGTTTTCTCACAATAAACGTGTCAGGTAGAGTAGCAAAGTGGTAAGTAGAGAAACGCACCAGTGTGGTACCCAGTGAAAGGTGGTGTCTGGACAGTCAGTGCTTTCTGGAACTCTGGACTGACAACTAGGAAGTGTTGAAGTGACTGAAAAGATAAAGATCACAAGTACAGCATGGTCAAAAGAGAGATTGAGAATATCTGTGTCCATGGAAAAGGATGTATTCTGGAAGTTTCCAGGTATAACAAGAGGATGAAACTCCATATCCGCATTTCTTCTGGATCACTCTTGGAGCACTAAAGCAGATAACCAATTTAGTGGTAACATACATATTCTAACAGGGGACTGATTTTAAGACTGATTTCATTTCATTGCTCTTATGTTAAAGAGCCTTAAAGGGACATCACCTACCAGATCCAAGCTTTGCCAGCTTATCTTTCCCCATGATCAGCTCCTATCTATCAGCTGACAGTTCTACCCATGTGACCCAGTGCTCTTCTTCACACCTTCATGACTGCAATACTTTTCTCTGCAGCCCACATTGGAGGTCACATTTAATGCTCCACTTTCCTTGCAGCTCCTTCAAAGAATTTGTCACATATGAAATTTGGCACTTAACTTTACTACAAAATACCCAGGACATGGATTGCTATTCCTATTTCACCTTCATTAGCATGGAGAAAAGGCTATTTTCAATGTTCCACTGTCAGCAGCTGAGCCATGTCTTCCTGCTGTCACTCACCCTGCTGCTCTTGGATGGATGATATCCCTCTGGATTATATGCTCATTGAAGGCAGGAACAACTGTATTAAAAAATACATGCTTGCTGAAATTACTCCTAGATTTCTATATGAGTCTTACCTTTTTCTGCACCCATAGATCTGGGATTTAGTTTGTTTCAATATCAGTGCTGTATAACAGGTTAAGACATCATATTAGTTTGAACACTACCAATAGGGGAAATAGAACATAAACAGATGTGATGGGCAGCACATTAAATATGAATATTAAACTACCACAACCTTGAACAAACATCTTTATTTTAAAAATCAAATAAATGGTGTAAAAATGAAGGTAGTTATTTCACACAAGGTAAAAAGACAAAACTTAGAATTACTTGCTTAAAGTTAATTCAGAATGGAACAAAATTGTTCAAGTGCTCACCATTAGAACAGGTTGTATAACTTGATTTTCAATGGACATTACCTATTTTACAGTAAGATCTTATTATAGGAACAAGGAGACCATTCCCAGCCTCCTCTGGTGTATCACCTCGGACTCCAAAAATGCTGAGATTACAGGCATGATTCACCATGCCCAGGACAATTCCAAACATTTTATAAAAGTTCTGTGACTTCCTCCACTTTCCGTTCACCCACAAAACAAGCATTACTGAGAATTCCAATATATAGTACAAATAAAGCAACTGCTGTGACCAAAGTACCTACATTGATGTGAGTGTGTATTCATGTTCTGGTCAAATTTTACTTATTTAAATAGAGACCTTTGACACATCTAAAAGGCTGAGTATGAATGTTAATGTAATCTTGGCTTTTCTTTGACAACTCTCCTAAAAACTGCCTTACAGCTTTTTGCAAGGATGAATATCAATGATTTACTCTATGAGGGAAAGGAAATAATCAGCAGGACCACTATTCCTAGCCACTGGCAGAAGCCTATATGCAACACTTAGCACTGCACACATCTTTCCTTGGCTTCTTGAGTACTACTGTGTATACTGCCTATACATTTTTATAACATCTCTAAATGTATAAATGAATTAATGTGAAGGTATGTGCTATTACATTTCATTCCCAACTGCAGAATATGTTAGTTTTAAATCTATCTACAAAATCTTGACTGTGACATTTGTTTTTGGATTGTTACATTAAAATCAACCACCTGGGACTGTCACCGTGGCTCATGCCTGTACACTCAGGGCTTTGGAAAGCAGAGGCGGATAAATCACCTAAGTTCAGGAGTTCAAGATCTGTCTAGCTAACATGGTGAAACCACGTCTCTACTAAAAATACAAAAATTAAGCACGCATGGTGTTGGGGCCTGTAGTCTCAGCTACTCCAGAGACTGAGGCAGGAGAGTCACTTGAGCCCAGGAGGCAAACTTTGCAATGAATCAAGATCATGCCATTGCACCCCGGCCTGGACAACAAAGCAAGACTTAATCACAGCAACAACAAAATCACAAATTAACGAACAAACCAAACAAACAAGTGGCACCATTCTTCTTGAATGACTATTTGATCATAGAAAACTCAATTCCTGCCAGTTCATGGTCTTTATTAATAGCACAGCAACTTATTTGAAAGTAGATGGAGGGGGTGGAGCCAAGATGGCTGAATAGGAACAGCTCCAGTCTACAGCTCCCAGCGTGAGTGACGCAGAAGACAGGTGATTTCTGCATTTCCAAGTGACGTACCGGGTTCATCTCACTGGGGAGTGTCATAAAGTGGGTGCAGGACAGTGGATGCAGTGCAGTGAGTATAAGCCGCAGCAGGGCAAGGCATTACCTCACCCAGGAAGTGCAAAGGGTCAGGAAATTCCCTTTCCTAGTCAAAGAAAGGGGTGACAGACGGCACCTGGAAAATTGTGTCACTCCCACCCTAATACTGTGCTTTTCCAATGGTCTTACCAAACAATACACCAGGAGATTATATCCTGCACCTGGCTCGGAGGGTCCTACACCCTTGGAGACTCACTCATGGCTAGCACAGCAGTCTGAGATCAAACTGCAAGGCGGCAGCAAGGCTGGAGGAGGGGCGCCTACCATTGTGAGGCTTGAGTAGGTAAACAAAGCGGCCAGGAAGCTTGAATTGGGGGGAGCCCACCGCAGATCAAGGAGGCCTGCCTGCCTCCGTAGACTCCACCTCTAGGGGCAGGGCATTGCCAAACAAAAAGCAGCAGAATCCTCTGCAGACTTAAATGTCCCGGTCTGACAGCTTTGAAGAGAGTAGCGGTTCTCCCAGCACACAGCGTGAAATCTGAGAAAGGACAGACAGCCTCCTCAAGTGGCTCCCTGAACCTTGGGTAGCCTAACTGGGAGGCACCCCCCAGTAGGTGCAGACTGACACCTCGCAAGGCCAGGTACTCCTCTGAGACAAAACTTCCAGAGGAATGATCAGGCAGCAACATTTGCTGTTCACCAATATCCACTGTTCTGCAGCCTCCGCTGCTGATACCCAGGCAAACAGGGTCTGGATTGGACCTCCAACAAACTCCAACATACCTGCAGCTGAGGGTCCTGACTGTTAGAAGGAAAAATAACAAACAGAAAGGACATCGATACCAAAACCCCATCAGTACATCACCATCATCAAAGACCAAAGGTAAATAAAACTACAGAGATGGGGAAAAAACAGAGCAGAAAAATTGGAAACTCTAAAAATCAGAGTGCCTCTCCTCCTCCAAAGGAACACAGCTCCTCACCAGCAATGGGACAAAGCTGGACAGAGAATGACTTTGACGAGTTGAGAGAAGAGGGCTTCAGATGATCTAAGCTAAAGGAGGAAGTTCAGACCCATGGCAAAGAAATCAAAAGTGCTGAGAAAAAAATTAGATGAATGGCTAACTAGAATAACCAAAGCAGAGAAGTCCTTAAAGGACCTGATGGAGCTGAAAACCATGCATGAGAACTACGAGAAGAATGCACTAGCCTCAGTAGCTTATTCAATCAACTAGAAGAAAGGGTATCAGTGATGGAAGATCAAATGAGTGAAATGAAGCGAGAAGAGAAGCTTAGAAAAAAAAAAGAATGAAAAGAAATGAAAAAAAGCCTCCAAGAAATGTGGGACTATGTGAAAAGACCAAATCTACATCTGACTGGTGTACCTGAAAGTGATGGGGAGAATGGAACTAAATTGGAAAATACTCTGCAGGATATTATCCAGGAGAACTTCCCCTATCTAGCAAGGCAGGCCAACATTCAAATTCAGAAAATACAGAGAACGCCACAGACATACTCCTCAAGAAGAACAACTCAAAGGCACATAATTGTCGTATTCACCAAAGTGGAAATGAAAGAAAAAATGTTAAGGTCAGCCAGAGAGAAAGGTTGGGTTACCCACAAAGGGAAGCCCATCAGATTAACAGCTGATCTCTCAGCAGAAACTCTACAAGCCAGAAGAGAGTGGTGGCCAATATTCAACACTCTTAAATAAAAGAATTTTCAACCCAGAATTTCATATCCAGCCAAGCTAAGCTTCATAAGTAAAGGAGAAATAAAATCCTTTACAGACAAACAAATGCTGAGATATTTTGTCACCACCAGCCCTGCCTAAAAGAGCTCCTCAAGGAGGCACTAAACATGGAAAGGAACAACTGGTACCAGCCACTGAAAAAACATGCCAAATTGTAAAGACCATTGAGGATAGGACGAAACTGCATCAACTAATGCACAAAATAACCAGCTAACATCATAATGACAAGAGCAAATTCACACATAACTATATTAACCTTAAATGTAAAAGGGCTAAATTCTCCAATTCAAAGGCACAGACTGGCAAATTGGATAGAGTCAAGTCCCATCAGTATGCTGTATTCAGGAAACCCATCTCACATGCAGAAACACATATGGGCTCAAAATAAATGGATGGAGGAATATCCACCAAGCAAATGAGAAACAAAAAAAGGCAGATGTTGCAATCCTAGTCTCTGATAAAACAGACTTTAAACCAACAAAGATCAAAAGATAAAAAGAAGGCCATTACATAATGGTAAAGGGATCAATTCAACAAAAAGAGCTAACTCTCCTAAATATATATGCACCCAATACAGGAGCACCCAGATTCACAAAGCAAGTCCTTACTGACCTACAAAGAGACTTAGATTCCCAAACAATAATAATGGGAGACTTTAACACCCCACTGTCAACACAAGACAGATCAAAAAGTCAGAAAGTTAACAAGAATATCTAGGAATTGAACTCAGCTCTGCACCAAGCAGACCTAATAGACCTCTACAGAACTCTCCACACCAAATCAACAGAGTATACATTCTTCTCAGCACCACATTGCACTTATTCAAAAATTGACCACATAGTTGGAAGTAAAGCACCCCTCAGCAAATGTGAAACAACAGAAATTATAACAAACTTTCTCTCAGACCACAGTGCAATCAAACTAGAACTCAGGATTAAGAAACTCACTCAGAACTGCTCAACTACATGGAAACTGAAAAACCTGCTCCTGAATGACTACTGGGTACATAACAAAATGAAGGCAGAAATAAAGATGTTCTTTGAAACTGATGAGAAAAAAGACACAACATACCAGAATCTCTGGGACACATTCATAGCAGTGTGTAGAGGGAAATTTATAGCACTGAATGCCCAAAAGAGAAAGCAGGAAACATCTACAATTGACACCCTAACATCACAATTAAAAGAACTAGAGAAACAAGAGCAAACACATTCAAAAGCCAGCAGAAGGCAAGAAATAACTAAGATCGGAGCAGAACTGAAGGAAATAGAGACAGAGAAAACCCTTCGAAAAATCAATGAATACAGGAGCTGGTTTTTTGAAAAGATCAACAAAATCGATAGACTGCTAGCAAGATTAATAAAGAAGAAAAGAGAGAAGAACCAAATAGACACAATAAAAAATGATAAAGGGGATATCACCACTGATCCCACAGAAATATGAACTACCATTAGAGAATACTATAAACATGTCTACGCAAATAAACTAGAAAATCTAGAAGAAATGGATAAATTCCTTGACACATACACCCTCCCAAGACTAAACCAGGGAGAAGCTGAATCTCTGAATAGACCAAAAACAGGCTCTGAAATTGAGGCAATAATTAACAGCTTACCAACCAAGAAAAGTACAGGACCAGATGGATTCACAGTGTAATTCTACCAGACGTACAAGGAAGAGCTGATACCATTCCTTCTGAAATTATTCCAATCAATAGAAAAAGAGGGAATCCTCCCCAATTCATTTTATGAGGTCAGCATCATCCTGATACCAAAGCCTGGCAGAGACACAACAAAAAAAGAGAATTTTAGACCAGTATCCTTGATGAATATTGATGCAAAAGTCCTCAATAAAATACTGGCAAACCAATTCCAGCAGCACATCAAAAAGCTTATCTACCATGATCAAGTGGGCATCATCCCTGGAATGCAAGGCTGCTTCAACATACGCAAAACAATAGACATAATCCAGCATATAAACAGAACCAAAGACAAAAAACATATGATTATCACAATAGATGCAGAAAAGGCCTTTGACAAAATTCAGCAATGCTTAATGCTAAAAACTCTCAATAAATTAGGTATTGATGGGACAGATCTCAAAATAATAAGAACTATTTATGACAAACCCACAGGCAATATCATAGTGAGTGGGCAAAAACTGGAAGCATTCCCTTTGAAAACTGGCACAAGACAGGCATGCCCTCTTTCACCACTCCTATTCAACATAGTGTTGGAAGTTCTGGCCAGGGCAATTAGGCAGGAGAAGGAAATAAAGGGTATTCAATTAGGAAAAGAGGAAGTCAAATTGTCCCTGTTTGCAGATGACATGATTGTACATCTAGAAAACCCCATCGTCTCAGCCAAAAATCTTCTTAAGATGATAGGCAACTTCGGCAAAGTCTCAGGATACAAAATCAGTGTGCAAAAATCACAAGCATTCTTATACACCAATAACAGACAAACAGAGAGCCAAATGATGAGTGAACTCCCATTCACAATTACTTCAAAGAGAATAAAATACCTAGGAATCCAACTTACAAGGGATGTGAAGGGCCTCTTCAAGGAGAACTACAAACCACTGCATAATGAAATAAAAGAGAATACAACCAAATGGAAGACCATCCCTTGCTCATGGGTAGGAAGAATCAACATCGTGAAAATGGCCATACTGCCTAAAGTAATTTGTAGATTCAATGCCATCCACATCAAGCTACCTATGACTTTTTTCACAAAATTGGAAAAAACTACTTTAAAGGTCATATGGAACCAAAAATAGCCCGCATTGCCAAGTCAATCCTAAACCCAAAGAACAAAGCTGGAGGCATCACGCTACCTGACTTCAAACTATTCTATAAGGCTACAGTAACCAAAACAGCATGGTACTGGTACCAAAACAGAGATATAGACCAATGGAACAGAACACAGACCTCAGAAATAATGCTGCATGTCTACAACCATCTGAAATTTGACAAACCTGTTTTGCTTTTTTAACAAAAACAAAACAACCAAAACCTTGTTTTGTTTTTTTAACAAAAACAAGAAATGGGGAAATGATTCCCTTTTTAAGAAGTGGTGCTGGGAAAACTGGCCAGCAATATGTAGAAAGCTGAGACTGGATCCCTTCGTTACATCTTATACAAAAATTAATTCAATATGGATTAAATACTTAAATTATAGACCTAAAACCATAAAAAACCCTAGAAGAAAACCTAGGCAATAACATTCAGGACATTGGCATGGGCAAGGACTTCATGTCTAAAACAACAAAAGCAATGGTAACAAAAGTCAAAATTGACAAAAGGGATCTAATTAAACAAAAGAGCTTCTGCACAGCAAAAGAAACTTCCATCAGAGTGAACAGGCAACCTACAGAATGGGAGAAAATTTTTGCCATCTACTCATCTGACAAAGGGCTAATATCCAGAATCTACAATGAACTCAAACAAATTTACAAGAAGAAAACCAACAACCCCATCAAAAAGTGGGTGAAGGACATGAACAGACACTTCTCAAAAGAAGACATTTATACAGCCAAAAAGCACATGAAAAAATGCTCACCATCACTGGCCATCAGAGAAATGCAAATCAAAACCACAGTGAGATACCATCTCACACCAGTTAGAATGGTGATCATTAAGAAGTCAGGAAACAACAGGTGCTGGAGAGGATGTGGAGAAATAGGAACACTTTTACTCTGTTGGTGGGACGGTAAACGCGTTCAACCATTGTGGAAGTCAGTGTGGCAATTCCTCAGGGATCTAGAACTAGAAATACCGTTTGACCCAGCCATCCCATTACTGGGTATATACCCAAAGGATTATAAATCATGCTGCTATAAAGACACATGCACACGTATGTTTATTGCAGCACTATTCACAATAGCAAAGACTTGGAACCAACCCAAATGTCCAACAATGATAGACTGGATTAAGAAAATGTGGAACATATACAGCATGGAATATTATGCAGCCATAAGAAATGATGAGATTATTTCCTTTGTAGGGACATAGATGAAGCTGGAAACCATCATTTTCAGCACATTATAACAAGGACAAAAATCCAAATAGCGCATGTTCTCACTCATAGGTGGGAATTGAACAATGAGAACACCTGGACACAGGAAGGGGAACATCACACACCGGGGCGTGTTATGGGGTGGGGGAGGCGGAGAGATAGCATTTGGAGATATATCTAATGTTAAATGACCAGTTACTGGGTGCAGCACACCAACATGGCACATGTATACATATGTAACTAACCTGCACGTTGTGCACATGTACCTTAAAACTTAAAATATAATTAAACAAAAAGAATATAGATGGAAACATTTCAGATTAAATTTTAATTAGTTTTCCCTTATGTAGGCTGCTTCTTTGCTATCTTTATGGTTCCCTGATGAAATCAACTATGAACACTAAGAGGGAAAACATGAAAACAATTTGCCTTCACAATATTCTACAAATAACTATTGTAAGTTGTGTTCCTAAATACCCATTCAACTCGCTGTGAAGACTTGCCTGCCAAGGGAGTTGACAGACACAGTTCTTATGAGAAAACGCAGTCTGAAACGTAAGCTGTGCAGCCTAAGTGGGTTACTTGAAAAGGCCAGTTTCCTGACAAAGATCAAATCTTTTTTTCCATCATCAGATTTTTAAAATTATAGAACATGACTTACTTTTATATGTTAATCATGAACATCAGTAAGGAAGTGATTTATTCCATCTTCTTGCCTTATGCCATGAAGCATAATAAATCTCATATGTGACATAATTAAGGCAATATTTTTCTTAGAAGTAAAAAACAAAAAGCAACCAGTTCATTGATACAATATTCTTCAAATTAGTCACACTCCATGTATTTCTGATGGAAGACTTGAATACATTAACTGGGTTCAAAATTAGCTTAGTTTTACCAGAAAAAGAATATAAGCATTCTAAGTAAAAAAAGAAAAAAGCTAAAAGTAATGTAACATCAACCTTGATATGAATCAGATAAACTCTTTGGGGGTATGAGACTTAGTTTAATCATTAGCTGTTCAACAAAATATTTTCTCCCCTAATAAAACAAAGTAGTCCCATAAATGGAAACTTTTACATTCATACAAATTTTGAAGCACACAGACTCAGAGCCAGGCATCTGTGTTCCATGTTCCTCTAGTTTGTAAACCCAAACTTTAGTTAATTATCTTTACTAAAAAGGGAAAAAGGTATGCTCTGCAGTAATGAGTGCTGGCACAAACCAGTTATTGGACTTGTCCACACTTTTCAAGTACATGTTGTTCAAAAGCCACATGTTCTCGTCTATGAGGTCAAGAGCAGCATGAGCTATGAACTGGTGCAGACAGTGACGGTTGTCATAAATGACAGTGTGAGCAATAACAGATTAATGTATCCTTATGGAATGAAGAATGCCGACATTTCATTCTGTAAATTCTATAGATGGTTTTCTTGCGCAGAAAAAAAAAGTTTGATTTTGCTTTGTTTGTTATTTTCAAGAGACATAAAAGAGATCTGTTTTCACATTATATGGAATTATTTTTTAAAAAATATAGTTTTAAAATAACACCTCAGTTACGGGTGGAAGTGTATTCTCTTCAAAATTCTTTTGTTGATGTCCTAAGTGACAGTACCGCAGAGTGTGGCCTCATTTGGAAGGATAGGTTACATGTATATATGGTTATTTTAGATTAGGTCATTTTAGGGTAGGGTGAGCCTCTAATAAAACCACTCATGTACTTAGTAAAAAAAGGAACATTTGGATATGCACAAAGGGAGAAAAATGACACAGAAAGACTGGAGTTACACTGCTACAAGCCAGGGAACTTCCAGAAACTGGGAGAGAAACTGAACAGATTCTTACCTTAAGACCTGCATAGGAATCTTGTCACCACTGATATCTTGATTTTAGACAGTGGCCCTCAGAAATGAGGAAATACATTTCTGATGTCCAAAGCCACTACACTTTTGGTACTTTGTTACAACAGCCACAGGAAACAGAGACAGCCTCCTTGCCAAAGAAGCTGTTCCCAATCTTGGGCTGGAGGAGGGTAGCCCATTTTCCCAAAATCCCTCGGACATCTAAAGCATGCTTCACTTCACTCACATTGTCATGACAAACCTAAGTGAATCTTTAGATAAATGGATCTCTTCGTGTCTCGATCAAGCAGTGGTTTCTTTTACAATGATGATCAATTCTGAAAGATTAGAAGCAAATTGTGAAAATGCTTTAACAAGGTGAATGGTAGCAGGAGAAAGAATTAAAATCAATATATGCAACAAATTATTTTTATGTCTGCTCCTTTCTCCACAACAGGGCCAGTGGAATGCACAGAAATTATATACAAGTAGCTGCATCCTAGAAAGCAATACTGCTACAAGTACTCAAAACAAGTTTTAATGAGCAGTGTTCTCATAATATGAGAAAGTAATGCCACAATAATACCTGGCACATAATCCTGTCTACCATATTTTGGTGACAAGTCCTGAATAGTTAAAAAGTATCACCCACTTAAACATTATACATTGCAAGTAACTTACAATATCACTTCCTCAAATGTCATTAAAGCTGACTTGTGTGCTTGAGAGAAACAGTGCAAACATGCCAGCAATGTATTAGAAACATAAATTGGAAAGGACTGGGCTCTTCTCACGTCAAAAATCTATGGGCTGGTTTACTCTGAATAATAACATGTTCTCGAGCCAAGCCTGGTTTCTGGAAACATTCTTGACAAAAAAAGGTGTCATCATCTCTGGTACTGCTTTTGCGCTTCCTGTGCATTGCCAAGGTAGTCACTGGGGATGTAAGCATACATGAATCACCCAGTCAGGAAGTGCTGCTGAGGGTCACTGAGGGTCTTTTTTAACCCCGAAGGTCCTGATGAAAAACATGATTCATGAAAACTGCCTGAATTTTAATGGATGGAACACAATAGGTCCTGATGAAAAATATGATTCATGAAAACTGCCTGAACACTGATGGATGACATTTCAAAGCCACAACTTGCTACAGGTGGACTAGGGTTTTAAGTGTTCAAGTGGCAGCAATTCATGATGGATGACATAATGAACTGAACATCATGGGAAAGTCAGAGGTCATGCTAGTCTGTGCTGAATTAAAGTATAAATAAACAACTCCCAGGATATGCCCTGGTTGACTGCTATCAGTCTCTGGGACTCCAGTGCAAGCCTCATTTAATTGTGCTGGATTTCATTTACCTCCTCTGTCCAGATCTTCCAGTTCTAAAATCATATTACACTATATCGTTACAATGGAATAAAAATTCCTATGAAAACTAAGCTTCCACATGCACTTTGGATTCTGCCTTCCCAGCTCGCAAAAACTCCATTTCAAAAAGTGGATTATCATGGTGGCCAACAATTACAAAGTAGAAGCTCCTAGACATGGTCTTCAATATATGGCTCCTAATGAAGCAAAAAATAGTGCATATTTTTAGCAGTCAATATTGAAATTCAAAGATGACCAATGGGAAATGTAAAATTCTTCTTTTGTTTTGCTTTCTAACTTAAACCTGAAATACGCCAGTAAGCTTGTCACCATTCCCCACATACTAGTGAAGATGCATGACTTCTGGAATAAACAAATGATATAATTGTGATATTTCTTATAGAATCCTATGTATTTCCATAAGAAAACCAGAAGACCTCTAACATAACATCACAGACAATATTCTCACGATCTGAATGTATGGCACATTCAACTGAAAGGACCCTGAGTGTCTGGTGGAGTAAGCTAGGCTTCACTTGGACTGGAGCAGTTAGCACCAGCACTGACACTTAGAAGATTTAACAGAGGTAGATGGTAAGTTAAGGATCATAAAGAGTGGTGAGAAGATGAAACTAATTAGCTTGCCTTAGAAATTTCCATAAGGCATCTGTTGGGGGAAGCTAAAATCAGCTTTCTCTCATGTGACTTACCTAGAAAAGTGAGGCAATGCAGCACTTTGTGCTCTATTTTTTTCTTTCTAACTGAACTATGTGTGTTATAAATACATGTCCGTGCTAATAAAAGAGACTATGATATGCCTCTTGATACACCAATTTATAAGAAAGGAAGTTTTCTATTCTATAAAGGATGAAAGAAATGATAGATAAAGGAAAATATTCTGAGGTACTGAGAGATCTTACAAAGAAGTTTAACAGATTGGGACAGGTGTAATGGCTCATGCCTGTAATCCCAGCATTTCAGAAGGCTGAGGCAGACAGTCTGTTGGAGTCCAGGAATTTGAGACCAGCCAAGGCAACAGCATGAAAGAAGAAACACTTCTCTACAAAAAAATACATCTCTACAGAAATACTAAAATTTCTGGGCATTGTGGTGTCTGCCTGTAGTCCCAGCTACTCTGGAGCCTGACAGGAGAGAATTACATGACACAACAGTAAGCTGAACTATCCTGCCTCAAACAAGAACAACAACAACAACAACAAACAGATTCGCAAAAGAAATAAACTCATGAGAAACGCTGGAAAAATTACAAGTGATTCCTTGGCTTCTAGCACAGATAATGAAAATATAGATGAAAGACGGATGGGAGGGAACATGGATGGATATACTCAATGGTAACCCCACTGTGTGTATTTTTAACTCAAGAGGATTGAAATAAAAAAAAGTTAGGTTCTATGTAGCTCTGCTACTTACTTGCAATGTTACCACAGGGAGCACTTAACCTATTGTTGGCTTTCTTCTTTATGGAATAGTAGTAACTTTGTAGCACCTTACAGTAAAGTACCCAGCACAGTGTCTGACTCACAGGACATGCTCAATTAATATTTTCTAGAATAACATGGAAGGCCAAATGCAAACTGAGAAGTGGTGACTGGTAAAATTCTCAACATGGGGTGGATATCAAGTAAGCGAGGAGTTAGTCAAACTCCTGGAAGATACATCTGAGGTGGGTTAGAAACCAAGGCTCATCAAGCCTCACTGGATCTTCTCCTGATTCACGTACACAAAACGGAATCAGAAGAAACATGATATGCATGTGCTAATGAATGATGCATTTCATAAATAAAATCAAGGCACAGCTGGCAGCTTTAACTTTAGAATTGGAGGGTTATGACTGTAGAAGGAAAGGCAAATAGAAGACTCTGGGCATGATGAAGTAGGATTTAAAATATCATGTGAGATGGGGGACTATAGCCTTGTTCACTTTCTCACTACCATCTAAGGTGCTCTCACCCTTCAAAGGCAGAGTTAAGTACCTGCAATCAGGTTATCCCACAGAGCCAACAATATTCACTATCTGGTCTTCCAAGGAAAACCTTTGCCCCTGCTTTAGAAAACAGATGAAAAACAGATTGAGGAAGAAAAATTGGGTAACAAAGACAAGCAAGAATGATACAAAAGCCGTGAAAAACTAGAGGAATTGGCAATAATTCTCCAGGGAAGGTTATGGGAGAAAGGATGGGCAGTGGAAAATTGAATAAAGTAAATAATGATATCATGAATTATTACTGGGCTAAATTTTAGAGCTGAAGTTTGCCAAAAGAAGTGCTTGTTACCTTCTTCTGCACAAGCATTGAAGCAGCAGTGCTAAAAAGAAGGGGGGCAAATGTGTGTGTTTGTGTGTGGGTGGTTTGCATGTGTGTGTGGGTGTGGATGTAGAAGTGTCAGTGTGTGTGTAAGGGAGATAACATGCATCCCCACACTCAGCCCTATATGAAAAGCCACAAATGGGTGAGCAGCATGGTGCTAAATCAGCAGGAGGACAGACAGAAGGGAACTCAAAGAACAATTGCATGATGGTGCTGTTATCAACTACACAGATGGGCAGAAGATCAGACGGAGTTTACTTTATATACATTCCATGTTTATCGTAAGTTGTCAGTTTGGTTTTCCTTTTGTAAACAGCTGAAGAAGCAAGAAGGCTATAGTTTTTCAGTCAATTTTGCAAAGAAAAACTGTCAGGTGAAGTGGGAGAATTTGAAACCCTGGGAGAAAATGACACCGTTGTCACAGAAAGGGAAGGGAATAGCTGCAACACTTAGCAAATACTTGAGGGTATGGGACAAAGGTGAGACACACATTAGGATTCTGCACTGTCCAATCTGTGGAACTTTCTCCAAGGATGCAAATGTACACCTGTGTTGTCCAATATGAAAGCCAGCAAGTATTAGAAATGTGGCTACTGTAACTGTAGAACTGAATTTTAATTAAAGAAGAAGAGCCACATGAGGATAGTGGCTATGTAATAGAAAGCACAGGTTTAGATAGAAGATTCCAAGACAGTGGCATGATCTTGGCTTACTGCAAATTCCACCTCCCAAGTTCAGGAGATTCTCCTGCCTCCGCCCTCCTGAGTAGCTGGGATTAATGGCATGCACCATCATGCCAGGGTAAATTTTGTAATTCTAGTAGAGACAGGGTTTTGCCATACTGCCCAAGCTGGTCTTGAACTCCTGGCCTCAAGAGATCTCCAGACCTCAGCCTCCCAAAGTGCTGAGATTACAGTCATGAGCCACCATGCTCAGCCCAATTTCAACTTTTTAAAATAAAATTTCTGTGATATCTCCATATTTCCTTCACCAACAAAACAAGTGTTACTTAGAATTCCAACACATAATGCAAATAAAGCAACAGCCATGACTGACATACCTGCATTGGCATGAATGTGTATTCATGGTCTTCTCGATTTTTCTGTTGCTTTAAATAAGGGCCTTTGAAGAATCTCCAAGGAACACTTGTCCCAGAGGCCCTGAGGACGTAGCTACATAGAATTAGATAATAGATTAAATTGGGAAATGGAGGACAAGAGGAGAATCTAAGATAGTTTTCAAATGTCTAGCTGAGAGGAACAAACAGATTGTGACCTCTCTTCTAAGATGCCCTCATCCAAATCTCTAAAACTTGTGAGTATGTGAGGGCTCATGGCAAAGAGAAATTAAGGTTGTTCAGCAGCTGACCTTAAGATAGGAAGATTGCCGAGGATCATGCAGCTTGATCAATGCCATTGGAACGACCTTAAATGTAGAAGATGGAAGCAAAAGAGGAAAGTCAGGGGGAAGTGACAGAAGAAGGAGAAAAGCAATGTGATGTTGATGGCTTTGAAAACAGAGGAAGGGGCTATGGCTAAAGAATGCAGCAGGCCCCTAGAAGCTAGAAAGTACAGGGAAACAAATTATCCTCTAGAGCCTCCAAGAGGAACACAGTCCTGTGCACACTTAGATTTTAGCTGAACAAGACCTCTATTGGACTCGTATGTTACAGAAGTGTAAGATGATACACTTGTATTAAGCCACTAAATTTGTAATAATTTGTTACAGTGGCCTATTGTTCCACCTTCGCTAGAGTTTTGTCATTTACTTTTTTTGCCCCCAAATCCACCTTGACTGTATCCACTTCAGAGTTACTACTGTTTCTGTCATCATCCCTGGAATGTTCTCCCTGATTCTGCCTGCAGCCTTTACCTATTTTTTAAAATTCAACTAAGTTTCTCCTCCTCCTCAATTATTTCCAACAAAAGCCTACACATTCTCCACGTGCTAAGAAGTCCTGTCACTCATACTGCTTCTTAAAGACTTTAAGTTTTTCACAGCCAGTGATCAAAACTCATTGTACACTTTTTCAATGTCATGTACAAAGGTGTCACTGATCAAATTTTGTCCTCACAGGGCTTAGATAGTTTCTCAGGCTTATATTTCCAGCATACAACTCTGGACTCGGGGTAGATTCCTCACTGCCCCCAGAAGGTCTTGGATTTTTGTTTGTTTGTTTTATTTGTTTTTTATTCCTTTGCTCATTTTCCCTCCCCTGCAAAGCTCTTCTTTTAGTGCACCACGCAAATCCTATGCATCAAGGTCCTGATGAGTTTACACTTTTTCTGAGAGATGATCTGGATCACTTCCATCTTCAACCACCTCCCCTTTAAACTCTTTACTCAGTTTATAATGTGATCTTAGCACTTGCTCAATTCTCTAGCTGTAATATTTTCATTATTGCTTCTGAGAGGTTTGGTTCCTTTTCTTTTTAATTAATGTAAGCGTCATGAGGTCAGGCTCATCTTTCCTCACAACACACAACGGTGGCTACTCAGAAAAAATTAGCTCTGTGGATCTCAATTCTGAGACATCTTGCTTCCAAGAGGACATCTGACAATGTCTGGAGACATTTTTGGTTGTCTCGCTTGGGGGAGAAGGTGCTATTGACAAAATAGAGACCGAGGACACAGCTAAATCTACAATGCCCAGGACAGCCCCCAAAACATCTGCTGGCTCCAAAAGGCAACAGTGGCTTCATTAAGAAACCCTGGGTCAGGTGAATGTTCGACTGTCAACCGCGAAAGCAGACTCCAAAGAGGGCAGACACTTGCAGGTGGAAGTGCTTAGAGCATGGATGAGCCGGTCAGGACGTGGCAGATCTGATCTGGCTACCCCAGGGAGGAGTGGAGATATGGCACCAGCCTGCGCCATCACGCAGGGCCAGTGAAGTCACGCAGGGCCAGTGAAGTCCCACAGGGACTCAAAACGCCTGTTTCGACTCACTCCATCCCCTACCTGCAGCGAGAGGCCGACGAGGGAAAGACAATCTAAGTCCAGCTGTGGAGTCCCGCGCTCCACTGCTTCAGCCACATTTCCCCGGGGGCAGTTCTTTGGATACCCTGGATGTGCTCTCCCGAGATATGGGTGGAGCTTCTGTCGGGTGCTAGGCAACAAAGTGCATGCACCATGTCTCTTCAGACGGGAAGACTGTACTTTGTAGGTCTCCAGGAGGGGCAGGATGGGGTGTGAGGGCTGTAATCTCGCGGTCCTGCCTCACTGCTTTCCATCCCTAGTCTTTGGGTCCCAGCCCTCCAAGCGCCTTTGAATTGTGCCTAGGTCACGGTCCTCATCCATGCCTCAGAACCACGAAGAGAGGAGGCTCACATGCTTGATAGAAAACCTATTTGGGACTGTGAGATTGAGAGTGTTAAGCACCCTTGCTCCTCACCTGGGACAGAGGCATGTCTCTGAGGCCAGGGATTCCCCCTCATCTTGGCCTTGCAGCCTGGACTGGGCAGTCAACTCGGCCCATAGCGGGGCCAGTGAGGCGGCTTGGGAGGCAGCTAGTGACTGGAGGAAGCTGGCGCCTGATGACTCAGGAATACACAACTGCCCCTCATCGGGGACAAGTAGAAATGAAGTATTGTTGATAGTCCTTAATACCCCTTTCCCTGCTAGGCCACTCAGGGTGTCCCCAGAGACCAGTGATCTTTTTTCCGTCGTTCACCTTTCCTCTATCCCCCAGGTAACCTGTAACCATTTTGTCTTCTAGTCCACCTTTCTCCCCATGTCTGACGTGTTGAGTCAAAATAAGCTGCACAGAAAGCTACACAGAATGTTGAAGGATTGGGGTGTACAGGGTACACTCAAGTATCAGATGTACGTTCATTTGCTCCATAACTTTTAAAAGTGTAACCTGTAAAAAGTAGTTCACATTTAAATTCATCCAATGTTTGGGTTTCAAAAGTCTATCCTGAAATATTACGGTCTCTTTGAAACTATTGAGAAAATGTTGCATTTGAGTCGACCTAAAGGAGAATGTTCAAATAATTAATTGAACCAACAATAAAATAGCCGAAAGCATTTATATAATGAACACATTTTAGTAAAATTAGGCCTGTTTTATAAATCTGGCTTACAGATTCCTAAACTAACAAGTGGGTTAGTAATACATTTGGATGAGGGACATTCACACCATGTAGAAAACACTAGTGTGCTGTTTTAATAGTTTGAGGAATGAACATTTTCATCTTTAAACTATGTAATGTGACTGAATATTTAACTTGAGCAGCAAATATCTGTAGATATACTTTATATTTTGATTAACAGCTAGAAATAGGATTAGCTCAACGTATTTTTATTGCAATATGCATTTAAAAAGCATATTTTACTTTTAAAATATGTAGATATATCCAGTGTATATGTCATTTTTAAACTTATGGTGTTTAAACTATTTTATGGTGTTTAAACATTTTAAACTATATGGTGTGAGCATTTCTCTGTTTCCTTAGAATTTTCTTGAAATCCTCATTTTTAGAGGTAAGAGACTTATCTTTGGATATTTTTGTAACATACAAACAGTCCCTTGCTGTCGAATATTTTGGTTATATTTTCCAACAGTCCACAGAAGTGTGATGAACTGGCAGAATTTTTCCTCATACTTTGTATCTCAAGCGTAAGCTTCTGAAATCACCTTCTAGGGAAGTTAAGAGTCTGCAAATGGGTCTGGCTAACCATCAGTTTCACTTGGAAGCTGAGGAAAGAAACATTTTTCTAGAACACACTGGCCTTCTTGTCTATGGGGTAAGAGTTTTGCAGGGGAAGTTTCCTAACTTCTGGATGTGGATCTAGAAACATTATGGAAATAAAAGGAAGATTTCCAATGAATGTAACACATCTGTGTATATCTCTACTGAGAAAATCCTACTGATTTTTTTTTACCTTAACTGACTGACTGACTTCCTTCCTTCCTTCTTTCTCCTTCCTTTCTTCCTTTCTCCTTTCCTCTTTCTCCCTTCCTCCCTTCTTTCTTCCTTCCTTCTTTTCTTTCTTTTTTTTTTCCTTTCTTTCTTCCTTCCTCCCTTGCAAGACACAAATTCAAAACCAGCTAATTCATGAGTTGATGCACCTTGTATTGAATGGAGAATAGTAGCTTCAGTCCATTTCAATGCAAGGGAACTCCCTCTTACTAAAAGCCTCTAACTCTTTAGTGGCCGATCACCAACAAAGATGTGGCTATGAGTCTTCGCTTTCTGTTTTCTTTCCAGAAATTGGTTTGGCAAAATAAAAGGTAATGTACTTCCTGTTCAGTTTTGAACATTTTTTATGTATCTTCTACTTTATTTTATGATTTTTTGGTTATAATTTAGGTTCTAGGGAACAAGTTCACAAAGTGCAGATTTGTTACATATGTATACACATGCCATGTTGGTGTGCTGAACTCATTAACTCATCATTTACACTAGGTATATCTCCTGATGCTATCCTTCCCCCTCCCGCCACCACACGACAGGCTTCAGTGTGTGATGTTCCCTTCCCTGTGTCCCAGTGTTCTCATTGTTCAATTCCCACCTATTAGTGAGAACATGTGGTATTTGGTTTTTTGTCCTTGTGACAGTTTGCTGAGAAGGATGGTTTCTGGCTTCATCCATGTCCCTACAAAGGACATGAATTCATCCTTTTTTATGGCTGAATAGTATTCCATAGTGTATATGTGCCACATTTTCTTATTCCAGTCTATCATTGATGGACATTTAGGTTGGTTCCAAGTCTTTGCTATTGCGTATAGTGCCTCAATAAACATATGTTGCATGTGTCTTTATAGCAGCATGATTTACAAACCTCTGGGTGTATATCTAGTAATAGGATGGCTGGGTCAAATGGTATTTCTAGTTCTAGATCCTTGAGGAATCACCACACCGTCTTCCACAATGGTTGGACCAGCTTACAGTCCCACCAGCAGTGTAAAAGTATTCCTATATCTCCACATCCTCTCCAGCACCAGTTGTTTCCTGACTTTTTAATGATTGCCATTCCAACTGGTGTGAGATATTATCTCATTGTGGTTTCATTTTGCATTTTTCTGATGGCCAGTGATGATGAGCATTTTTTCATGTGTATGTTGGCTGTATAAATGTCTTCTTCTGAGAAATGTCTGTTCATATCCTTTGACCAATTTTGATGGGGTTGTTTGTTTTTTTTCTTGTAAATTTCTTTGTGTTCTTTGTAGATTCTGGATATTAGCCCTGTGTCAGATGAGTAGATTGCAAACATTTTCTCCCCTTCTGTAGTTTGCCTGTTCACTATGATGGTAGTTTCTTTTGCTGTGCAGAAGCTCTTTAATTAGATCCCATTTGTCACTTATGGCGTTTGTTGCCATTGCTTTTGGTGTTTAGACATGCCCATGTCCTGAGTGGTATTGCCTAGGTTTTCTTCTAGGGTTTTTATGGTTTTAGATCTAACATTTAAGTCTTTAATCCATCTTGAATTAATTTTTGTATAAGGTGTAAGGAAGGGATCCAGTTTCAGCTTTCTACATATGGCTAGCCAGTTTTCCTAGCACCATTTATAAACTAGGGAATCTTTTCCCCATTTTTTGTTTTTGTCAGGTTTGTCAAAGATCAGATGGTTGTGGGTGTGTGGTATTATTTCTGAGGACTCTGTTCTGTTCCATTGGTCTGTATATCTGTTTTGGTACCAGTACTATACTATTTTGGTACCAGTGCTATACTGTTTTGTTTACTGTAGCCTTGTAGTGTAGTTTGAAGTCAGGTAGCATGATGCCTCCAACTTTGTTCTTTTGGCTTAGGATTGACTTGGCAATGCAGGCTTCTTTTTGGTTCCATATGAACTTTAAAGTAGTTTTTTCTAAATCTGTTAAGAAAGTCATTGATACCTGATGGGGATGGCATTGAATCTATAAATTACCTTGGCCAATATGGCCATTTTCACGATATTGATTCTTCCTATCCATGAGCATGGAATGTTCTTCCATTTGCTTGTATCCTCTTTTATTTTGTTGAGCAGTGGTTTGTAGTTCTCCTTGAAGAGTTCCTTCACATCTCTTATAAGTTGGATTCCTAGGTACTTTATTCTGTTTGAAGCAATTGTGAATGGGAATTCACTCATGATTTGGCTCTCGGTCTGTTATTGGTGTCTAAGAACGCTTGTGATTTTTGCACATTGCTTTTGTATCTTGAGACTTTGCTGAAGTTGCTTATCAGCTTAAGGAGATTTTGGGCTAAGATGATGTAGTTTTCTAGATATACAATCATGTCATCTGCAAACTGGGACAATTTGACTTCCTCTTTTCCTAATTGAATACCCTTTATTTCCTTCTCCTGCCTGATTGCCCTGGCCAGAACTTCCAACACTATGTTGAATAGGAGTGGGGAGAGAAGGCTTGCCTGTCTTGTGCCGGTTTTCAAAGGGAATGCTTCCAGTTTTTGCCCATTCAGTATGATATTGGCTGTGGGTTTGTCATAAATAGCTCTTATTATTTTGAGATCCATCCCATCAATACCTAATTTATTGAAAGTTTTTAGCATGAAGAGCTGTTGAATTTTGTCAAAGGCCTTTTCTGCATCTATTGAGATAATCATGTGGTTTTTGTCTTTGGTTCTGTTTATATGCTGGATTATATTTATTCATTTGCATATGTTCAACCAGCCTTGCATCCCAGGGATGAAGCCCACTTGATCATGGTGGATAAGCTTTTTGATGTGCTGCTGGATTCAGTTTGTCAGTATTTTATTGAGGATTTTTGCCTCGATGTTCATCGGGGATATTGGTCTACAATTCTCTTTTTTTGTGGTGTCTTTGCCAGGCATTGGTATCAGTATGATGCTGGCCTCATAAAATGAGTTAGAGAGGATTCCCTCTTTTTCTATTGATTGGAACAATTTCAGAAGGAATGGTACTAGCTCCTTTTTGTACCTCCGGTAGAATTTGGCTGTGAATCCGTCTGGTCCTGTACTTTTTTTGGTTGGTAAGCTATTAATTGTTGCCTCAATATCAGAACCTGTTGTTGGTCTATTCAGAGATTCAATTTCTTCCTGGTTTAGTCTTGGGAGGGTGTATGTGTCAAAGAATTTATCCATTTCTTCCAGATTTTCTAATTTATTTGTGTAGAGGTATTCATAGTATTCTCTGATGGTAGTTTGTACTTCCGTGGGATTGGTGGTGATATCCCCTTTATCATATTTTATTGTGTATATTTGATTCTTCTCTCTTTTCTTCTTTATTAGTCTTGCTAGTAGTCTATCAATTTTGTTGATCTTTTCAAAAAACCAGCTCCCGGATTCATTGATTCTTTGAAGGGTTTTTTGTGTTTCTATCTCTTTCAGTTGTACTCTGATCTTAGTTATTTCTTGCCTTCTGCTAGCTTTTGAATGTGTTTGCTCTTGCTTCTCTAGTTCTTTTAATTGTGATGTTAGGGTGTCAATTGTAGATGTTTCCTGCTTTCTCTTGTGGAAATTCAGTGCTATACATTTCCCTCTACACACTGCTTTGAATGCGTCCCAGAGATTTTGGTATGTTGTGTCGTTTTTCTCGTTGGTTTCAAAGCCATCGTTATTTCTCCCTTCATTTCGTTATGTACCCAAGCAGTCATTCAAGAGCAGGTTGTTCAGTTTCCATGTTGTTGAGAGGCTTTAAGTGAGTTTCTTAATCCTGAGTCCTAGTTTGATTGTACTATGGTCTGAGAGACAGTTTGTTATAATTCTGTTCTTTCACATTTGCTGAGTAGTGTTTTACTTCCAAATATGTGGTCAGTTTTGGAATAAGTGCAATGTGGTGCTGAGAAGAACATATATTCTGTTGATTTGGTGTGGAGAGTTCTGTAGATGTCTATTAGGTCCACTTGGTGCAGAGCTGAGTTCAATTCCTGGATATCCTTGTTGATTTTCTGTCTCGTTGATCTGTCTAATGTAGACAATGGGGTGTTAAAGTCTCTCATTTATTATTGTGTGGGAGTCTAGGTCTCTTTGTATGTCTCTGAGAACTTGATTTATGAATGTGAGTGCTCCTGTATTGGGTATGTATATATTTAGGATAGTTAGCTCTTCTTGTTGAATTGATCCCTTTACCGTTATGTAATGGCCTTCTTTGTCTCTTTTGATCTTTGTTGGTTTAAAATGTGTTTTATCAGAAGCTAGGATTGCAACTCCTGTGCTTTTCTTTTTTTGTTTTCCATTTTCATGTTATATCTTCCTCCATCCCTTTATTTTGAGCCTATGTGTGTCTCTGCACATGAGATGGGTTTCATGGATACAGAACACTGATGGCTCTTGACTCTTTATCCAATTTGCCAGTCTCTATCTTTTAATGGGAGAATTTAGCCCATTTACATTTAACATTAATATTGTTATGTGTGAATTTGATCCTGTCATTATGATGTTAGCTGGTTATTTTGCGCGTTAGTTGATGCAGTTTATTCCTAGCATCAGTGGTCTTTAGAATTTGGTAGGTTTTTGCAATGGCTAGTACTGGTTGTTCCTTTCCATGTTTAGTGCTTCCTTCAGGAGTTCTTGTAGGACGAACCTGGTGGTGACAAAATCTCTCAGCATTTGCTTGTCTGTAAAGGATTTTATTTCTCCTTCACTTATGAAGCTTAGTTTGGTTTGGATACGAAATTCTGGGTTGAAAATTATTTTCTTTAAGAATGTTGAATATTGTTCCCCATTCTCTTCTGGCTTGTAGAGTTTCTGCCAAGAAATCTGCTGTTAGTCTGATGGGCTTCACTTTGTGTGTAACCTGACCCTTCTCTCTGGATTCCCTTAACATGTTTTCCTTCATTTCAACTTTGGTGAATGTGACAGTTATGTGTGTTGGAGTTGCTCTTCTCGAGGATTATCTTTGTGGCATTCTCTGTATTTCCTGAATTTGAATGTTGTACTGCCTTGCTAGGTTGGGGAAGTTCTGCTGGATTATATCCTGCAGTGTTTTCTAACTTGGTTCCATTCTCCTTGTCACTTTCAGGTACACCAATCAGACATAGATTTGGTCTTTTCACATAGTGCCATATTTCTTGGAGGCTTTTTTCATTTCTTAATAAAAAGAATTTCTCTAATTTCTCTTCTTGCTTCATTTCATTCATTTTATCTTCAACCACTGGTACCCTTTCTTCCAGATGATTGAATTGGCTACTGAGGCTAGTGCATTTGTCACGTAGTTCTTGTGCCATGGTTTTCCGCTCCATCAGGTCCTTTAAGGACTTCTCTGCATTGGTTATTCTAGTTAGCCATTTGTCTAATCGTTTTTCAGGGTTTTTAACTTCTTTGCGATGGGTTGGAACTTCCTCCTTTAGCTCAGAGAAATTGATCGTCTGTAGCCTTCTTCTCTCAGCTTGTCAGAGTCATTCTCCATCCAGCTTTGTTCCGTTGCTGGTGACAAGCTGCATTCCTTTGGAGGAGGAGAGATGCTCTGATTTTTAGAATTTTCAGTTTTTCTGCTCTGTTTTTTCCCCATCTTTTTGGTTTTATCTACCTTTGTTCTTTGATGATGGTGATGTACATTTGGGTTTTGGTATGGATATCCCTCCTGTTTGTTAGTTTTCCTGCTAACAGTCAGGATCCTCGGCTGCAGGTCTGTTGGAGTTTGCTGGAGGTCCACTCCATTCCCTGTTTGCCTGCGTATCAGCAGCAGAGGCTGTAGAACAGCGAATGCTGCTGAATAGCAAATGTTGCTGCCTGATCATTCCTCTGTAAGTTTTGTCTCAGAGGGGTACCCCACCATGTGAAGTGTCAGTCTGCCCCTATGGGGGATGCCGCCCAGTTAGGCTACTCGGGGTCAGGGACCCACTTCAGGAGGCAGTGTGTCCGTTCTCAGATCTCAAATTCTGTGCTGGGAGAACCACTACTCTCTTGAAAGCTCAGTTGGAAATGCAGAAATCACCCATCTTCTGATTCGCTCACACTTGGAGCTGTAGACTGGAGCTCTTCCTATTCTGCCATCTTGGAACCACTCCACTTCTCTATTTCTTTTAATTGTGATGTTAGGGTGTCAATTGTAGATCTTTTCTGCTTTCTTTGTGGGCATTTAGTGCTGTAAATTTCCCTTTACACACTGCTTTAAATGTGTCCCAGAGATTCTGGTATGTTGTGTCTTTGTTCTCATCAGTTTCAAAGAACATCTTTATTTCTGCCGTCATTTTATTATGTACCCCATAGTCATTCAGGAGCTGTTTGTTCAGTTTCCATGCAGTTGAGTGGTTTTGAGTGAGTTTCTTAATCCTGAGTTCTAGATTGATTGCACTGTTGTCTGAGAGACAGTTTGTAAAAATATCCGTTCTTTTACATTTGCTGAGGAGTGCTTTACTTCCAAATATGTGGTCCATTTTGGAATAAGTGTGATGTGGTGCTGAGAAGAATGTATATTATGTTGATGTGGGGTGGAGACTTCTGTAGGTGTCTATTAGGTCTGCTTGGTACAGAGCTGAGTTCAATTCCTTGATATGCTTGTTAACTTTCTGTCTCATTGATCTGTCTAATGTTGACAGTGGGGTCTCAAATTCTCCCATTATTATTGTGTGGGAGTCTAAGTCTCTGTGTATGTCTCTAAGGACTTGCTTTATGAATCTGGCTGCTCTTGTATTGGATGCATTTATATTTAGTGTAGTTAGCTCTTCTTGTTGAATTGATCACTTTACGATTATGTAATGGCCTTCTTTGTCTCTTTTGATCTTTGTTGGTTTAAAGTCTGTTTTATCAGAGACTAAGGTTGCAACCCATACCCTGTGTTTGTTTGTTTGTTTTCCATTTGCTTGGTAGATCTTCCTACATCCGTGTGTCTCTGCATGTGAGATGGGTTTCATGAATACAGAACACTGATGGGTCTTGACTCTTTATCCAATTTGCCAGTCTGTGTCTTTTAATTGGAGTATTTAGCCCATTTACATTTAAGGTTAATATTGTTACATGTGAATTTGATCTTGTCATTATGATGTTAGCTGGTTATTTTGCGCATTAGTTGATGTGGTTTCTTCCTAGCCTCGATGGTCTTTACAATTTGTCATGTTTTTACAGTGGCTGGTACTGGTTGTTCCTTTCCATGTTTAATGCTTCCTTCAGGAGCTCTTGTAGGGCAGGCCTTGTGGTGACAAAATCTCTCAGTATTTGCTTGTCTGTAAAGGATTGTATTTCTCCTTCACTTATGAAGATTAATTTGGCTGGATATGAAATTCTGGGTTGAAAATTCTTTTCTTTAAGAATGTTGAATGTTGACCCCCACTCTCTTCTGGCTTGTAGAGTTTCTGCCAAGAGATCTGCTGTTAGTCTGATGGGCCCCCCTTTGTGGGTAACCCCACCTTCTCTCTGGCTGCCCTTAACATTTTTTCCTTCATTTCAACTTTGGTGAATCTCACAATTATGAATCTTGGAGTTGCTCTTCTTGAGGATTATCTTTGTGGTGTTCTCTGTGTTTCCCGAATTTGAATGTTGGCGTGCCTTGCTAGGTTGGGGAAGTTCTGCTGGATAATATCCTGCAAAGTGTTTTCCAACTTGGTTCCATTCTCCTCGCCACTTTCATGTACACCAATCAAATGTAGATTTATTCTTTTCACATAGTCCCATATTTCTTGGAGGCTTTGTTCATTTCTTTTTCTCTTTTTCCTCTAAACTTCTCTTCTCACTTCATTTCACTCATTTTATCTTCAATCACTGATAGCTTTTCTTCCAGTTGATCGAATCAGCTACTGAAGCTTGTGCATTCATCATGTAGTTCTCATGCCATGGTTTTCAGCTCCATCAGATCATTTAAGGAATTCTCTATGCTTGTTATTCTACTTAGCTCTTTGTCTAAACTTTTTCAAGGTTTTTAACTTCTTTGCGATGGGTTCAAGCTTCCTGCTTTAACTCAGAGAAGTTTGATCATCTGAAGCCTTCTTCTTTCATCTTATCAAAGTCATTCTGCGTCCAGCTTTGTTCCATTGCTGATGAGGAGCTGCATTCCTTTGGAGTGGGAGAGGCACTCGATTTTTCAAATTTTCAGCTTCTCTGCTCTGTTTTTTCCCCATCTTTTTGGTTTTTATCTACCTTTGGCCTTTGCTGATGGTGACATACTAATGGGGTTTTGGTGTAGATGTCCTTTCTCTGTTAGTTTTCCTTCTAACAGTCAGGATCCTCAGCTACAGGTCTGTTGGAGTTTGCTGGAGGCCCACTCCAGACTCTGTTTTCCTGGTTATCAGCAGTGGAGGCTGCAGTACAGTGAATATTGCTGAACAGCAAATGTTGCTGCCTGATCGTTCCTCTGGAAGTTTCATCTCAGAGGGGTACCTGGCCGTGTGAGGTGTCAATCTGCCCCCTACTGGGGGATGCCTCCCTGTGAGGCTACTCAGGGGTCAGGGATTCACTTGAGGAGGCAGTCTGTCCATTCTCAGATCTCAAACTCTGTGCCGGGAGAACCACTACTCTCCTCAAAGCTGTCGGTTAGGGACATTTAAGTTTCTGCTGCCTTTTTTTCAGCTATTCCCTGCCCTCAGAGGTGATGTATACAGAAGCAGGCAGGCCTCCTTGAGCTGTGGTGGTTTCCACACAGTTCGAGCTTCCCAGCTGCTTTGTTTACATACTCAAGCCTCAGTAATGGCGGGTGTCCTTCCCCCAGCCTCGCTGCTGCCTTGCAGTTTGATTTCAGACTGCTGTGCTAGCAATGAGTGAGGCTCCATAGGTGTGGGACCCTCCAAGCCAGGCACAAGATGTAATCTCCTGGTGTGCTCTTTGCTAAGACCAATGGAAAAGCACAGTATTAGGGTGAGAGTGACCCAATTTTCCAGGTGCTATCTGTCACAACTTCCCTTGGCTAGGAAACGGAATTCCCTAACACCTTGTGATTCCTGGGTGAGGTGATGACTCACCCTGCTTCAGCTGATGCTTGGTGGGCTGCACCCACTGTCGAACAAGCCCCAGTGAGATGAACTCAGTACCTCAGTTGGAAATGCAGACATCACTCGTCTTCTCCATCATTCACGTTGGGAGCTGTAGACTGGAGCTGTTCCTATTCGGCCATCTTGAAACTGTATCCTTGTACTTTTTATTAAGATTTTTTTCTTGGCTGACTGTAACATGCGCATTATAGGTAACTGCTTTTAAAGTAGGTGCATTTCTCATTCCTCTTTGAATTTGCATACATTTTTTATATAACAAGTGGTTACTAAATTTGAAATTAATTTCTTGGTATCACATTTAGTCTTTTGTAAGATTGTGATCTACAATCTCTAAATGTTTAAGAGCTAAAATTGATTTATCTATTTTCTTTGCTGTTTATAAAACTCTGCTAATCTGCTAAATGTCTGCTCTGAGCTTGGCACTGCAATAGACACACAACAGATATTTTGTGTGTTACATATGAGGAACCAGAATGTGGAGAGGTGAATCAAGTAAATTATGTGACATATTTCTTAAAACTCTGTAAAGTTTCCAAATAATAAAGAGACATTCATATCATTTTTAGTACATTTCTAATTATTTTAACTGCATTTCTTCACCATTATTATTGAACATTCATCCCAATTTATTATTTTAAATGTATATAGAGAAAACTTTCCCTGTGAATATGTGTGTGGTGGGGGTGGGGGTGTTTGTTTGTAGACTTTGTTTTTTAGAGCAGGTTTTAGTTCACAGCCATGTTGATGGAGAAGTACAAAGAATTCCTATACACCCACTGCTCCTACACATGCACAGTCTCTCCCACTGTCAATATCTTTCATCAAGGTGGTACATTTGCTGCAATTGATAAACCTTCCCCGAAAAGTCATTATTGCCAAAGTCTATCGTTTACATTAAATTTCACTCTTAGTGTTGTGTATATGTTTTTACTTTCTTTATTTTCTGTATAGTTATGTAAAACTTTCATATTTCAAAGTTTTAAGGACACAAGAAGCTTCATATTGTAATTATTTTCTTTGAAATGGAGTATCACTCTGTTGCTCAGGCTGGAGTGCGGTAGTATGATCTTGGGCTTCAAGCTTCACCTCTTTGTTTCAAGCGATTCTCTCACCTTAGCCTCCCAGGCATCTGGGATTACAGGTGCTCACCCAAGCACCTGGCTAATTTTTGTATTTCTAGTATAGGCAGGGTTTCACCTTGTTGGCCAGGTTTGTCTCGAACACCTGATCTCAAGTGATCCATTTGCCTCAGCCTCCAAAAGTCCTGGGATTACAGATGTGAACCAAAATGCCTGGCCTTAGTACAGTATTGAAATGAAAATTTTAAATGTGTTGTTTCTTCATAAGCAACCAAATTGTACTTAACCATTTTATGAATGTATTTATTTACATATTCATTTTTTAGTAGTAGGGTCTCACTTTGTCACCAAGTCTGAAGGGCAGTGGCATAATCTGAGTTTACTACAACTGCCCTCTGAGTTCAAGCAATTATACTACTGCAGCCTTTCAAACAGCTGGGATTACAGGCACACACCACCATATTCTGCTTTTTTTTTTTTTTTTTGGTAAGTGTAATTACCAATTGTATGATTCTTATAACAGGAATTCATCCCACTGAAACAACTTAATTGTTTCTACAAATATAAAATGCCAATTCAAAATGTTTTCTTTAAAGGAAATCCAGTTGAAAACATATCAGTGTTCTCAGGGTAGACATAATAATTGATATATACTTTTGTAGAATATATATAAATAGCTGCCCAAAATGTCTGTTTAACAGTATTTTAAGTGCACTTTCATCATGATTGCAAAGACAATGAAAATTTAGCTTATTTATATTTTAAACACTACTTTTAAAAAATTGTAATTGAATGACCTTTGATGTAAAATACTTAGAGGTTGATTGCAAAATCAAGAAAGGTATTTCAATGTGTTTTTGTATTTTATCTAACATTGTAAGAAAGAGCTTCAATTTTCCTTTGTAATCTTAGTTTTTTTTTCTGAAGGATGTTTCTCAATCTCATATTCATAAACATTATAATGTGTGATTTAAACACTGCTATAAAACCATGTCTAATTGGTAACCTTTTATTTTCTTAAGGTATTTACTATGCAGGATTGATTGCACTCAGTAAAAATTCACCCTACTTCCAGTTCCTAGAACTCACTGGTAAGTTTATTTAGTTTCTATAATCTATTTTGGTTTGTTAATTATAAACAAATAGCTTTATAAAAGTAAAATATTTTTTAACATGTGTCAGAGTTTGATAAAGAAACCCATAAAGGTAGGAGCCTATATCTTTTTAAACTGTAGCAAGATTTTTCTACGTACTTTTCCTTCTAAAAGAATGAAGCTAATTTTGAGTGAGAAGAGTAAGAAATTTAATTTGATTTAAATTACATGTTTTTCCTTGCTGACCATATCTTACTTTGTAAGCAATATTTCACCTGTTCTGCAGGTCATTATTCCCATATTTTCATTTTCATAATAACTTTTAGATAGTCAAATGAGAAAACTTCAGACAATATCAAGGGTCCTACAGACACACTGAAAGATACTGCCTGTAAAAATATCCATTGTTGGGAACATTTCCAAGAAAAAAAAAACCTTCAAAAAACTGTCTTTTAGGCCAAGTATCTTTGTATACTAGGTATGCCTCTCCAGTGCAATTGATAAGAGTATTAAATGCATTAATATGCCATTAATGAATAAAGTATGTGTTTAGTAATGTGTAATATAACTTTTGCTCTTAAGTGTATACACAGACCTGATTAATTGCCTTAATTTTGGCCTTCATACAAAACTTTTATAGTTTGTAACTACTGTGAGTTCTGGACCATTGGTTAGACTTCATAATGGACTTTGTAGCATGAACATAAGCTGGCAACTTGCCTTTTATGCTTAGTTATACCTTAGGACATTTAAAATAATATGTGAATTAGTAATGGTCCTTTTGTGTTCCTACGCCCTTGGGATTTTGTCTGTTGCATGCATTTCTATCATCCTGACAGAGACATTTATTCATTCATTCATTCATTCAGAACTTAATCATTTGAGTACATACTTTCTGCCAGCCACTGAGTCTGTGACTTAATTGCCAGGCTTCATTGTAGTAATGTTAGTAGAAGATAAATAAATTGAAGAACAAGACTTTCTAGGCTGCCTGCACACTAGACCATCCCTACTGAAATTCAGTAGGTAAATGATTCTATAGTCTGTGCTCTAGGCACCATTCAGAATAACTCAATGTGATGTTGGAAACGTCTTTACCTATACTGTTTAATGTGGTAGTTGCCAGTCTCTTGTGGCTATTGAGCAATTTAAATGTAGCTAGTGTAACTGAATAACTAAATTTTTAATTTATATTTAATTAGCTACATGTGCAAAGTGACTATCATAATGAACAGCATGATTCTAAGGTATATAGCAGCTATCTATTGCTTAATTGTTACTTCAAAATAAAATGAATGGCTTGAAGAGATATTAAGGAATAATCTACGGGCCAGGAACAGTGCCTTATGCTTGTAATCCCAGGATATTGGGAGGCTAAAGCAGGAGGATCACTAAAGTTCTGGAGTTTGAAATCAGCCTGACCAACACAGTGAAACTCCACTCCTTCTAAAAATTCAAAAATGTTTGAGTCGTGGTGGTAAGTGCATTTTATCCCATTTACTCTGGAGGCTGAGGCACGATAATGACTTGAACCCGGGCGGTGAAGTTTGCAGTGAGCTGAGATCATATGACTGCACTCCAGCCTGGGTGACAGAGCTAGATTCCATTTTACCCCTAACAAGAAAAAAAGAAGAAGAAGAAAGAGAAAAAAAGAAAGAAAGGTAGGAAGGAAGGAAGGAAGAAAGAAAGGAAGAAAGAAAGGAAGGAAGGAAGGAAGGAAGGAAGGAAGGAAGGAAGGAAGAAAGAAAGAAAGAAAGAAAGAAAGAAAGAAAGAAAGAAAGAAAGAAAGAAAGAAAATAAAAAAAACTGTGGTAGCACTTCTCACACTTCTCACACTGTGGCACCAGCACTGATACACAGATGTTCTGCTTTCCCAGTCCAGCTGAAGCTGGGTGTCTGAGCCACTTACAGACTCCAGTAGAGTGCTGTAAAACAGTTGCAACTTTGGCCCTGACCAGCTAGTGAGACTCGCATTTATCAGTAAAGATTAATTGAGAAAGACTTTAGTCAACACCACTGGGGCGTAATTGACATTGTGGTATTCCCGAGTGGAAAGCACTTAAGCACCCATGGTACCTCAAAGATTAGTCTTAAGACCACATGAGTAAAAAAGCTAGCTACATAACTTCCCCACATTCCTTTGTTAGTACTTTAATCTATTTAACTAAAGGTAAAGCAGGTCGCCTTCAACCATATTCAACCATATCTGTTACCGAAGTTATGCAAACTCTCTGACATTCCAAGATGGTTTGTGGCTATTACTATAACAGTCTTTAATATTTTTTCCACCAGCCTGACTGGGCCCCCAACATGAAATAATCTATATATTTACTATAATACATTATCTTTAAAAACAGTTTTTCCATCTTTACACAGTCTCTTTAAATCCATCTGGTTCAGAAATCTATCTGGCTGACAACCATTACAAGCTTTACCTAGCATCCCCGTAAAATTTCCAGAAGTCAGAAAAATGATGAGTAGAAAACATGTCAGTCATCCTAGTGTCAAAATTTGGATAGAATTCTTAGCTAACAATAAAATAGTTTCTGGTAAAAGAAAAATTATTTTAAAAATTTGTGGCTTCCAATTTGACAACAGAAAACTTATAGGAAGATATACTGTACTGAACAGTTTTCTGTTCCCTGATTCAGAGACATGTCATCCTATCCTATTTTAGTATACCTACTCTCAGGGGATGCCAAACTGTTGAATAGTCACAGTACTTTCCTCCTAGCTTCTAGTCACCCAGTCTTCCCACTGTTAATATTTCCTTTGAGAGATAAAGATATGCAGATAATGATACACACAAAATTTGGACGAGGAAAGAAAATGTGGACATTGGCCCTTTGCTTTTAGAAAGTTAAAATTCTTATCTATGATTGTCAAAAGAATAGACACATACATCAATGGGAATAGATATAGAGAATTCAGAGATAGATTCACACAAATATTGTCAATTGATTTTTTTAACAATGGTGCAAAGGCAATCCAATAGAGTAAATATGGTCTTTTCAACATGTGACTCTGAAATAATTGAATATTCATATGTATGGAAATGAACCGTAGACCTAAATGTAAATTGCAAAACTATAATATTTCCAAATAAAAACAAGAGAAAGTCTATGTGATCCTGAGTTTCACGATGTGATATGACACCAAAAGCAAGATATATGAAAGAAAAAAATAGATGTTAGACTTAACTGAAATTAAAATCATCTCTGTGAAAGACACTGTTAGGAGAATGAAAAGAACAATATGAAAGCCCATAATTTACATCACCATGAAGAAACATTAATATTTGCAAATTTTGTTCTTCTGATCCCTGGATAGAATGCAGACTGTCAAAGCAATCTAACTGTAATCCCCTCAGTGAAGACGATGGGGATGGGGATAAAGTGCTGAGCTGACTAATACTTTTAGTTTCAAGAAACTAAAAATTTCTTAAATAATTTATGCTTCTGGTTTAAAACAAAGTTTCAGATTATTCAGAAGGATATAAAGTGAAAATAAACTAGCAATTTCTGCCTGTGTTGTCTAATCTCACTCTCCACTGATAACTCGAATTTTAATAATTTTGTTTCTTTCTTATTTTTCTAGAATTGAGGTTAAAAGTCTATGTATTTCTAATTTAAACATACAATCAAATAAAATTATATTATAGATCCTGTAGGCAATTTGCTTTTTCTATCCACCAATATATCTATCTGTAGCAGTATATTGAGTTAATTGTTTTTAAAGTAAATATTTAACCCCCATTGATGGAAATTTAGTTGTCTTATTGTTTGCCCTTTTCCAATAGAGGCAACCAATATGCAATGTGCACACTCTGTGCACCTGTAAAAGTACAGCTGTGTGAATTCATAGAATTAGAATGAGTAGATGGAAAGACACTTGCATTTTGAATATATATAAGCACTGACACATACCTCTCCCAAGGGAATGAGGATAGCTACACTTCCACTCCATTGCCAACATTAGCGTTATCAAAGTATTAATCTTAATGGTGTTACAGGGAAAATAATGGTTTCTTTGCTTTATTAACTTGCATTTGTGATTTTGTTCATGTTTATTCAACATGTGATAATATTTCTCATCTTTGTTTGACATTTTATTTTTTCTATAATCTGTCCATGTTTTCTCCCATTTTTCAGTTTTGTTTTCTTTTGTCTTAACTGATTTGTAAGAGCTGTTTAACAATATTAAAATGTAATAACTTTAGTCCTGGTTATGCCTGCATATTATTGTAACTATTTTTCCAGTGTATTATTTTTGTTTATTCTATGCCATATGTAAATTTTTAATGTTTATGTAGTGAGGTTCATAAAGATATCTCCCTATTGCCTCCAGGTTTTGTATCATGCTTAGGAAGGACTTTCTTCAGATGTATTCTTAAAAGCTATAACCAGACAAAGTGACTAATTCTTGTGCTTTCAGCACTTCGGGAGGCCCAGGCAGGAGGATCACTTGAGGCCATGAGTTTGAGATCAACTTGGGCAAGCCACATAGCAAGACCTTGTCTCTAAAAAAAAAAAAAAAAATTAAATTAAATTAAATTAGTGAGCACAGTGGTTGCTGGTAAATGCCTAAGCATCTTCAACATAGAGAAAAGTTGAAACAATTCTAGTCAACACTTACATACCTATCATCTAGATTTCACTATTACATTTGCATTATATATGCTTCATCATTTTTTTCTGTTCATCTATTCATCTATCTTACATCTTTTTTTGTTTTTTTTTCAGAGTAAATTGCAGACACCCATGCTTTCCCCAAAGTATACTCTTTATTTTTGAACCAGAAGACTGGCCTCTTGCACACCTCACCATGTCTCTGTGTCCTAATTTGACCTGTTACTTTTTAATAGCTGGCAATCTTCAGCTTATTGATGATCAATTGCAGATGCTTATCCTCAGCATATAAAGTTTGAGTCTCTAGAAATAAAGCTAAATGAAGATACGGAGAAATAGAAAAGCAACTTCTGACAGGAATGTGTCAAAAGGTAATGTTTATCTTGTTACAGTTAACAAGAGTCATGTTTTTGTTTGTCATCTAAAGGTTTAATCTTATGTATAAACTTAGAGTATAATAAAAAAAAAATACCTGGAAATTTTAATAAAAAATGGAATACTTCAGTGCTGTGCATATCAATTTTTTTCTGATGAGATTTGTTTATACCTTTGATTGAGTTCTACAAATACAGTAAATGATATAAAACTATAGATTAAATAAATATAACATATTTGGACAGAGCATTAATGTGGAGCCTAGCTGTGGAGGGAGAATTTGTTGCTGTTCTTATGGTATAATGATTGGAACTTTTATTTTTTTGTAATCAATTTGCAGTTGAAGTTTTTTAATGGAAGTGGTAAGAGAGTATGCAAATGAATTAGCTATGTTCTGAAGTGATTTGGAGAAGATTTGTCAAGCAGAATCTGAAAGCCTCATTCTTTATAGAAAGAGTATCTTTGAGAGAAACCAAAAGCACCAAGAGGTGGTATTTACAAATATTTTACTGGGTGGATATTTCCTACAGCTATTATTGGATTGACTCAGGATCCAGGAATGAGATGTTACAATTGATGGAAAAAGGCCCCAGAAGAGCAGTAGGGACTGCGGCCAAGATTGCAAATAAAAGAACGGTGGGCCTTGAAACGGATACACGGATTTTCATCCTTTGAGACTGGTGGAAAGGGAAGAATTGCATAGGTGACCCGACAAGTTGGAATTATGAGAAACACTCGCTGAAAAGCTTCATCTTCTTAGACAAATTAAGGAGATAGATTAAGGGTTTCAGGAGCAGCTTGGAGGTGCAGAGTAGTTCCTGTGGGTAAGGTAAGAACAGCTCTTTAAAGGAGAGCTGACTGATTACCTGTACTGAAGGCCCAGCTATGGTTGGGGTAACCTGGAGTTGAGAGAGACAAAACCACGTGTTTCTGTTCTAGCTCTGGGGAGGAATTGCAAGGGTCTGTCTCTGCTGCCCCTTTCACTGAGGTTGGAAATATGGAGATGCTCTGGAAGTGGAGCTTTGCATAGCATAATTCATTTTCCTTGAGAAAGACAGCCTATTTAACTGAAGAATCTGTGGTTCTCCTGTGTAGTGAAGGTAAGCAGAGGAGAGGGCAGGGGGCGGGTGACCTAGGTGGAAAGGGAGTGTTGAGTGGTAGTCTCAGCGATCAAGAACTAGATCTGGAGAGACTGGCATGTGGAAGAATAAAGATGGTCCAGGAGTGCAGAACTACAGGATGAGATTTCAAGTGGAGACTGGAAATCAAAGGCAGTGTGCTGCCATTGGATGGAGCCATGGAAATGAGCAAGAGTAAATATCCCTGGGGTGAAGGAGTCACTAGGGACCCTAGGGTCATCCATGTGGCCATTTGATCTCATTACTGGTAAAGCAATTGGGAAGGATATGAAGAGGATGAGGAGTGACAGGGAGTTTGTGTTGGTAAGTGGGAATCTAACTATTCCTTTAAGAAATCTTATTTCTTTTCCAAGTGTGTGTCTTAGACCAAACAGTCTAAGAAATACAGCAGTATTTCAAACATACATCTAAAACTGCTGCTGCCGGATGTTAAAAGTAGGAAGTCTTCCCCCTTGCTTGGAGCTTCTCAATGAGACATAGGTTGTTTAATGCTAAGGGCACATGCTCTAAAATTTTCTATCTCATTTCTGGAAATAGGGCTTACCTCAGCTATAAAATTGAATGTTGGGTGCACAGATCTTTGAGATGATTCTATTGTGTTTAGACTAATAACTTCATCTTCAGGATAGGTGACTAACTAGATTTCTGTTTATTCAACTGTGAGTATCTGAAGTCTTTGAGGAAGATTGTCATTCCCATAAAAACCACCATGCCTGTATTTCGTCACCTGGAATATCAATCCCCTTCTCTCCCGGATTAAACCACAGTGTCATTCAAGGCCCAGCTTGGATGTCACCCCTGCAATGCCTTCCATGATTCCCACTTAGAAACTCATTTGAGGGCTCATTCCTGAATGTGGTCTTTATTTACCTGAGTTATAAAATTATCCTGTCTTAGTGTGATTGGTTCTCCCTGACTATACTGTGAGATCTTCAGAGATAAGGACTATACCTGATTACACTTTTGTATCCAGTCCCAGCGTGCTTCTTGATAGGTAGTTAGTAATTTATTGCTCTGTGAGGACATAAGTGGAAGGTTGGCTCCTTCATTTACAAGTTCATATGAGCTTTCTAACTCTGAATTATGACTCATAACCCATGAACTCAATGACTCATGAACTGAAACATTCAGACAGCACCACCATTAAAAACCAAGGAGATTTTATTCTTTTGGAGTTTTATTTCTGAATGTACATTTATTTTTTTTTTTCCTGAAGAACTTACAAAATTATAGTTAAGGGGACCAGGTGTGGTGGCTCATGCCTGTAGTTTTAGCACATTGAGAAGCTGACATGGTGATCTCATTTGAGCCCAGAGATTCAACACCAGCCTGGGCAGCGGCACAACCCCATCTCTACAAAAATATTAGCTGAACTTGGTGGTGCGTGTTTGTAGTCTCAGCTACTCAGAAAGCTGAGGTAGGAGAATCACTTGAGTCTGGGGGGCACAGGTTGCAGTTATCCAAAATCAAAACACTGCACTCAAGGCTGGGCAACAGAGCAGATCCCAGTCTCAAAAAAATACATAAGGGACTGAGAGATGTTAATTATGTAGTATAAATTACACAAGGCATGTTAAAAATATATGGAAACACAGTTTAACAGAAACTGAGAGAGTAAATACTTATGCAGCTGGAATAGGTAGTTGAGGAATACATTGAAGTGAATTTTTTTTTGAGATGCAGTTTTAATCTTTTGCCAGGCTAGAGTGCAATGGCACTACTTCAGCTCACTGCAACCTCTGTCTCCCAGGTTCAAGTGATTCTCCTGCCTCAGCCTCCCAAGTAGCTGGGATTAGAGATGCCTGCCCACCACCATGCCCAGTTAATTTTTGTAATTTTTGTAGAGATGTGGTTTCATGATATTGGCCTGGCTGGTCTCAAACTTTTAACCTCAAGTTATCAGCCTGTTCTGGCCTCCCAAAGGGCTAGGATTACATGAGTGGATCACCATGTCCAGCTGAGTTGGAATTATTTGAAGGTGAAATAGTTATTCTCAATTTCTGTACTTCGGTTTTTGGAATTTACGAAGCAGCATATTCATTTAAATTTGTTATGCTTTCATTAACTTGCTTGCTAAAACTTAATGCCTTTTTTTTGAGACAGAGTCTTGTGTTGTTACCCAGGCTGGAGTGCAGTGGCATGATCTTGGCTCACTGCAAATTCCACCTGTCAAGTTCAAGCAGTTCCATGCCTCAACCTCCTGAGTAGCTGAGATTACAGGTTCCTGCCACTAGGCCAGTTAACTTTTGTATTTTAGTAGAAATGAGGTTTTACCATCTTGGCTGGGCTGATCTTGAACTCCTGACCTCGTGACCTACCTGCCTCGGCCTCCCAAAAGGCTAGGATCACAAGCATGAGCCACTACAAACCAGCAAAAATAAATGCTTTTTTAGAGATTGAAACAAGAAAATTGATGCTCAAGGCTTCTTTTACTAAAAGATATGGATTTGTTAAGAGAAAGAAAAGCAGAGCTGAAGCAGAGAGTTGAAGATTTTGAACTGTAGGTATGCATGTTTATTCTGGATATTCAGAATGATGAGATTAAAAATAATTACTCAATATATGTCTCAATATTATAACATTTGTTGACAAATAGAATTCCTTTTTATAAAGGTGATATCACCCAGCATTAGAAGTTACATGTTAAGGAAACAAACACTAGGGCTGTGCTTTTGAAATATTAAACATTAAGATGAAAGGCAGAATGAGATGCTATCACCAGGCCACAGTAACATCATACAGAAAATTTGGAGACGCTGTTAGTACTTCAACAGATCATATATTTTAAAGTTAACTTCATTCCTTCAGGTCTGATAGTTTTGTGTGTTTATTTATTGTAACTGAATTTCAAATATCCAGGCCTGTGGTTTTTACCAGCTCTGTGCTCAAAAAAAGGAAGTATTGTGGTTTGACTTGACTTGTACTGCTGAAACTATTTCTCAATGCTATTCACTTTTTCTAAGTGCCCAGAAATGTTTCATCTGTATATTACCTGGGATTGACAGTAGGCTCACCTGTCTATAGTTTGCACAAGAAGCCTTCTTTTCCACTGGGAATGTGCTGTTAATTGACACTGATAGATACTTTAGGGATTTTAACTCATTAAAAAATTTGTCTCCATCTTATTTAATGTTGTTTTCTCACTTCTATAGGTTTGATTTTTTTTATTTCAACTCACTGTGTACTTTACTCTCTTTTTGGCAATAATGAAAAGGTAAATTAATCGAGAGAGAGAAAAAAAGAGAATCAACATTTGGGCAGAGAGAGTACATCACTTTTTTTAACCCACATTTTCTCTACTCCATTTCCCTTCTCTCAGCATATATATTAAATCAATGTAGTTTACCTCTCCATTGCTTTCCACATTACCAGCAGAGGGAGCTAATACCTGGATCCTTTTTTTTTTCTTTTTTTTTTTCTTTTTCTTTATTATTATTATACTTTAAGTTTTAGGGTACATGTGCACAATGTGCAGGTTAGTTACATATGTATTAATGTGCCATGCTGGTGCGCTGCACCCACTAACTCGTCATCTAGCATTAGGTATATCTCCCAGTGCTATGCCTCCCCCCTCCCCCCACCCCAAAACTGTTCCCAGAGTGTGATGTTCCCTTTCCTGTGTCCATGTGTTCTCATTGTTCAATTCCCACCTATGAGTGAGAATATGCGGTGTTTGGTTTTTTGTTCTTCTGATAGTTTACTGAGAATGATGATTTCCAGTTTCATCCATGTCCCTACAAAGGACATGAACTCATCATTTTTTATGGCTACATAGTATTCCATGGTGTATATGTGCCACATTTTCTTAATCCAGTCTATCATTGTTGGACATTTGGGTTGGTTGCAAGTCTTTGCTATTGTGAATAATGCCGCAATAAACATACATGTGCATGTGTCTTTATAGCAGCATGATTTATAGTCCTTTGGGTATATACCCAGTAATGGGATGGCGGGGTCAAATCTCAGACTAGTCAGTATTTTGCAGTACTTCTCAGGATGGCTGGATCTCATCATTTGTGAATCCATCTCCCTGGGTTTGGGAATTGCTGCAATGGGTGATTTGAAGTCTTACTATGAAGATCATTTTATTCTTCAGTATTTGGAAGCCCTGAGTGACCCGTCTTTCTGTTTCTGTCTCTTTTGGCACTTGATCAGTATTCCATCAACAGTTTTTTGTTTTGTAGGGTTTTTTTGTTGGTGATGTTTTGGTTTTAAGAGACACGATGTTCTATGTTGTCCAGGCTCGTCTGAAATTCTTGGGTTCATGTGATTCTCCTGCCTCAGCATTCTGCAAAACTGGGATTATAGTGGAAGGCCACCACACTTGACTAAAGCTGATAGACTATTAAGTGAGAAAAACAAACATTGTACCTTAAATATCTATGAGATAATTAATTAAATTCCAGAGTTACAGACAGCGTTATAGACGATTCAAATACATAGGTACACTTTTTTTTTTTTTTTTTAGAGGTGGAGTTTTGCTCTTGTTGCCCAGGCTGGAGTACAATGGTGCAATCTCAGTTCACTGTGAAATCTGCCTCTTGGATTCAAGGGATTCTTCTTCCTCAGCCTCTTGACTAGCTGGGATTACAGGCATGTGACACTATGCCTGGCTAATTTTGTATTTTTAGTAGAGATAGGCTTTCTCCATTTTGGCCAGGCTGGTCTTGAACTCATCCTGAGGTGATCCACATGCCTTGGCCTCCTGAAGTGCTGGGATTACAGGCATAAGCCACAGCTCCCAGGCCGTAAGTGCACTTTTATTACTTTGTAACTAATAGTATTATTCTTTCATCTCAGAATTGATTTGGACAATTTATCACCTTTAACTATTGTTTAAGTATTAATTATGGTCTATGAGAAACCACTTCTTTCTTGAGACTCTCCGACTCCCCTCAGTCAGAGATCCTCTCACTCTTCTCAGTTATATGCCGCAGCCCACTGCTTCTGCTAGTTTCAACACACTGTAATTAGGTCAGTTCATAAAATACACTGAGGACTTCTGGCTCTTTTCTTCTACTTCCCAGTAGTAATTGTCATGTAGCAGTTTTAGTCTGTTGAACTAAAACCATGTCACGTGATGTTTTTCCTAAATTTGTTAACTCAGCTATTATAGTTTATTTACTTTATGTTTCTCGCTAATTTCAGAACCCAGAAACTCCAGCAAGAAAAACCTAAAAGCATGACTGAGGACTTAGGAGATGGGAGCAGAATACAAAGTGTCTTGATGAGACCTATGACCGAAAGCTAAAAAACAAACTTCTAAAGTAATTGTTTGGCACATTTAAAGAAGTAAAAGGTTTAAATTACATTGGTAGAAACACAATAAACACTAAGGAAGTAGTCTATGATTAACATTTTATGGAAACTTTAGTGTTTAAAAAATGCATATGTTTATTAATAACCAATACTTTCCTGCGTTTGAGTTAGGGTAGCTTTTAAAAGATAAGGTATGGAAAAGCACATCCTCTGTTCTTCTTACTCATGGCTTCTCAAATATTTATCGACGGTGGTGATTTGCTTTAAATTTAATGGCACGTTGTGACTTGCTGAGGTTGCATAGTTGATAAGTTGTAAAGTTTGAATTGTAATCACTTTCAGTTAACTTTTCCCCTACCCCCCTCATACTGCCACAAAGATGGGGCTATCTAACAATGTATAAATTACACTTAGTGGTCAGATTGTTTGTCAGTGAACATGTGCCTTGTATTGCTTCATGATTCTGCAAAGCCATAATCAAAGGAAAAGAGCTAAAATTAACTATGTGAGGCAAATATTGATATAGGAAAAGGAAAATATGGACAACTATGGTTACCTTGGCTTTTCTTTTCTCTGATCTTGCGTATCAGTGAGTAATACCTCAGTGCTAAGACATTATGCCCATGTCATAACTTTTCAATGGGTTCGAAAGCATCTGACACATAAAAGGTACACAGTTAATATTTGCTGTTAATGTATCAGGAGGAAATGACTCAACTCAGGTGCTCTGGTCATTTATTTGGCCTCTTTTTATTGCCTACTTCATAATTTATCATCAATATTCCATTACACAGAACTTGCAAAGATTTCTTGAGATTATTCTATATAAAAAGTCTATTTTAAAAAAGTGTTTTTAATAGATTCTGAATTTCCAATATCTTCTCAATACATTTTGATTTATCTGTAGTTGTCAAGAAGTTGGCAGCAGCTTATTGCCTCTGGTACATATTACTCCTAACCATGACAAACATTATTTTTTACTTATGAAATTGATGCATTTCACCCAATTTTTTGTCAGTTTCTATATTAAAGTAGCTAATATGAAGTTTTTGTAGTTACTGAATTTTTAGGAAAACATGTATTAAAATATGTTTGTTAATTTTATATAGTTATGGAGCTAGTCAACTATTTGGTATCATTGTGACAGCTTCCATGGCCTGCATGGTGTCTTTCTGGCTTTGGGAGTTCTCGTATGACTTTGGCAAGTGTTGGAGTTTGGGGACTGTTCACCACAGGAGTGTTTCTTTATACTTTTGGAATCAAAAGGCAGCTTCTAAAGTCTGGGATAGAAAAGTAAAACCGTGAAAATGTACCTTTGGGTATCACTAATTCAGATATAATACTCTTAGCACCTGCTTCCCCGGACCATGCTTGGTCCCTGGGCACAGAAGTCCTTACATTTGTTTGTGCTGGGCAGATAGTACAGGTGGGTTGAAAGTGACTGTCTAATTATCATTTGATATTGAGTCTGTTGTGTGCTGTGTAAATTTAATTTTCTTCCATGCTCTTTGGGTCAGTTGAGACCAAGAGGAAAACGATGGTTTCAGTAGCCTTATGACAACATAGCCCTCCATTTTGTATGATTGTGATTTATAACATGAAGGCAGGGTTTTACTGTACATTTTATGTTTGAAAGTCATATCCCAGGCTTTAGTACTTAGGGACTTTGAAGTTCACACAATGTCGTGTTCAGTGCCCTCAGGTGCACCTGTACCATAGATAAGCTTCTGCATTGATAAACGTCTTTTTGGAAAGGTAACTGTGAAACTTGTATTTAATTGTTCTTATTCTCAGGTATCAACTTGAATTAATGGATGACTACATCATTAGAACTAACTGACTGATTGAAGAGCAAAGGAAGAATAAAGGTGAGGTTTGGGTGGGGTAAGAAGCCGTAGTTTTCAGTTTTGATACAGGTTATTATCTTCCCAATTTGAGTCTGTTTTATATTTTAAAAAACATAGCTTATGCTTAATTGTCTCTTTGATAGTTCACTTTTTTTAATTTTAATTATGTAAAATTAAAAAAAATTGTCTTCACTGCCTTTCGACAAACCATTATTTTTAATATTTTATATAATCAGAAAGGCCAGTTATTTTTTCTGTATATTTTCCTAAAGTTTATTTCAATATATTTTGATAAATCAGTAATTATCAAGAATTTGGCAGTAACTTATTGCCTCTGGCACATATTACTTTTCACCATGAGATACCTTGTATTTCACTTATGAAAAATTTTCTAACTTCTCTGTCTCCTGTGACATAGCTTCTTATTTCATTGGCTTCTAATATATTTTTTATTTATAATATTTTTACTTTATATATAACCTTCCGAATTCTTGTATATATTGCCCTTGAGACTGGAAGGTGAGTAATTTCCCAATCTTCAGATAATTTACATTTCAATATATTTCTAGGAAATTGCCTGTAAGGAGAGGTGACGTTTTGTTGGAATTTTCAATTAGACTATTGGGAGTACACCAAGAGTGGTTATTTGATGTTGTCCAGACACCCAGTGTGTGGCTTCCCCTTTTACTACTATCTTGTGGAGACTAACCCTTCTTTTATAAATTACTACCATCATCTATATAACAAATTATGCTTTAATAATATATCTACATAGATTCAAGTTAAATAAAATGAAAATAACAAAGTAATACCTACAATAAAATAACAATGTTGTCTTTTACAATATAGTAACAGAGAGATCTTCTTCAAGGAAGTTAAAACCTCTCTGGTTAGCAGGTGTAGATGGTGGAATTTCACCACATAGATGACAGTTATAGCTTCACATCACCTGTTAGGTAGCAGGGCTTATTTCTTACGTGCCTGTGAAAGTTTTGTCCCCTACACAGGCTATTTCATATTATAAAATAATGGTCATTAAGTCTGACATACTGGCCATAAATACTAAATAGCTTTTGTATTCACTAGGAAAACATTATAGTGTTTAAAAGGCTCTTTCTTTCAGGAAAAGCTGTTTACTTGCAAGAGGAGCTCATAGTTATTAATCCAAAAAAGGAGGAACTCAATCAATCTGTAATTTTTCTGTAATAAGTTGATATAATAATTTAGCGTATTTTTTGAAATAGATTTTAAGCAATATATAAAATTTTAGTCATACATAATTTATCCAAAATCTTCCTCTATAGATGTATAAACTGCCATTTCTATGGCAAAGAGGGGGATGACTAAAGTTAACTCAATAGTTCTTAATTTCAATCAACATCATATAGGAAAGTGTAGATAGTGCTTTGAGTCTTAGAGTCCTTCTTGAATCCTATCTGTTTGTCCAATGGCTTGTGTGCCTTTGGGCAGGCCCTTTGACTCCATATTCCTCAGTAATAAACTCTAGGATATTTTCCACAGTATATGGTTGATGAGGGAATTCAGTGAGCTAACTTATGTGCCTAGATCATAGCAGGTGACCAATATTATTAGTTTATTTCTACATAAACCTGTTCTCTCTTGCATCAGCAGCAGCTAAAAATTTCTGTCATTACAGTGTTATCTCACAGATTAAAACAAAATGAGTTGCACTTATCACATGCCATTGCTTCTCTATTTTTCTGTTTATTCTTGTGCTTGCTATCTGAAGATGATGCTGGAACTTGAGGCACTTAAAATATTTTAAATATAAAGTTTATTTTTGCAAGTTTAACTTAATGTGAGAACTTTCTCTGCCTTCATACTCAAATATGAGATATACTAGAAAAGCACTACACAAAACGTTATGTTTTGTTTGTGGTTTTTTTTTTTTTTTTGAGACTGAATCTCATTCTGTCATTCAGCCTGGAGTGCACTAGTGTGCTCTCGGCTCACTATAATCATCACCTCCTAGGTTCAAGCAATTCTTGTGTTTCCACCTCCCAAGAACCTGGGATAATAGCCATGCCCCACCACATGAAGCAAATTATCTATTTCTTTTTTTTTTACTCTCTTTCTTTTTTATTTTTTAAGATGGAGTCTCATTCTGTTGTCCAGGATTGAGTGTAATGACGCGAACTGGGCTCACTGCAACCACTGTGCTCGAGTTCAAATGATTCTCCTGCTTCAACCTCCTGGGTAGCTGGGAATACAGACACCCCAGTACCATGCCCAGCTAATATTTGTAGTTTTAGTAGAGGTGTGGTTTCACCATGTTGGCTGGGCTGGTCTCGAATTTTTGACCTCAAGCGATTTGCCCATAATGATTTTCCAGTGTTCTGGGATTACAGGCCTGAGCCACAGTGCCCTGCTGTATTTTTAGTAGAGATGGGGTTTTTCCATGTTGCCCAAGGTGGTCTGGAACTTCTGAAATCAAATATTCCTATTATCTTTGCCTCCCAAATTGCTGGAGTTACAGGCAGGAGCTACCATGACTGGCCAGTTTTACCTTACCTTTTCATATTTGAATCAAATTTATATTGCTATGATGAGAGCTTGTTGTTAGGTCCTTCGTTGCCTCTCAAAAATGGGGTGATAATCTTAGAAGCACTTGCTTCATGAGATGTGGTCCATAAAACTTCCTCTGTCCCAACTGTAGTGCAGAAGGCAATTTCTGCTACTGTAGTTTGGGTCTTTTTGCAGAGGTTCAGACATCTGTTTGGTGACCTTAGTTAAATTGTGGCACTATACTTAAAGGAGCCTGCCATATTTTACTTTTGCAGCACTATAAAGTCAACATTCAAATGTAAATTTTCCTTTTAAATTTCAGGTTGAGTTAATGTCTCCATTCCCAAGGACTGCTGAGAGTGTGTTCCTGTTACTATCCCCGGGAACTCTGCCATCCTTTGTGGGTAACCTGCATAAGTCACTCTCTATTAAAAAGATCTTAGATGATTTTGACTGTGGGGCCCATCTTCTTTCTGCCTGGATCCCAGTGGCTGCTGCCAGATGCACAGATTATATTAGATCTTGGGTCTGTCATCAAAAGGTAGACCAGATAACTCCTTCTGTGCATGGTAAAAGAGAGAAACAGGCTTTCAGATTAATTTGAGAATTAGAAAGAGTTATTTTTTTCGATACCATCATACATTCCACAAGCAATGAATGAATTCCTGTTTTTCCTCCAGCAAATCATTTGTCATGTTTTAAAAATGGTTTATCAGTTCCAGCAAATACAGTTGGGCCATGCTAACTCATTGTTGTAATTTTCAGTCCCTTATAGATATATGAGTTTGAGCATCTTATTGTTTGCTTGCCATCTGTGTATTTTCATTGGTGAGTTCAGCTCTTTACACCTTATTAATTGGGTAATCAATCTTATTTTTAAGTTTCAAGATTTGTGTATTTTCAGTGCAAATTCTCGCTTAGATCTGTATTTTGCAGATTTTTTTTTCAGTCTGTTGCTTATCTTTCTATTTCCTGAACAAGATCTTGCTCAGAGTATAAACATTTAATATAAGAAAACAAATTATTAATTATTTTTTACCATTACTGGTCGGCTTTGGTATCATTTGTTAAAACTTTTGACCAAACCCAAGATCACATAAATTTCTTTTTGTGCTTTCTTCTAGAATTTGCATAGTTTTACATTTCCAGTTAATGCCTCCTTCACCATTAAAATTTTAAAAAAATGGGGGGGATTGCTGGCAAGATGGCTGAATAAAAAGAGCTCAAGACTTCAGCTCCCAGAGAGATCGATGCAGAAGTTGAGTGATTCCTGCACTACCAGCTGAGGTACACTGTTCCTCTTATTGGGACTGGTTGGACAGTGGGTGCAGCCCATGCAGCATGAGCTGAAGCAGGGTGGGGCATCACCTTACCCGGGAAGCTAAAGGGGTTGGGAAATTTTCTGATTTACCCAAGGGAAGCTGTGAGGGACTTAGCCACGTGCCCCGTTCCACATATGTGCCTCTCTTATGGTCTTCACAACCTGCAGACAGGAGACTCCCTTTGGTGCCTACTCCATAAGGGCTGTGCGTTTCAAGCACAAAATGGGGAGGCTGTTAGAACAAACACTGAGCTAGATGCAGGAGTGTTTTTTTTTGTTTGTTTGTTTTTGTCTTTTGGTTTCCTTGTTTGTTTTCCATACCGCAGTGGTGCCTGGAATGCTAAGGATACTGAACTGTTCACTCCCCTGGAAAGGGGTGCTGAGGCCAAGCAACCAAGTGGTCTGGCTCACTAGGTGCCACCCGCAACGAAGGCAAGCAAACTAAGGTTCACCGGCTTGAAATTCTCACTGTGAGCAAAGCAACAGTCTGAGATCAACCTGGGATACTCCAACTTGGTGGGGGAGGGGCATCCGCTATTGCTGAGACTTGAGTAGGCCCTTATACCCTCATAGTGTAAACAAAGCTGCAGGGAAGTTTGAACTAGTGAAGCCAACTGCAGCCCAGCAAGGCTCATGTGTTCAGATTGCCAGATTTTTCCTCTCTGGCTAGGGCATTTTTGTAAAAATGGCAGTAGCCCCAGTCAGGGGCTTATAAATAAATCCCCCCTCTCCCTGGGACAGAGCATCTGGGGGAAGGGGTAGCTATGGATGCAGCTTCAGCAGACTTCAACATCCCTGTCTGATGACTCTGAAGAAAGCAGCAGACCTCCCATCACAGCGTTCCAGCTCTGCTAATGGTCAGACTGTCTTCTCAAGTGGATCACTGACCTCTGTGTATTATGACTTGGAGACACCTCCCAGTAAGGGCTGACAGACACCTCATACAGCAGAGCACTGGCTGGCATCTTACAGGGGCCCCTTGGCGATGAAGCTTCCAGAGAAAAGAACAAGCAGCAAATAATGAGACAGAAAATTAACAAGGATATTCAGGACTTGAACTCAGCTGTGGACTGAGTAAACCTGATAGATATCTACAGAACTATCCACCAAAAATAAACAGAATCTACATTCTTCTAGGGGCCACATAACATGTATTCAAAATATGACCACATAATTAGAATTAAAACACTCCTTAGCAAATACAAAAAAAAAGGAAATTATAAAAAAGAGCCTCCTAGACCACAGTGCAATCAAATTAGAACCCAGGATTAAGAAACTCATTCAAAATCACAAAACTACATATAAATTGAACAGCCTGCTGCTAAATCCCTACTGGATAAATAACGAAATAGGCAGAAATAAAGATGTTCTTTGAAACCAATGAGAATGAAGACACAACATATCACAATCACTGGCACACATTTAAAGCAGTGTGTAGAGAAAAATTGATAGCACTAAATGCCCACAAGAGAAAGCAGGAAAGATCTAAAACTGACTCCTTAACGTCAAATTTAAAAGAACAAATGAAGCAACAGTAAATGAATTCAAAACCTAGCAGAAAACAAGAAATAACTAAGATCAGAGGAGAACTGAAGGAGACAGAGACGGAAAATCCTTTCAACAATCAATAAATCCATGAGCTGGTGTTTTGAAAATATCAACAAAATACATATACCACCAGCCAGAATAGTAAAGAAGATATAGGGAATATCACCAATGATCCCATAGAAATACAAACTACTGTCAGATAATACTATAAACAGCTCTATGCAAATAAACTTGAACATCAAAAAGAAATGGATAAATTCCTGGACACATACACCCTCCCAAGTGTAAACCAAGAAGAAGTTAAATCCATGAATAGACCATTAACAAGTTCTGAAATTGAGGCAGTAACTGATAGCCTACCAACAAGGAAAATCCAGGACCAGACAGATTCACAGCTGAATTCTACCAGAGATACAAAGAGGTAGCATTCCTTCTGATATTTTTACAAACCATACAAAAAGAGGAAATCCTCCATAAATCATTTTATGAGGCCAGCATCATCCTGATACTAAAACCCTGCAGAGACACACCAAAAAAGAAAATTTCAGGCCAGTATCCCTGATGAACATTGATGTGAAAATCCTCAATAAAATACTGACAAACTGAATCCATCAGCACATCATAAAGCTTATCCACCACGATCATGTCAGCTTTATCCCTGAAATGCAAAGATGGTTCAACATATGCAAATCAATAAACCTAATGCACCAAATAAACAGAACCAGTGACAAAAACCACATGATTATGTCAATAGATGCAGAAAAGGCATTCATCAAAATTCAACACCGCTTTTGATAAAAACTCTCAATAAAGTAGAAATGTACAGAATATATCTCAAAACAATAAGAGCTACTTATGCCAAACCCACTGCCAATATACTGATGGGCAAAAACTGGAAGAATTCCCTTTGAAAACTGGTACAAGACAAGGATGCACTCTCTCTCCACTCTTATTCAACCTAGTATTTGAAGCTTCTGGCCAGGGTAATCAGGGAAGAAAAAGAAATAAGGGACATTCAAATCACAAGCGAGGAAGTCAAATTGTCTCTGTTTGCAGATGACATGATTGTACACTTAGAAAACCCATCATCTCAGCATAAAATCTCCTTAAGCTGGTAAGCAACTTCAGCTAAGCCTCAGGATTCAAAATCAATGTGCAAAAATCACAAGCTTTCCTACACACAATAAGAGAGAACAGAAAGACAAATCATGAGTAAACTCCCATTCACAATTGCTACTAAGAGAATAAAATACCTCGGAATACAACTAACAAGGGATGTGAAGAACCTATTCAAGGAGAACTTCAAACCACAGCTGAAGGAAATAAGAGAGATAAAAAGAGATGAAAAATAAAAAGCTTCCATGCTCATGGATAGAAGAATCAATATTGGAAAAATGGCCATACTGCCCAAAGTAATTTATAGATTCAATGCTATCATCATCAAGCTATCATTAATTTTCTTCACATAATTGGAAAAAGAAAGCTACTTTGAAGTTCAAATGAAACCAAAAAAGAGCCTGCATAGACAAGACAATCTTAAGCAAAAAGAATGAATCTGGAGGCATCACGCTACCTGACTTCAAACTACATTACAAGGCCACAGTAAGCAAAACAGCATGGTACTTGTACCGAAACAGATATATAGACCAATAGAACAGAACAGTGGCCTCAGAAATAATACCACACATCTACTACCATGTGACATCTACTACCATGTGATATTTGACAATCTTGAAACAAGCAGGCAATGGGGAAAAGATTTTCCCTTTAATAAATGGTGTTGGGAAAACAGGCTAGCCATATGCAGATAACAGAAACTGGACCCCATCCTTTCACCTTATGCAAAGTCAACTAAAGATGGAATAAAGACTTAAATGTAAGAATTAAAATCATAAAATTCCTAGAAGAAAACCCAGGCAATACCATTCAGGACACAGGCATGTGCAAAGTCTTCATGTTTAAACACCAAAAGCCATGGCAATAAAAGCCAAAATTGACTAATAGGACCTAATTAAACAAAAGAGCTTCTGCACAGCAAAATAAACTATCATCAGTGTGAACAGACAACCTACAGAATGGGTGAAAAGTCTTGTAATCTGTCTATCTGAAAAAAGGCTAACATTCAGAATCTATAAGGAAATTAAACAAGTTTACAAGAAAAAAGCAAAAAACCTCATCAAACAGTGGGCAAAGGATATGAACAGACACTTCTCAAAAGAAGACTTTGATGCAGGCAACAAACATATGAACAAATGCTCATCATCCCTCATTATTAGAGAAATATAAATCAAAACCAAAGTGAGATACCACCTCATACCAGTTAGAATGGCGATCAGTACAAATTCAGAAAACAGCAGATGCTGAAGAGGACGTAGAGAAATAGAATGCTTTCACAGTGTGGGTGGGAATGTTAATTATTTAACTGTTGTAGAAGACAGTGTGGCGATTTTTCAAGGAGCTAGGACTAGAAAAACCACTGGACCCAGCAGTGCCATTGCTGGGCATATAACCAAAGTACTATAAATCATTCTACTATAAAGGCACACACACACATATGTTTATCACAGCTCTATTCACAGAAGCAAGGACTTGGGACCAACCCAAATGTGCATCAGTGATAGACTGGATAAAGAAAATGTGGCACATATACACCATGGAATAGTATGCAGCCATAAAAATGGATGAGTTCATGTCTTTTGCAGGGACATGAATGAAGCTGGAAACCATCATTCTCAGCAAACTATCACAGACATAGAAAATCAAACACCACGTGTTCTCATTTTTAAGTGGGAGTTGAACAATGAGAACATATGGACACAGGGAGAAAAACATCACCTGGTGGCAGGTGGTGGGATAGTGTAGAGATAACATTAGGGGAAATTTAGGTGATGAGTTGATGGGTGCGGCAAACCACCATGCCTTGGTTGTTTGCATTTCTCTAGTGATCAGTGATGATGAGCATTTATTCATATGTCTGTGGGCTGCACAAATGACTTATTTTGAGAAGTGTGAACAGACACTTTTTGAAAGACACACAGGTGGCCAACAAACTTATTTTTAAAAACTCAATATTATTGATAATTAAGGAAATGCAAATCGAAAGAAAAATGAGATACCATCTCATACCTGTCGGAATGGCTATCATCATAAAGTAAAAGAATAACTGATGCACTTTTGTCTGCTTTCAATTGTGGGGACACAGACTCTTGGGTGTCTCAGGAATTTTATGTGTAATCTCTCAGTCTGTTCACCCAGTGCCCATCCTTATCTAATTTTCCAAGGCTTTGTCCAGCTAAGACTTTAAAGTCAGAGCTTGTGCTATCTAACTGTAGAAAAGTTAATAATGTGATGTTTCTAAAGATAAAAAGAAATTCATTATTTGTTAGATAATTGATGAGATCACTCTCAATTGATACATCAAGGAAATAATAGTTAATGAAATGAAAGCCTGTGTTTGCAATCATAAGGAAAGAAAAAATCTCAGTCCTGAAGACAAATGACACAATTAATTTTTGAAATTACAGAAGAATTTATTAGACAGACTATTACTTTGATATCTTCCCTAACTGTGTGTTATTAGTTCCAGGTTTTGTTAGGTTTAAATACTTACATGTTATGTAGTCCGTCAGTATATGGACTATCATTTTTTAAATGACATTAAAAACGACTATCTGTCAATTTTTTAAATGACAAAAAAATGCTAGCACACATCATGACAATTCATATAAATATTTGTAAATCTCCTTAGCGGTACAGTGTAAAGGAAATAAAGTAAGCTTAGATATTTAAGCAGATGATTTATTAATATTTAAATATTGAAATGCTGTGAAGGTATGTAATTATGTCACAGTTTTGGTATGGGACTTGGGGCATTTGTTTATCCATGTACCCCATTAACTTAATGACTTCCCTTATTACTTCCTGCTGGATGATAACTTTTGGGCCCATGGAGGCTGAAGGACAAACTGTTACCTTTATTGGAAACTCTAGTCCAGCAGGAAAGTTTTCATTTCAGAATATTATTTCCTGGCAGATAGTTTCTTTTCTCATCTAAGGAAACTTCAGGAGTATTGTTACCTTAGCTGCTCCTCAGGTGGAGATGGACAGGACTAATTTTACCACACAGAATCACATGGCTATGAGAAAAGCTAATCTATGAAACACTTGATGGAATAAAACTTATATATTTTACTGTTCATCTTTTTATGTGCTTGTTTTCCATAGGCATGTCTTTCTGCTGAAGTGTGTGTTCAACTATTTCTCAATTTTGTAATTGGATTGTTTGTCATTTGTGTTGTGTAAGTATGTGAGTTCTTCATATATTGTGGATAACAGTCTGTTGTCACATACATAACATACAAATCTTCCTTTCTGTAACATGTCTTTTCACTTTCTTGATAGTATCTTTTGATGCACAAAAATGTTAATTTTCAGAAAATTCTTTAGTTGCCTGTGCTTTTGGTATCAGATCTAAGAACCCACTGCTAAATCCAAGGTTATGAAGATTAATCCCTATGTTTTCTTCTACAGTTTATGTTTTTACCTCTAATATATAGGCTTTGAACTATTTTGAGTTAATTTTATTTGTATTGTGAGAAAATAGAACAATTTCTTTGTTTGCGGTAGTCAGTTGTATCACACAATTTGTTCTATTTACTGATTTTGGCTACATGTCAAAAATCAATTGACCATAGAGGTATTGTTGGATTTAAAATTCCGTTCCATTGATCTCTGTGTGTGTACTTATGCCACTATTATGCTGTTTTGATTACTGCTGCTTATTGGTAGTATTTGAAATTGAGAAATGTGAGCCTCCAAGTTGGTTTTTGTTTTCAAGAACAATTTGGCTATTCAGGATCCCTTGAAATTTATATGAATGTTACAATTGTCTTGCCCATTTCTACCAAAAGGATTTTGGTGTTTTCACAGGAATCCCAGTAAATTTATAGATTGCTTTGTGCAGTATTGTCACATAAAAAATCATCTTCTAATCCAGAAACATTGAGCATCTTTACATTTATTTAGGGTTTCTGGAATTTATTTCAGCAGTATTTTGTAATTTTTCATATCTAATTTTTCCACCTTGGTTAAATTTAGTCTTGAAAACAATATGATCATTGATTTTTTGTTGTTGCTTTCCTGTTGCCCAGGTGGCAAGGTGGTTGTGCAGTCATAGCTCACTGCAGCTTCAAACAGTTTGGCTTGAGCAATCACCCCACCTTGGCCTCCCAAAGTACTGGAATTACAGTTGTAAGCCACCACTCTCAGCCTGTTGTTTTTTTTTTTGTTGTTGTTGTTTTTCTTTATGTTTTGAAAGTTGAAAAAGATGATTTGCTTTATAATCAGTGAAAATATAGTACTTTGAGTTTCCCAGAAGGCCTAATGCACAAGAACTCTAAGTTGCATAGTTGACTTATTGACCATCTTGGTAAAGTTTAATTACTTCTTAAGAAAGTGTACCTGGTAATCTTCCAAAATCGTCTTTAAATAAACTTCTTAAATTGTAACAATAAAATAATGGCAGGACACATTTAAACAATACTGAAGTTTATCAAAGGGCTTAAGAAATTTCAACGCATATTTTTTCTTTCTTTCTTTCTTTCTTTCTTTCTTTCTTTCTTTCTTTCTTTCTTTCTTTCTCTCTTTCACTCTTTCTCTTTCTCTCTTTCTCTCTTTCTTCCTTTCTTTCTTTCTTGACAGTGTCTCATTTTTTTGTCAAAGATGGACTGCAATTGTTCCATCATGGCTCACTGCAGTCTGCAGCCTCTCAATCCTGGGCTCCTTTGATCTTTCTGCCTTAGCCTCAACCAGAATACCTGGCTAATTTTTTTTTTTTTTTTTGGAGACAATGTTTTGCCATGTTGCCTGGGTTCACCTCAAACCTCTGGGCTCAAGTCATGTGCCTGCCTTGACTTATAGGCATTAATAAAACATTTATTATGTTAGGGTCAGTAAGAGTAAGCCAATGTTTTGGCAAAGTTTTGAACATACATATAATGCAATTATTTGCATAACTCCAGTAATGCTATTGACAGCTACAACATCAAAATAGTTTCATTAACAAACAACTAAATACATAAAAACACTTAGCCCAATTGTTTAACTGTAGGACATGTTTATTTTTTCTAGTTTTCAGCATTTTCTAGATCATTGTTAATTTTAAAAGTCTTATCCATAGGTAAAGAAAACCACCTATGAACTACCATGTTTATTTCTCAGTTTGTGAAAATGTCCTTAATTTGTTGACATTGCAAACAAATTTCAACTCTGTTATGAAAAGTACAGAAGACAACCTTGTTAGCAATTAATTTTATAGTTACATTGCATACAGGGAATGTGCTATCTGCTAAAAAATACAAACTCAACTACAGGTCTTAAACACTTAAAAGAGTTACCAGTTGATTATAATTTATTTTATTATATCAGTCTATTGTATTTATAAACAATCAATTGTATTTACATACAATCAAGAAAGTTCAAAGCCATCAGAAGTTCTAGTGTAGTTTCAGGTGAAATGGGAATTTAAAAATCCCTGTGGAGCTGTGGATGTACTAATATGTGTAGGTAAAATATGTGCACTCTCCTTGCAGTACTTTTGAAGGGATGTCTCTCACATTGACCTCAATGATTTTCTTCTCAGCAAAATTACTTGGGCCACTCAACAAGGGTTTCATTATTGCTGATATTTGTGCATGTTCTTTTATAAAAAAATTATGACTCAAAAGATATTTATATGACATCATGGGGTTAGGGCTTTGAAAAGCACTGGAAGTTTTCTCTTCTTCATCTGTTACGTTTTAAAGTAATTCTACTTTGATTTCTCAGAAACTTGAACAGTTTCTTGTTAGACCCACAGCCACTGCAGCCAGGTCCCAATGTAGCAGCACAGCCTCAACTCCAAGGCTGTCCCTCCCCCAGCTGCCTGCATCTGTGGCTTCCAGGGCAGTGGGAAAGGTTTCACCTTTCTGTTTTTTTGAGAAATGAAATTGTTGTCTTAATTTCACTTTTATGTGGTTTAATGCTAGTGAATAGAAATAGATTTTGTGGCCAGGTGCAATGGCTTATGCCTGTAATCTCAGCACTTAAGGAAGCCAAGGTGGGCACATCACCTGAGGTCAGGAGTTGGAGACCAGCCTGACAGCATGGAGAAATCCAGTCTCTAGTAGAAATACAAAATTAGCCGGGCTTGGTAGGGCCTGTCTGAATCCCAGATACTCAGGAGGCTGATGTGAGAGAACCGCTAGAACCCAGGAGATGGAATTCGTGGTGAGCGAGATAGTGCTCTTGGACTCCAGCGTAGGTAATGAGAGCAAAACGCCATCAAAAAGAAAATATTTTTTGTGTTGATATTTTGTGCTGTTATTTTGCTTAATTTGTTTGCTAGATTTCATAATTTCTGGTTGGTTCCTCACGGTTTTCTGTGTATGAGATCTGTCAGTAGTTTTACTTTTCTCTTTTACATATGAATAGCTGTGTGTGTGTGTGTGTGTGTGTGTGTGTGTGTACATATATATACTTGTTCCACTGAAACTTCTAGTACAGGGTTTAATACGGTTGAGCATCAGTGATGTGTTCCTCATCTGAAAGCTTTGGTTCCCAAAAATTTAGATGATGATTGTTATGAGTTTTTCATAAAGACATTTTATCATGTGAAAAAAATGTGAACCACATTTTATTGGATTTTTAATTGTTAAATATGTTTTAATTGTTAAATATGTTAAATATGTTGACTGTCTTTAAGTACTTTTGGTAAAAGTTGAGACAAACGTGGTGTATTCCATCATTTGATTTACATAATATATTGAAAAGGGATGGCATTAGAATGGTAAAAAAACAATTGCTTTTCTGAGAAAAGATCTTAAACATTGTGGTGTATAATGTCTTCTCAATGTAACAAATTCCATGTACTGTTATTTGATTAAACATTATGATGTCTATAATTATCAGATTTAGTAACATTTAGTTTTTTCTCCTAGTGATATCGTAAGTTTAATTCAATACTGATTTAGGGTTAGAAAGGGGTATGATAACTTCTTGTACTCTTATGGGTATTAAGGGTTAGAGATTAGTGTCATAGAGGACGTATTTACAGTTTTTTAAGCATAATGGGGTAACCTTAAGGATAGGATAGAAATGGAGGATTATGATACGGTTTACAATTGCAGAAAAGTTCAGGATTAGATTAAGAGTTAGGGCTGGACCTGAGATAAGATTTAGTGCTACCGGAGGATTAGGGTTGGAGTTACAGTTACCATTAGGTTTATGGGTTAGGTTTACGGTTGAGTTTAGGGTTAGGGTTCATAATCAGGGTTAGAGTTTAGGTTTGGGGTTGTGTTATGCTTAGGTTTAGGGTAAAAAAAATAGGCTTACATTTAAAAGTTAGGAATTATGGTCTTGACCAGGGTTAGGGTTAGTTTTAAGGGTTAGCTTGAGGGTAAAGTTTAGAGCATTAGTGTTGGGTTTCCGTGTTTGGGTTAGTGTTTAGCATTAGGATAGGGCTAGGGTTATGTTTAGGGTTAGGATTCAGGATTCAGGGTTAGGGTTTAGGGTTACTGTTAAGGTTAGTGTTCAACATTTATGGTTAGATGTTAGTGTTAGTGTTGGGCATACAGTTAGGGCTTTGTATTTAGGTTTAGCATGACTGTTAGGGCTGGGTTTGTATTGAGGTTGAGGTTGGTGGTCACGATTAAGGTTGTTAGTATTAGTATTAAGATTTTTCAAGAGTTAGGGGCAAAGATTAGGTTTAGGTTTAGGGTTTAGGTTTAATTAGAGTTACAAGGCTTTGTTTAGGGCTGGGGCTACTGTTAAGATTTAGGGTTTATGACTTAGGGTTAAGGTTATGATTAGGTTCAGTGTTTAGTGTAAGAGTTATTTTTAGGTTTAGTGCCAAGGTTAAGATTATATTAGAATTATGTTAGCTTTACTGTTAGGATAAGGGCATTAGGTGTAGTGTTTAGTGTGAGTGTTAGAGTTATGGAATGTAGTTAAAATTACCTTCAGTGTTTTTGGGATTTAGGGTTTTATAGTTAGAATTAGGTTTAGTTGTAGGTGGTAGTGTAAGGGTTTGCATTAGGGTTTGGTTTAAGGTAAGGTTTAGGATTCAGGATGAGGATGAAAACTAGGGTAAGTGTTATGTTCAGTGTTAGGGTTATGATTAAAAGGTTTGGTTTAGAGTTAAAATTTAGGGTTAGGGTTTAGTGTTCATTTATGGTTTAACACTGGGTACCTGCTTGTGGTTCAGTTAGGGTTAAGATGATGGTTAAATTGTTCATTTAAAGATTAGGATTAGGGTTAGTGTTAGGGTTAGAGTAGGGCTTGGGATTAGGTGTTAGTGTTAGAGTTAGGGTTTACGGTTTGGCTAATGTTTGGGATATTGTTTAGGGTTAGTGTTATAATTAGGGTTAGGATTTGGGCTTAGAATTATCTCCTTAGTGTAAGGTAAGGTTTATGTTTACGTTTGGTGTTGGTGTTCATGTAGGGGCAGAGTTAAGTTAAGGGTAAAATGGTTAGGATTAGTGGTAAGGGTTATGTTTAGTGTTAGGGTTAGGGTTAGGCTTACTGGTAGGGCATACATTTGGTTTTGGTGTTAGGGTTGAAGTTAGGGTTAGAATTTGGGGTAAGGATTAGGAATAGGGTTTCAGTTAGTGTTAGGATTTAGGATTAATGTTAGGGATTAGCATCAGTGTTAGTGTTACAGTTAGGGTCTAAGGTTTAGTTTAGCATTTAGGATTAGGCTCTTGGTTTATGGTTAGGTTTATGGGTTATGATTAGAGTTTATAGTTTAGGATTAGGATTATGTTTAGGTTTTAGGCTTTAGGTTTACAGTTATCATTTAGACTTATTTTTAGTGATAGGTTTAGTGTTAGGTTAGTTTTAGTGTTAAAGTTTGAGTTTTATGCTTTACAGTTAGGATTGGTGTTATTAGTAGGGTTATGTATTGAGCTTATGGTTAGGTTCACTTCTTCAGTGTTTCATTGTTAGCACTAGGATTACTTATAAAAATAAGAGATTGGCTTTGGGTTAAGGTTTCAAGGTTAGTTTTAGGGTTAAGTGTTAGAGTTAGTATTTAGGTTAAGGATTAAATTTAGATTATCAGAGTAAGTTTTAGGTTTAGGATTAGAGGGTATGGGTTAAAATTCAGGGTTAGGGTTAGCTTCAGGATATAGAATTAGCATTAAGGGTTAGTGTCAGTGTTAGTGTTAGAGTTCGAGTTTAGTGTTAGTGTTTGTGTTTTCACTGGGCATTTGGTTGTGGGTCTGTTGGTGTTATAGATAGGGCACAGTGTTTGAATTAGGATTAAGTTTAGAATTATTGTTTAATGTTATTGTTATGGTTAGGGTAGGTATAGTTTATGCTTTAGGTTATAGTTATGGTTAGTGTTTAAATTTATATTAAGCAGTTAAGGTTATGTTTAGTATTATGATTACAGTCAGCATCACAATTATTGGTTAGAATTAGTGTTAGGGTTGGCATTAGGGTACAGATTGGGGTTAAACAATAGGGCTACAGTTTATGTTAGTACTTAGGCTTAGGGTTAAGGGTTAGGGTTAGGTGTAGGGTTAGGTTTGGGCTAAAGATTAATGTTAGGATTAGGGTTTGGGTTTTATGTAACAGCTAGGTTTAGGTTTGGGGTAGATGTAGGCTTAGGGTTGTAATAAGAATTTTAGGTTTTAGGTTAGAAATTAGTATCAGACTTAATGTGAGTGTTATGTTCATGTTCAGAAGGCAGGTTTCAGAGGTAGAAGTCAGGATTATGTGATAGGGGTTGTGGTTAGTTGTTAGGGGCTTTTAAAGTTTGGAGATATGGTTTTTTGTTTATGGTAAGTGTTTTTGTCTTAGGGTTAGGGTTTTGGGATTAGGGTTTTAGACAGTGTTTAAGTTCAGGTTTATGTAATGGTTGGGGTACCTTTGTGTTAGGGTTATTATCAAGGTCAGGGTCAAATTCAGGTTTAGCAGTTAGAGTGGGATTTTGAGTTGGGATTTCACTTGGGGTTTTGGTTTTAGTGAGTAGTTAGGCATAGGGTTGATGTTGGCATCAAGTTTGTGGCTTAGGGCTGCTGTTAGTGTTAGGGATTCTGGGTTATGATTAGGGAGAGGGGTGGGTCAAAGTTAATGTGATGATTAATTACAGGGTTAGAAAAGGCACTGGGCAGCTGGGTACTGTATTATGTCATCACTGTGGTTTGCAGAAGGGAGGACTGAACATTGCACCCAGAACTTATTGGATCTGAGATCAGGGACATCTTAATTGCTCATTGTACAGCCTAGTGGACTTGGAGCAGGAAGGAAGCTGCCTTCTGAGGCCACAGCTTTTCTAAATGTCAATCAAGAGCCGACCAAATCCACAGTAGCTTGTTTTTGAGAGTGACAAATGTTTCAAAGTAGTCTCTGGAAGGCCCAAAGGAAGGGAACTTAGTGACAGCTTACACCACACAAACATTTTGGTAAACCTTAGAGGTAATAGTGGAAATAATTAAATGCTGGTGGCCAAGCACTCTGTGTACCAGCCACAAGTGGAGACTAACTTGGCACATTCTCCTGCACCAGCAGAAGAAAGCAACTTGCAGACTCTGACTCCAGTCTCTGGTGCAGGGGTTGTGTGAGATCTGGAATGACAGCAGAATTTAAAATCAGCTGAATTCCAACTTGTTTGGTCTATTAAATCTTGGAAGGGCTGTTGAGATTGATGGTTGTGGCAGTTCCTTTCTCAAAGAGGGAGACTGAGTCCCATGAGTGGTGATCCTGGTTCCTGTGGCCTGGGATGACTGCACTAAATGTTGTGTCCACTTCTGTACTTTACATTCTTTGTTGTAACACATATCAGCTGTGCTCCTCCCTCCAGGCCTCTGTCCATTAGGGGGCAGGCTCCCAGGCCATGAGGTTCTCCTGTGTCTGGGAGCTGAGACCAGGTTGTCTCCAGGGAGGTGCCCAGTGAGGACTGAATGATAGAGGACCTATGACAAGAGAGGGCTCAGTCCCCCAAATCACTAATCAGCTCTCCTTCCTGAAACACATAGACTGTGAGAAAATTTACACTACATAAATGGGCTCACTTTTCCTTTCACCACTGGAGCTGAGACCGGGCAAAGGCTGCAACAGCCAGTATGTCCCCTGGCACTGACCTATCCTCTCCACATGGCTGTCCTGACCCTTTTTCTTACTCCTCCAACTCTTATGCCTCCTGCCCATTTTAACTTCGGTGAAATGCAAGTCAAAACCACAGGAAGATACCACTTCACATCCATTATAATTGCAAAAAACAAACAAACAAAAAGGTAACAATTGAAATGGTTGAAATGGAAGGGAAAATATGAAAGTAAAATGCTACAGCTGCTGTGGAAAATAGTTTGGTAGTTCATCAAAGGCTAAATATGTAATTACCATAGAACCAACAAAATCCACTCCAAGCTATACACACAAAATGTAAAACAGATATTCAAACAAAAACGTGCATACATATGTTCATAGCAGCATGCACAGTAACTAAAATCTGGAAACAAACCAAATAAATGTCCACCAACAAAAAATTAGCGGTGAAATATCGTATGTCCATACAATGGCATAATACTCAGCTGTAAAAAGGATTACAATATTAATGCTACAATGTGAAGAAAATTCAAAATCATTTTGGTTTAAGAAGCTGAACACAAAACTCACATACTGCATGATTTTATTTATATAAATATTTAGAATAAATAAATCTATAGAGCTAAAAAGCAGATTACTGGTTGCTAGGTATCAGAAAGAGGAGAGATTGGATATTAGCTCCTTAATAGGTAGGGTAATTCTTTTTAGGATAATGAAAATAATTTGGAACTAAAAGGTGATAGTTGCACACAAATGTGCATGTACTAAGGATTACTAAAGAATTCATTAAGAAACAGTTAATTTTATATTATGTGAAGGAATTTCACCTCACTAAAAAGACAAAATTTCTTCCTCAGCATTCTCTCAGCAATCTGAGCTCTCTTTCCACAGAGTGCTCTTAGCATGGGGTTCTGGTCCCTCCACAGTCCAGAACTGTCTCGGCCAGTACAGCCACATACTAAGCACGTACTCCAGTCACACTGTCCACCAGCTCCTTGACTTGTTACTAGTAGAAGGTATCTTAGTTACTGGCATCAAATCTATCATGGTCTGCACTAACCTCAACTCTTGCCTCCTCACAAGAAAGAATTTGACTGAGGGGAATAAAGTAGCAAAAGAGGCTGAGAAAAGTTTCACAGCAAACATGGATGCTTACTTAAAATTTTTAGAGTTAGAAAAAATGGAAAGTGCACTTGGAAAAGATCCAAATGGGTGACTTGAATATATACTATATATATATGACTTGCAAATATTTTGTCCCATGCTGTTAGATTTCTTTCCACTATACTGTGTCCTTTGATGCACAAAAGTGTTTAGTGTTGATGAAGTTCAATTGATCTATTTTTTATTTTGTGTTCATTCTTCAATATAGCTATGAAATCATTTACAAATCCACAGCCAATAAGCACAAGAAAAGATGTTCAAAATCACTAGCCACTTAATACATGAATACCTAAACCACAATGAGATAACCACTTTATCTCCATTAGAATGTCTATTTTTTTTTAAGGAAAAGTTTGAGACTGTGGATAAATTGGAACCCTTATCCACTGCTGAAGAGATTGTGAAATGGTGGTGATGGTTGCACAATGTGAGCATAGTTAATGCCACTGAACTATACACTCAATAATGTTTGGAGTGGTAAATTTTTTATGTATGTTTTTCCACATACAACAAAAGCTTCCTCAGAAGTCCTCCTAATAGTTCCATGTGTGATGAAAGAAGACAATTCTCTGTTATCATGAGTAGAATCCTATTTATTTATTCATGCTGGTATACACACTCCTAGCTCTTCTACACGAACAGCATGATCTCATGAAGCATAATGAGTCCCTTCTCACCTGGCCCATTTGTGCTTTTTTCCATCATTCCATTCTGCTAATCAACTCACTATCTACCCGCTACAAACCACTGTAAATTACAGGTCTGTTTACTGTCTCTGTAGACATTTCTTCTCTGTTATGTAATAGAAATGAAATCATACAGTATGTCATCGCTTCAGACCAGCTTTTATCACTTAGCTTTATGTATGCCTGATACATCCATGGCTTTGCATGGCTTCATAAATCATTCCTTTCTTTTGATGAATAGTATTTCCTTTTATGAATTTACCTGGCCTGGTTAATATTGAAGGGCATCCTGATTCCTTAAAGTATTTGGCCATTGTCAAGAGAGCAGTTACACATAAATGCCTGTGGTTATTGTTTAGGGACGAGTTTCCAAATCAGTTGTCTAAATACCTAGTGTGCAATTGTTAGCCTATATGATGAGACCATGTTTACCGTTGGAAAAAAACTGCCAAACTGGCAGAAGAAAACAATCATATTTTAATGTTGCTATACAAATATGCATTCCATCAGTAATGAATGAGTTTTTCTGCTGCAGTTTTGATTATATTTAAAAAGAAATTCAGACATACTATAGCTGTTAGTGCTCTCACTCTTAGTTTAATTTGCCTTCCCTGGATGACAATTGTTGTTGAGTATTATTTTGTAATTGTTTGTTCATTAATCTATGATTGCTGCCAAAAAGCATCTATGTATTGTGCCACAGAAAACCAATTGTAAAAAACGTACTGTAAGCTCTACTTGGTAAAAACTAAGAAAATTATGCGAGTACTCAAGAGTCATTTATCCTGCTATTTTTTTCTAATCTTATAGTTACTAAATAAAATAGTGAACTGTAGCTAATAAGACATTGTGGTGTATTAGTTTGACGCTTTGCTGTTTAGAGATCACTTTCAATCAAGTGATTTTTTCATGGATGTCAACGGAGCAACAGGAATTTCTAGAGTACAAACTGTTTCTGTTGGAATTCACAAAAAGCTCCATTTCAATTTCAGTACATATTTTGCAATGCTGAATCATTGACAAAGGTTAGAACTATGAAGTTTCTGGTTCTTAAATCTGCTTCTGCAAAGTAAGCCAAAATTTGAAATCACATTTGTTTGGTCTGTTAGCTTTTCATCCTTCACAAAACAGTCCACTACATCAGAATCAATTGGAAGACTGAGATTCATTCAATAATAGTTTACTGTTATTCTTTTTTGCACCTAGAAATCACAAGTAAAATGTCTGATAATTTCAGCAGTACACATTTTAAATAATAAAAGACAGAAAGAATGACAGATGAAATTAATTCCATGAATTTATAATAACTTGCTATTTGGTTTTTCTTACTACTCTTACTGTGTTATCTGTCTTGAGAACATCAAAATAATAATGCATTGTAATAAGTATTCCAAAATAACTGCAAAAAAAAAAACAATTGAATCCTTTTTTTTTTTTTTTTTTTTTTTTTTTTTTGGTGGAGTCTCACTCTGTTCCCACTGCTTGGCTGGAGTGGTATGATCTCAGCTCTGGTAACCTCAGCTTCCCAGGTTCACACAATTATCCTGTCTCAGCCTCCTGAGTATCTGGGATTACAGGAGCCCACCACCACTCCTGTTTAATTTTTCATATTTTTATTAGAGAGCTTTTTTCACCATGTTGACCAGGTTGGTCTCAAACACCTGACCTAAGTACACCCACGTGGCTCAGCCTCCCAAAGTGCTGGGATTACAGGTGTGAGCCACCATGCCTGGCCAACTCAATTATTTTATCTCTTTAGGGAGACAAGTGTAGGTTGAAAACTGTCTTTTCTAATACTTATCAGTGCCTCAAAATTGTTACGTTAAAAATAAAACTTCCAACCAAAGTATACTTATTGGCATCCAGAATTTTAAGAAAAGCTGAGAAATAAAACATCCAGCTTCTGGCTGTTTCCTGGAGAGCATGCCCAATGTCTGGGGAACCCTTGGACCCTGGAGGAAAGGTAGGGCTGGGGTAAGTGGTCTTTGGAGGCACTGCCACTCTGGCAGCCACTTTGGCTCCTCAGGAAATGACTTGGAGCCTCAGGCTTCAGCAGAAATAACAGGGGCTCAGTGAGCAGTATTTTGGGTGCCTGTTTTCCATCTCCATGTCTTCTTTGGTGAGGTATGTATTCAGGTCTTTATCAATTAATTGGGTCATCTTACTTCTTTGTATATTTTGCATAAAAGTGACTTTTCAGATGTGTTTCCTAAATTTTTCTCTGCCTGCGGCTTGTATTTTTGTTTCCTTAGCCTGATCATATTTTTTGTTTCATTTTTTCTTTTTTTTTTTTTTTTCTTTTTTTGAGATGAAGTCTCAATGTCAACTAGGCTGTGGTGCAAAGGTGTGATTTTAACCCAGTGCAACCTATGTCTCCTGGGTTCAAGGGAGTCTTCTGCCTCAGCTTCCTGAATAGCTTGGATTACATGAGCCTACCAACAAGCCCACGTTTTTTTTTTTTTTTTTTTTTTTGTATTTTTAGTAGTGACAGTGTGATAATCAGTTACTATCGGATGAAACGAATGGGGGTGAATTCAGAAATGAAGACAAAGACCAAAAAGATCTGTTCTAAAACATGGGTTAGAGGGCTTATTGCTTCTAGTGAGCAAAGGCCCTGAGCTTCTACAGGACTTTGTATTTATTAGTCAGAATCAGCAGGGAGGAAAGGCAATTGTTGTTCAGCTGCTTGATTTATCACAGGCTGACATAATTGCTTTCTTTGTACTACGGCCTTCAAATGTTCCTACATGTAACAACAAGGAATATTGCACTTAAGGAATGACTGCCCTCAGCATTCCTTCTGGTACCAGACGTGGTGTGTCAGTTTGCCAATGTCTTGCTTTCATGAAAACAGTCTGCTTATAGCCCCTCCAGTCATTACTGAGTTGGTCATGACCCTCATTCTTTTGGCCTCCAACATCTTTTCCTTTTTGTTTTTGCATTAGTTGAGTAAAGGCAATTGCAGGCTATGCAGCTCTCAATTGCTGTTTGGTGGTCCAGCTGATTTTAAAGACAAACAACATAAAATAGAGACATAATAACATTACTCTGATAACCACAAAAAAGATATTGAGGTGTTGTTTCAAGGAGGTCCAAAGGTTAAGGCTCTGTAAACCTTGCTGAAATTCTGCCCAAATTTTTAAAGATGGCTGAAATGCTTCAGCATGCTTATTCAAGTTAAGGATTTTACTTTGTAAATCATTAAAATCAAAAGTAACATTGGATGTGAAAACCCCCTGTAAATGGGCCTTTACAAGTTTCCATGGATATTTCTTTTGGTTTTATTCCAAATTGGTTACACAAATATGATTTTGGTTAAAATTACACTGCAATTGCTGATGCAACTACAAGCTTTGTACTTGTTTTCGGAGCCACAGAACTGTGGTCTTTAACATTGGTACTTCCATTGTATCTCGGTGTTAAGTTTAATTTTAAACACCTATGCCCAGTCAGCTGTACACATCCAATTTTCTACATATTGAGCTGTTTGGATGGAGCTGTGCATTGCTACTAAGGACCCCACAACAAATGTTATTAATATACCTAAGGAGACTTTCACAGAAATTATCATGCCTAAGGCTCTACAAGCACAATGCATAAGCTGAGTAAGAAAAAGGTTTACAAAATGTAAACCAGAGGTGGCCACCCAAATCTCAGACAGATTTACAGGAATCCATAATCTTGGATTGTGACCTAGCATTATTAAGGGGGATATGCTGTATGTTTGTATTGTGCTATGATTAACGGAATGATACAGTTGACAGGAATCATAAGTCAATTGGGCATCATTTACCTGGACTTTTTTTTTTTTTTCTGCTAGAAAAACAAAAGTTTTAAAAACACAAATTGTAAATTGGTAATATTTTCTACCAAAGTAACATTAAAACTGTGTTGAGCACAATTCCTAAAATTAAATAGTGTTCTGACACAAATGCTGCCATTCATAAAGGGAGTGCTGCCTTCCCTATTGACTCCTGAATTGGACTTCTCTTTCCTTGATAATGCCATTGAGGCAAAGATGGGCTCAAGCCTCTTCCATGCCAAGCAAGCTATGCTGCAGATTGGGATTGAATTCCAGTGCAATGTAGTGAAGAGTTGCTAAAGTTTCTTCACCAGTGTCATCGAAGTTCTCACAACGAGGTCGGATTCTCATCTCTCCCATCTAAATGACCACAGGGTCCCCAGTCAATAATGTCTCCCACTAGCATGGACTGTTAGTCTAGCTAGGGTGCCAAGACACTGGGTCCAATGATGGGGGTAAGAATTATCAAAGGAAGCCCATTCTGTATAATTAATACAACTTGGGTGATGGGGCTGGGAGTGGTTATTAGCTATAACAGTAATGTTAATAGAGCTAAGGCCTAATAAGTACATAATTTTTCCATAGTAACTCAACCATGCTTGGGATTAAATTGCAAGACAACTGCAGTTGAGTGATGTACTCTGGGTGACACATAAAAGAAGTCCCTGCAATGGAGCAGTATAATTGATAATCATTGTTCTGAGAGTCTAATTGTTCTGTGTCAGGGGAGTTTGGTATCCTTGTTCCCACACTCCATGATCATGATAGATCACAGGGGGACTGTCAATCCAAATTACAGTCCATAATACTCAGGGATTGGAAACATACGTCCAATATGTTTTTGTCTCTGCACAGGGAAAACAAACTGCACAGGGTGTTACAGGTAGCATGGCCATAAACGTGAAGTCAGGGGTTTTTACCTGAACTTGGCACTCCAGCACTTTCAGCTGGCTCATGGCTTGTAATGGAGGAGCCGCATCCATAGTTGGGATAAATGGCTCTCTCCAGTCTCCCTTTCCATGGTCACAAACACCTTGAGGGCACCCACACATTTTATCCATCTCCTGCAAAAACACAAGCATTCCCTCCTCCTTACATTAGTAAATCTACTGAGCCTGTCCATCATCCTTCTTCTGGGTATTTCATACTACCTTTCAGTATACTCTCCTTTTTCCCTCTAACATTTACCAATGTCCTTCTGCTACAGTCTTACTATCTGTGACAAAAGTCAAAAAATTTAAAGCAAATAAATTTGAAAAAATTAAAGTAAATAAGTAAAAGTAAACATAATTTTGTTTGAGGTGGTATCTGGTCTCTTATTTTTGCTTTCTGTTTTTCCAGCACATGTTGTAATGTTTGATTTGCCCACTGTATAATTCCTTGTCCTTGAGGGTTGTAAGGAATTCCTGATTCATGAGTGATTGAACGTAGCTATAGTTTTTTTTTTTTTAAATGATAACTAACATAAGCGAGTCCATTATCAGTTTTTTATTTGTTTGGGGACCCCATATGAGCAAATGACAGACAATGCCATTGTACATGACCAGCTCTCTGATCTGTTTTGCATGTAGCATTCAGCAAATGAGAATAAGTGTCTACAATCACATGAACAAAGGAGAGCTTGCCAATGGCAGCCTCATGAGTAGCATCCATCTGTCAGATTTCGTTTGGAGCTAAGCCTCATGGGTTATAGCCTTCTATAGATGCGACTCCAGGTACATGCTGGAAGATAGGACAGGCTTACGCAGGCTGCAGCCTGGCTGTGAGGCAAATCAAACACACAAATAAAGGCCGAGGGGTTTTGAAGCAGTAATGTATGAGAAGCTTGAGCTTGTTGAAATGCAGAACAAATCAATCTATCTGCTCTATCATTACCTAGAAATAGTGTAGAGAGTTGTGTGGGAAAGCAAATATGAGAAATATAAAAAGGAGCAGCACAAGAGCAAAGGGCTTGTTGAAGTCTTAGAAACAAGTTAAACAGCTCTGGTTCTAGGATGCCTTAAATAGTGGCAATCTCAATGTGACTGGCTACATTACAACATAGGCTGAATCATAGACAGTGTTAATAGGAGATGAAGCAGTGAGTTGTAAAACCTGAATAACTGCCATTAGTTTTGAGCGTTGAGCTGAAACTCCAGGGATTTTTATTCTTTGAATAGGATTAGGCCCATAAGTAGCGGTGCGACCTTTGAAAGAGCCATCAGTAAAATAGGTCTGGCTGCCTGAAATGTGTTTTTGATGAGTAATCACAGGGAAGATGAAAGGTTGAACTTTTAAAATTGCTAATTTTTTTCTGATGGATAATATTTATCTATTATTCCTACAAAATCTGCAAGAGCAATTTGCCACACAGTCAACATGTCCCATGCTGCAGCCTGTTGTTGGGAATCCAATTTTTTTCCCTTCATACTTTTAGACTTGCTCTAAAAGGAGAACAATATTTTTTTTCTGGATCATATCTCTTAAACATTTTGCATGTATGCCTACCCATTGTTATAAGTTGAGTAATTAAAGAAAGATAAACTTGCAGATACTTTACAGTCTGATTGAATTTTTTTAAAAAAGCCATTCTATTACAATTACAGATTTTTCTATGAACTGGTCTAAAAGTTCTGCTGGAGAATTGGGGGTAGAAAGAATAAAGAGAACCAAAGGTTTTGTGGCTGTAGTGGAGAGGTGGGTGTTTGCTGAAGCATTTGCTCTACAAGCTGTAAGTTAGTAAGTTGCCAAGGAGAATATAATGAATAATCTCCATGGAGTGTCTGAGTGTTTGAGTTGATAAGTTTCAATTAACACCTCGCATTGGACACAGCCAATTTATATCCCCTAATAATTTTTGGAAATCATTCAAGGTTTGTAATCTCACCCTATGGAGGACTAATTTCTGAGGTCAAACATTTATTTCAGTAACAGTAGCACCTAAGTATTGGTATTGGGAGATTGTTTCTACCTTTTCTTGAGCTATTTTGAGATTCCATTTAGGCAAAGCCTGTTTTGTTTCTCTGAACAATTGGTGTTAATTGTTCCGTAGGAGCAATCAAAAGAATGTCATCCACATAATGAATGATGAAGGCAGTAGGAAATATATTCTGAGGCTCCTTTAATGACTGTGCTACAAAATGCTGACATAGCATGGGAATGGTGAGCATGCTTTCGGGTAAAACTTTCCACTGGTAATGAGAGACAGGCTCTTTTTGATTGCTAGAAGGCACAGAGAAAACAAATCAAGACTTATCCATCTCATGTAAGAATATAGTCAGGAAAGAATTTGTAAGATCTACCGCTACGAGAGGCCAGTCCCTTGGAATGGCTGCCAGGAATGGCAGACCTTGCTCTAATGCACCCATTTATTTAATCTGTGCATTAGTAACTCAAATCATGTAGTGATTTGCTGGGAAAACTATCTCTTCTCTATATACTAAACTTTTGCTGAAACTTTACACTTGTGTTCCCACTACTTAATCTTTTAAATTAAGTATTTATGTGTGTGTATTCCAACTAAGTTTTCAAAGAGCAATGTCTTTCTTCCTGTTGGGAATAAAGATTCTACTATCCGTTCACCTTACTTTTGTCTTTTGCCCTCCCTTTTTCTAGATTTTTTTCCCTTCATACTTTTAGACTGGCTGTAGTAAATACATTGTTCATCTTCAAATCGTTCTGTTGCCTGAAAAGCTGCCACATTTTCTGACATATATAGAATCGAGTTTAGGAGTAATGTAGCATCTTTCCACATAAAACGAAACACCTCTGTAAGATTTTGGAATGCCTTTATATATCTATCAGAGTAATCAGAGAACTTGACTAGATATAAATTTGTTTTTTTAAAATTCTGCAATAAAAATTAAACCTGAAGTTTAGTAGTACCACATTTATTTGACATTTTCTGCAGGGCCTACAGGGAATGTAGGGGTTTATTGGGTGGCACAGGGAGAGAAACTGATGATAAGGTGGTTGGAAAGCATGTGAAAGAAGGGCAGGTATGGCATTTAGAAGTTGTATTTAAGGGGTACGCAAAGGTTTGTCTCTCTAATTTTGGGAAATTATCTTCTGTAGCCTTGCTTGACATGACTACAAAAAGGCCAGAATCAATTTTACAATGCTTACAAAGGTCTGGGTTGTCTCCCAAGGTAAAGAAAGCTTGTACATCAGAAACTCATACTAACGGATCTTTCATCTGAAGAAAACATCTGATAATTAGATACTTTCAAATAAACTTTTATCTCAGAAGGCCAGGTGTTTTTGTCTTTGAGCTGGTGTAATTTCCATACTTTTGTGCAGTACAATATGAGCCTTATTTTTTCCCAGTTCGAGCAAAGCTTTTCCTTTAGGTACCTTTTGTTCTGGTTTGGTGAGAGGGATCCGTTCCTGATGAGGGCATCTCTGTCCAACTCTATTCATACACCAGGATGCTGGAGGACAGAGTCTTGGTTTCTGGCAGGCTGGCCTCTCCATTAAGACTAGTCTCTCACTTCTCTCCCCCTCACTTTCTCTCTCTCTCTCTCTCTCTCTCTCCCACCTCCCTTTCCCTATCTCCTCCTTCTCTCATTCAGGTCTCCTAGAGACCTCTGTTTAGAATGGGAATAAGAAAAAATATTATAAACTCTGTGTGAATGTGTGCATGATTGTGGAAATCAAGGGCTTGCACTTGAAATTCCAGTTTGTAGCTCCACAGTGAAAGCTATGGGTTTCAAGTGGGCCCTCACCTGCAGTTTCGTGGCTACCTCATAAGGCTTTAGGCAGCATCAGGCATAACTCAATCTGAGCGGGTGGTTTATATTGGCCTGCCAATGCTAAGAGGAGCCTACGTTCCCTTAGAGGGAGTGGCTAGGTTGGCCTCTGACAGATCCCATCATGGGACCCCTCCCCTTGTTTGTCTATAAAAGTTGCCATAATTGTTTATATACCCTGGGGTCAATTGCCTGTTTTTTTTTTGTCTATTGTCCTATTGGCATTTATTGTCCTATTTAGTGCTTGTCAAAGTTTCTTATGTCAAGTCATCAACACTGCCCAAGAAGTCTGTGCAAGGACTTCTTCAAGGTCCTCAGTGCTGATGTTTTATCACAGGAGGTCAAATTTCTCATCAGTCATTTCAGCTGGCCATCTCATTCCTGCCTTTTCAATCAGAAACCAATTAGGTGTTGTTACGGGAATGAGGGTGGGAAACATTTTCCTGTTTGGGATTTCTGGCACCATAAAGGTTGCTGGCTTTTAGATTTTCACACCCCACAAACAAGTGACTGGACCACCTTCAGATTAGACCAGTGGTGGATTCAAAATAGCTACCCTGCAGACCTCTTTGCTGACATCTTCTATCATCCCATAACTTTTCCTGTGCCCTTAAGAAGGGAACTAGGCAGAGAAACCTAGCCCCGTACTGCTTTACTCCATCTGGAATCTTATTCTATTCCCCTGTGGCTACTCTCCTACCTTAGGAAAGATCCAAGTGGCCCCTTTCCTCCTCATCCCCACTCTTTACCCCATACGTCTCATTTTCCTGTGTCGCAGCAAGTCCAGTGTCTCCAAGACTTGGCTCTGCTCTGCCTCCTCAAACCCTTAAAAGAAAAGGCCTAGTTTGAACTATTTGCCTTTGAGTCATGGAGACACCAAATATATTGAGGCTGTAAGTCAAAAGGGAGAGGGAAATCATGTGGGTTCTACCAGCCTCAGACCCACCTCTTGTCCTCTCCCTAAATCTCAAAACTTAAAAGGACAGAAATCATGTGGCAGGAAGTGCTGACAATAGCTGTTTTCCTGCTTCTGTTGGCCATACCATTTCCGTTCTTTTGGAGCTACAATCCCCCAGGTCATGAATTTCTCTGTCCGTGCTGGGTTTAATATCTCTGCTCAAACTTTGTTTAACTGCCTCCAGAATAGGAAACTCTTGTTCCCCACCTCATAGAGAATGGACAAGCTTACGGGTTTCCAGGCAGCTCCCTTGATACCCACAAGGAGATACCGGTGAAAATTGTTCAAAGCTCTCCTCCCACCTGAGGAGTTTGGGTCACAATTAGGTCAGGTAGAGGGAAAAAACTCCTCAAGGGGGTCTCTAGCTTCCTGTTCTGGCCTATTGGCTTATGTGAGGAAATGCTTTCTGGCCTCTCTCCAGATACATTCCTTCTCTTCAGAGGTGAAAAGGCTTAAAAGGAGCTGTTGACAGTCATCCCAGGTGGGTCATTGGGTCTGGAGCACAGACTCCATCAATGAGGTCAAGACCTGGGGCTTTTTTTTTAAAAAGAGGAAATTTTGAGCTTTCCAGTTATACAGGTCAGAAGTAGAAAAACCTGACCTGTAAACCAAGAATGGGGCTGAGCGCTCATCACCTGAAGGGACTGGTGCCTCTCTCAGTGGTAGGAGGGGGGCTACCTCCTCCTGCCATGGCCACAATTGAAAGACAATAGGTGTGAGAACATGCAGGAGATATAACAATGTATGTTACAAAATTTCTCTCTTGGCTCCTCAGAGGATTATGGGGTCTGCCTTAAAACAGGCAAACTCTGAACACTCTGCGAAGTAGAATGGCCAAGTTTTGGAGCCAGGTGGCCCCCGGAAGGGTCACTGAGCCTTGCAATTGTTCAGGCTGTGTGGCGTGTTGTGGGAACTCTTGGTCACCTCAATCAGTTTCCATACATTGATCAGTGGCTAAGTTTGGTCAGGAGCCCTCTTCCATGCCTCCATTCATGTGCCATTCATAATTCTACTTCCAAGGTCCTGTTGAGCCCAACCTCATTTTCTCCTCAACCCTCAGCTGGCTCCACTCCTCCTGTACTTCCTCCTTCTGAAGAAGAGGAAACTCTCCCTCACCCAGTTCCACCACCTTATAACCCTCCTGCTCCTGTAGAATCTTCCCTTTTCTCCTTGACTATGCCCCCTGAGTGTTTCCACCTATTGCCTCTCTTTTGTGGCCATGGCAGGAGGAGGTAGTCTGGACTGAAGTTGTCCAGGGGACTGATGAGTCAGCAGGAGTGTTTTTAGAAAGCCTCCAGGGGGTCTATCAGACTTATACCCCTTTTGACCTGACAGACAGGTCCTGAAAATAGCTGTGCTCTTAATTTGGGGTTTGTGGCTCAGGTAGTCCCTGATATTAAAAGAAATGTACAAAAACTGGAAGGATTTGCTGGGATGAATATCAGTCAACCTTTAGAAATAGTCCAAAAAGTTTTTGACAATCCAGAGTTTGAAAAGCAAAAACAGGCAACTCAGGCAGTTGAACAGGCCACTGATAGAGCATCCAAAAGACAAGCAAAAATCTTGTGGCAGCCATCCAGGAAGCAAAGAAGGGAAGGCCCCCATCACAGAAGAGTGACCAGGGAATCCCAGGTCCCCACTGGAAAGGCAAGAAAGGTGAACAGGTTCCCTGGAGAAAAAACAATATGCTTATTGTAAGCAAACTGGGCACTGGAAAACGGAATGCCCATTACTAACAGAGGGAAAATCAGAAAAGAAAAAAGTTCTCACCCTCCCTGCAGCAGAGGAGTCTGATGACTGACAGGACCAGGGCTCCATCTGTCTTGGCCCCTGGAAACCCATGGTGACTGCTACAGTGGGAGGCCAACCTGTATGCTTCCTAATAGATACCAGAGCACTGAGTACTGCAGACACCCTTGGGCAGTGTCTGTAATAAGAGTGGCTGTACAATGGGTTACTGGAGCTATTCAAGAATATCCTGTCACACACTCAGGAGAAGTGAGTTTGGGACAGAAAAGAGTAACTCACTCATTTCTTGTGGTCCCAGTGTGCCCTTTTCTCCTCCTTGGATGAGACCTACTTCATAAGTTACAGGCCTCTATCTCCTTCTCAGCCCAGCAGGCTTACCTTATGCTGGAAACACCAAGCCCCCGACTGCCCCACTCCAGCTAAGTATCCCTCTTTAAGAGGAATATCTTTTAATTTCACCATCACAACCACTGGAGAATAACACCAATCCTCTCCTGTTGGACTTACAGACACTCTTTCCCTGAGTCTGGGCTGAGTCAACCCCCCCAGGACTGGCTAAGCACCATCTGCCAGTGGTTGTAGAACTCCTGACCACCACCTCTCTGATCTAGAAAAAGCAATATCCTGTGAGTCAGTGGCTAGACAGGGGATCAATCCCAATATTCAGTGACTGTTACCAGCTGGCACACTCACACCATGTCAGTCGGCCTGGAATACTCCATTTTTGCCAGTCCAGAAACCTGGAAAAAATGATTACTGGCCAGTACTTGACTTAAGGGAAGTTAAAAAATATTCAGTTACCATCCATCCAACGGTCCCTAATCCTTATAGTCTACTCAGCCTGCTGCTGCCAGAACATACAGGATACACTGTCCTTGACTTAAAGGATGACTTCTTTGCTATTCCTCTGGCCCCAAGAGCCTACCAATCTTTGTTTTTGAATGGACAGATCCTGGCTTGGGAGACACCCCCCAATTGACCTGGACTCAATTGCCTCAAGGTTTTAAAAATTCTCCCAATCTTTTTGAAGCTTTCCAGCAGGATCTTATACCATTCCAAGCCAGTCACCCAATCATACTCTTCTTCAGTACATAGATGATCTTTTATTAGCTACAGAACCTACTGACAGCTGCCTGCAACATACTAGGGACCTACTTTACCTCCTTCAGGAACTCAGATAATGGGTCTGCAGAGAAGGTCCAGCTTTGTCCTCCTAGATTGTCCTACCTGGGGTATGAGACAAACCAAGGGGAAAGGGCACTCACCAGTGCCCAGAAGGAAACTATCCTATGAATCCCCTCTCCCACCACCAAGAGACAGGTACATGAGTTCCTGGGGGCCATGGGATACTGTTGCCTATGGATTTTAGGGTTTATGAGGATTGCCAAGCACCTGTACAGTGCTACAGGAGGGAATGGCTCACTAATTTGGACTGACACAGAGGAACAGGCTTTCCAAAACCTGAAAAAGGCATTAACTGAGGCCCCTGCTCTAGCCTTTCCAAATATCTCAAAGCCATTTCACCTTTTTGTCCATGAAAACTAGGGAGTTGCTAAAGGGATACTCACTCAGATCTTGGGGCCAAGGTGATGCCAAGTTACCTATTTGTCTAAGAGAATAGACCCCATGGCCTCCAGGGGGTCCAGTTGCCTGGGAGACATAGCAGCCACAGCAAGCCTAGTTCAGGAGTCTGATAAACTGACTTTAAGTCAAAACTTAACCCTTACAGCTCCTCATGCCATAGAGACTTTGCTGTGAAGTGCTTCTGGCAAATGATTGTCAAATGCTCACATTTTACAATATCAGAGTTTACTATTAGATCAGCCTTGTTTAACTTTCTCTCCCACAGTGTTTAAATCCAGTAACTTTACTCCCATATCCAGACTTCAACACACATGTCCATGACTGCCAACAACTGTTAGAGACCAGAGAAATTGGCCGACATGATCTCCAAGATGTGCCCTTAAAGGAGGCAGACACCACTGTGGATACAGAGAGTAGCAGCCTCCTTGAGTGGGGAGTTCAAAAGACTGGTGCAGCCATCACCATGGAGATGGATATCCTGTGGGCCCAAGTTCTGCCGGCTGGCACCTCAGCTCAGAGAGCTGAGTTGGTTGCCCTGACACAGGCTCTCCGATTGGGTAAGGACAAATGTATTAACATTTACACTAACAGTAGGTATGAATTCGCTACTGTGCATGTGCATGGAGTCATCTATCAAGAGTGCAGGCTAGTCACCACAGCAGGAAAGATGATCAAAAACACAGAAGAAATTCTAGCCCTGCTTGGAGCCCTATGGCTCCCTCAGCAAGTGGCTGTAATTCATTGCAAAGGACATCAAAGAGAAGACACGGCCATTGCCCATGGTAATCAGAGAGTGGACTTTTTGGCCCTGGAGGCTGCATGGCTTCCAGTCATGCCTTTAACATTACTGCCTGCAGTGTTCTTTCCACAGCCTGACTTATGCAATCATACCGCATGCTCAGCAGAAGAAGTAAAACTGGCTTCAGATCTCCAGGCCACTAAAAATCAGGAAGGTTGGTGGCTTCTTCCTGACTCCAGAATCTTTGTACCCTGAGCTCTCAGGAAAGTTTAATCAGTCGTCTGCATTCTACCACTCATTTGAGAGATGCAAAACTGGCCCAGCTCCTAAGTAGCCATTTCAAGATCCCTTGCCTTCAGAACTTACAGATCAAGCAGCTCTCTGGTGTGCGGCTTGTGCTTAGGTAAACACCAGGCAAAGTCCTAAACCCAGCTCAGGCCACTGCCACTGGAGAAACTCATCAGGAGAAAAGTGGGAAATCGACTTTACAGAAATAAAACCACACCGGGCTGGGTAGAAATACCTTCTGATACTAGCAGACATTTTCTCCGGAGGGACTGAGGCATTTGCCACTGAAAACGAGACTGCCACCATGGTAGTTAGGTTTTTACTCAATGAAATCATCCCTTGACATGGGCTGCCTGCTGCCGTAGGGTCTGATAATAGACTGGCCTTCACCTCCTCCATTGATCATTCAGTAATGCATTAAACATTCACTGGAAACTCCACTGTGCCTATTGACCCCAGAGCTCTGGGCAGGTAGAACACATGAACCACATCCCAAAAAGTACTCTTATGAAATTGATCTTAGAGACTGGTGAGAATTGGGTAAGACTCCTTCCTTTAGCCCTTCTTAGAGTAAGATGCACTCCTTACTGGGCTGGTTTTTCACCTTTTGAAATCATGTATGGCTGGGCGCCGCCTGTCTTGCCTAAAGCTAAGGGATACCCATTTAGCAGAATTATCACAAGCTAATTTATTACTCCTGCAGTCTCTCCAATGGATACGAGATATCATCCAGCCACTTGTCCAGGGAGCTCATCCCAATCCAGTTCCTAACCAGATGGGGCCCTACCACTTGTTTCAGCCAGATGACCTGGTGTTAAAAAGTTCCAGAAAGAAGGACTCACTTCTGCTTGGAAAGGACCTCATACTGTCCTCACCATGCCAATGCTCTGAAGGTGGACAGCATTCCTGCTTGGATTCATCACTCCAGCTTCAAAAAGACCAACAAAGCCTGGCAGGAAACATGGGTCCCCAAGCCTGGGCCAGGCCCCTTAAAACTGTGTCTAAGTCGAGTGAAGCCATTAGATTAATTATTATTATTATTATTATTATTTTTACCTTTCTTGTTGGTTTCCACCTGTTATGCCCTCCGCACCTTCCTGTTCCTTACTCCTCACTTCTTTCATGACAGGACATGTATTTGCAAACACTACTTGGAAGGCAGGAACCTCCAAGGAAGTCTCTCTTGCATTCAATTTATGTGTTTTGTTCCCAGAACCTGCTCGTACCCACAAGGAAAGATGCAACCTGCCAGTCATGGGAGCAGGGAACGTCGACCTTGCTGCAGGATTTGGACACTCCAGGAGCCAGACCGGATGTGGGAGCTCCAAAGGTGCGCTTTTACTTCTCTCCTGGAAATCATCCTGACTCTAGTTGTAGAGATACTTATGAGTTTTTCTGCCCTAACTGGACATGTGTAACTTTAGCCACTTACTCTGGGGGATCAACCTGATCTTCAACTCTTTCCATAGCTCATGTTTCCCATCCTAGACTATGTACCAGAAAAAATAGTAATACTCAAACCATAACCACCCATAAACCTAATTCAGCTCAATGGTATTATGGCATGTCATGGGGATTAAGGCTTTATATCCTGGGATTTGATGTTGTAACTGTGTTCACCATCCAAAAGAAAATCCTGATCTCATGGAGCCCTCCTAAGACAATGGGGCCTTTAACTGATCTAGGTGACCCTATGTTCCAAAAACACCCAGACAAGGTCGATTTAACTGTTCTGCCACCATTCCTAGTTCCTAAACCCCAGCTGCAATGACAACATCTCCAACCCAGCCTGATGTCCATTCTAGGCAGGGTATATCACCTCCTAATCTCACCTGGCCTAAACTAGCTCAAGTTTGTTGGCTATGTCTAAATGCCAAACCCCTTTATTATGTGGGATTAGGAGTAGAAGCTATGCTTAAAAGTGGCCCTCTTTCTTGTCATGCACGACCCTATGCCCTCACACTAGGAGACGTGTCTGGGAACATTTCTTGCCTAATTAGTGCTGGATATAACTTATCTGCTTCTCCATTTCAGGCTGCTTGTAATCAGTCCCTGCTTACTTCCTTAAGTACCTCAGTCTCCTACCAGGCACCTAATAATACCTAGTTAGCCTGCACTTCAGGTCTCACTCACTGCATCAATGGGACTGAACCAGGACCTCTCCTGTGTGTGTTAGTTCATGTGGTTCCCCAGATATATGTGTACAGTGGGCCAGAAGAACAACTTCTCATCACTCCCCTTGAATTACATCCCAGGATTTGCCGAGGCCTTCCGCTCCTAGTACCCCTCCTGGCCAGCCTTAGCATAGCCGGATCAGCAGCCATCGCCACGGCTGCCCTGGTTAAGGGAGAAACTGGACAGGTGTCCCTGTCTCAACAGGTAGGTTTAAGCAACCTCCGGTCAGCCATAGATATACTGCACACCAGGTACAGTCTCTGGCTGAAGTAGCTCTTCAAAACTGGTGAGGCTTAGATCTGCCATTCCTCTCCCAAGAAGGTTTATTCACAGCTCTCAGAGAAAGTTGTTTCTTCTGAACCAATCAGTCTGGGGTCATAAAGGATACTCTCCAAAAGGTTCAAGAAAATCTAGATAGATGCCAACAAGAATGAGAAAATAACACTCCCTGGTATCAAAGCATGTGTAACTGGAATCCATGGCTAACTACTCTAGTCACTGGGTTAGCTGAACCACCCATTCTCCTCCTGCTGTTAGGCTTAATCTTTGGGCCATGTATATTAAACTGGTTTCATAACTTTGTAAAGCAATGCATACCTTCTGTCAAACTTATGTATCTTAAAACCCTATACGACCCCCTTGTTCTAAATGAGGAATCAATGATTTGACTCCCCAAAAACACAAATGGGGAATGTAATACCTAACATTGTTTTTAATATGAATAGACTCACCCTTAGCTGAGAAAAGCAGACTAATGCCATTTGGCTCCTTCATTTACAAGACATCAAGGGCTCCTTACCCACCCCTTTTCCTCAAGGACTTTAACTTGTGCAAGATTCTCAACATATCAAAGACTACAATTAACTGATAACATGCTGAGGCAAGTGATGTCCACAGTTCCCAGCAATTTGCTCTGAGATGGTACCATAATGCCCCCATGTTTTTCTGGTAGATAATGCCAAGGGCCCCCTCACCTGTCACCTTGTGATGAATTTAAAGCCCCTGCACCTGGAACTGTTTGTTTTCCTGTAACAATTTGTCTTTTTAACTTTCTTGTCTGTTTTGTCTTCTGTAAGATTGTTGCAACTAGAATTCCCCCTCCTCTCTCTAAACCAAAGTATAAAAGAAAATCTAGCCCCTTCTTTGAGGCCGAGAGAATTTTGTGCGTTATCTTTCTCTTGATCACTGGCTAATAAAGGACTCTTGAATCCACCTCAAAGTGTGGTGATTTCTCTCTAACTTGCTCAGTTACAACAGTTTGCAGGACAAAGAAACCTGGCACACATGGTACCTCAGACAATTTGCCTTCTCACTTGCAGAAAATATCTAGATGTTGGATAATATTGAGAGAGAAGTTATGTAGATAAGACGGATTCTTGCTAAAACTACTTTAAGCAAAGAAACAGACTGAAATACCAGGCTGCAGGCAGATTTTTAAAAAAACTTGCACAAACCTGCTGTCCACTCATATAAAGGAACAAAGCCTGTCAAAGAAATCCTTTTGTATTTTTTTGGCCTAAAACATTCCTACAGGTATTCTGATAAAAGACAAAGAAGATTCTGCATAAAATCATTTCTCTTCCACAAAAAAATCTCTATTTCTTCTACCCAGTGTGCTTCCGTGTGTTCTTATGAACACTTTTGCAGCCATGTGGATTCACCACTATATATATCAGTCTGCTCTTGTGAGGTATCATCAGAGTTTTTTCTCTGACTGCAAATAATAATAATAATAATAATAATAATAATGACTGTACATGCTAAGAGTGAAGTCTGATTGACAACTTAAGCAAAACTTATTCACAGCACAGATAGGAGACAGGATGGGTTTGTCACTATGAGGCAGGTTCTGATGTTTTTATGAATTAAGAAAAGAGTATGCTTACTAGTCTTGAAAAAGTACTAGTTGGCTTGGCTCAGAACCTGGACCCAAGACTGAAAGGTAGCTGAAATAAAAATTTATAGAGGCTCAGCTCACAGTGGAAAGCATATCCAGAAAAAAAAAAGAAGAAGAAAATAAAAGTGTTCATCAGAGCACACTGAAGCCCCCTGGGTAAAAGGAATAGAGACTATTTTCTGGAAGTATGTGCTTTCTTTAAAGAAGAAAAATGTTTTTATGCAGACTCTTCTTCTTTTATCAGATTATTTTTGGTACATTTTAGGCAAAAAAAAAATACAAAAGGGTTACTTGTTAGGCTTTGTTCCTTTATATGAGTGGACTGCAGTTTTGTGCAGGGTTTTAAGACATCTGCCTGCAGCCTGGTATTTGAGTCTGTTTCTTTGTTTAAAGTAGTTTTAGCAAGAATTCATCCTATCTGCATAACCTTTTTCTCTCAATACTATCTAACACCTAGATATTTTCTTCAAGTGATAAGGCAAATTGTCTGAGGTGCTTTCTTTGTCCTGCAAACAATCCAGATATTTGTAAGCATTGTAATGTTGACCATGCCCTCTTAGCACATTGGACTTGTCTATAGTGAACATTTCTCAAAAGTCAGAGAAACAACTGCCCAGGAAAGCCTCAGAAGAAACTTCCAGATGTTCCAGCTTTTCTTCTATCCCCTATCCAGAGACTCCTCTAGTCACTTTATCATCCTCAGCTTCTTCAATTATCCCAATCAATCCTCCATTAAACTGCTACCCCTAAAGAAAATGCTCAATAAACATGGTGCTTCTAAATTCCTGGTTCTCTTTTAGTTACAAGACTTTAAACACATAGATTGGGACACAGAAAAGTATTTTGATAACCTGGATGAATACAGACAGGCTTTCCAAAATGCTGTCCAAGTTTTTGATTTTGCATGGCAAAATGTTGTCATTCCTAAGCCAAATCTGAAGTATTTCTGAGGAACAGGAAGACCTACAGGCAACAGAGAGTTTCAAGGACAAATGGAATATTTCATATAGCCACCCAAAGAAGAAAACCTGTCCAAAAAAGAAAAAAAAAGTGGAAAAGTATAAGCCCCATTTCCAATAAGAAGGGAGACATTGCCCTTAAAAACCCTAACTAAAGGCCTACTGATTTAATGGGAGAGTGGAAACAAAGACTTTCCAATGTGAATATTAAAAAGCTTTCAAGAAACTGGAATCAAATCTCTCAATTGACCTAAACTGGCCATAGTGAAATAAAAACCAAATCAAAATATTTCAGACTTTATGAAAAGGGTGAAAGGGTGAGAATGGATTCTGTGGATTTTGAGAAAAAATCCTATCTCCTGATTTAAATAAAATACAGATAATCTTAAAAGACCAGTTTATTACTCAATTTTTAAATCAGAAGGTAACTTCAAAAGCAGGCTATGCTATGGGATACCACTGTAGAAAAACTGTTGTGGGGTGGCATTCCTGGTCTTTTACAATAGGGACCATAAAGAGGCCCAGGAAGGGAGGAAAAAACAAGAGTCAGACAAAGCACAAGTGACTGAATTATAGGTCTACAAAATCCAGGAGTTTTGAGCTGGACCTTCGAACTTCTGCAAGTTTGGCCATCCAGGACTGTTCAGGAAGAACTGCAGAAAAAACAAAAGGATGCCACCTCAAACCTATCCAGCCAGTGGTGGCGACAACTGGAAGATGGAATGTGTGCAGGGACATAGGTTGCTTTCCAGGGCCAGATTTTAGAAGGTCCAGTAAGACTTATGCATCCCAGGTCTCAATTCAGGCTTCATTTTTTGTATTCTCACCATGAACCATGTGTACACGTGTAGAAAATTCTCATTGTGACATATCACAAAAAGTTATTTTTCTCATGGCCAAAAACTTGAGGAAGTCACACAAAAATTGAAAGTAGAAACAAAGTGTAAGAAGGAAATTAAAATAGCTCTCCACCGTGACAACCAAAATTAGTTGCCCACTGTAACACTGGTGTTTGGGGTCCTCATGTACTGGGAAATGGAAGAATATGATGACTGATCTTGGAAAAAGATCAGTTTGGCTTTGGAATTTGTTTGGGACCAAACAAGTTCTGACATGAAAAGTTGGCCCATGTCCTTGACCCATGACTAACAAGTGCTAATGTAAAAGCTTGGTCCACGACCTTGACCCATGACTAATCAGAGACTGACGTGATAATTTATACCAGTTCTTGTTGTATTCCAAAGGGTGTCCAGAAAAAAAAAGGCCCACTAAAACTTATTGTCCCCCACTGTGTACTTCCTCCAGCTGAAAAAATAGTGACTATATTTGATAGTCCATTGCTTATACAAAAGAAAAGGGTGTTTCAATGTTGTTGTTTTTCAGTTAGTTTCTTTGTGAGCATATCTTTGTGCACAAAGAACAAAGATATGTCTATGTCGGCCTGCGTTTCTTCATATCAGTGGGCTGAAGGTTTGTGTAAGTTTACTAATATGTGTCTGTAGGATCTTTTTTGCAAGCTGGATCTTTGTTTCTAGAAGTTATACCAAGGTCCCCTTCTAACTACCTAACTATTCTCTACTGTTAGGGAGAGGCCCACCCTGAATACCTAACTAACTGCTGTTAGGGAGAATTGATCTTTCCAGCTACTTACTCTTAGGGAGGGGGTTTGTACAACAAAATACAACAGCTGGAACTCCACCTGAGGTCAGGATAATATTTCCAGAAACACAGTGTTTTCATAAGTGGTTTCATTTGCAGTACCATTTGGAGTTTGATTTCCTCTACATGAGATGAAAAAATTTGGTTTCTCAAAATATCTGTGTTAAAATGAGATTAGCTGAGGTAATAAACAGCTTAAAAATTCTGAGGCTGTGGACATGCCCTGATAACTGAGGGCTATAGGTACGCCAGAGAAGTTGTGAGTTCATGGGGCTTTGCTTTGCTTAACTTCCTTAGTCTTAACCCCACAAACATAAACACCCCTTGATTATGAGTCCACAATATAGTCTCTTTACCTGGCAAAATTTGTAGAATAATTGCCTACAACAGGGTATTATTACATACATCACAATATTAATCTTTTTATGTTTTCTACTTAGCTGTAGCAGGAGATTTCTGAGCGGATCACAGGAATTAACAGGGATATTATAAAATATAGGCAAATTCTAAAGACAACTAATGAGAGTAGAAGATAATGGCCAATGTAATATTTGAAATAAATTTTTCTCTTTTCCTTGTTCATTTCTATAAAAAACAAATATAATAGGCCTGAGTTGATAGCAAAATACTCCATAAAGTAATAGTTAAATTAATTATTGGTATAAAATGCAGGCCAAATAATTATTCTCAAATAGCCTTTGTACATTGGCTTTGATGAAACTCTTTTTTAATGAGGAACTTCTGATAAGACCTCTTAAAGCCAAGCACAACCATGGGTTTTACTTCCAAATACCTACGAGTTGGGTAAACTTTTCACCTATTGAGGTCCAAAAAAAAAAAAAATGGGATTTCTGAGCATGTTAAAAAGTGACCTTCTTTGATATTTGGAGTTTTCTAAAGACTGTTGCAGGGTCTAAAAATGCCTTTCATTTATAGCTTATTTATAATGACTTCTAGCCCTTTTCCACCTTCTGGCTTTGGGAAATACTGCCTCTGGCTAGAAAAAATAGTGAAATCCTTAAGGTAAATATGGATGCATACAGTGCTTGTAGCCCAGCAACATTTTTCTCGACATCCCATGCTTGTTATTTAATATTGGTTTCCCCTTAGGGGAGAGCAAGAATTTATCATGCAGCCATTCAGATGGATGCTTCTTTATGGGCTAAAATATCTCTACCTAGTAATAAAGTGGAAATTTCAGGAATTATTAAATTGATATGACTAAATAGAAGGCTGTTTCAACCATAACTAATGGGCTGAGAAAATATTGTATAAAGGACTTTGCTGACACATCCATCATTGTCACATTGTGGGACGAGAGAAAGCCTTGATTGGAAAGCAGAACAAACAGACCTGCTCCAGTTTCCAGAAGGAAGTCTACTTTCCTCCCTTCCACCTCCAGAATCACCCAAGGATTTTGAAGAGTATGGAACCTGAAGAGTATGGCAGCTGTTAGGGCTGGGGAATTGATCTCCAGGGAACTGTCAGTCCTGCTGGACCCTTTGTGAGACTGGTCCTGGGCTTAGTGATGTATGCCTCTTAAATTAGCACACACTTCAGTGCTCACCACCGTAAGTTGGACAATGTTGAGGTGGCTTCCTATTGTTGTCTCCACATTTCTTGCTAAAGTGTCCTGTTTTACCACATTGATAGCAGATAGCAGGTGCCACCCTGGGGCCTGCATTTTTAGAAAACTCTATTGTGTTAGCTAGACTCTCTGTTCTTTTCTTGTTTTTACTCTCCTTTTTTATGCCTCCTCATGTTTCCTATTGTAAAATCTGAAGTAGACACATCCGGGACATTCTTTAAGGTGTTATTGAGATGATAAAGCTAGCTTGACTTAAGGAGACAGCAAGGAAAGGGTCCCTGGAAAACCACCAGTCTACATGTTTGTGTCTCATTTATACATAACACATAAGCAGTCCGAAAAAAAATCAGGCTGCAGATACCAATAAGACAACTAATAAAGGTGGCTGCATCTTGAGATTCATATCTTCACAGACAGAAGAACCTTAAGTCAATTCAGATAAAAGTCTTGCACAAAACTCGGCCTCACTGTGATAAGAAAATGAGCCCTGGCACAAAAATATCCTTGCCTTTTGTATAATCATTTGGATTCCAGGAAGCTCCTTATAGGTCATGGGATGAGCTCAGCAGCTTCTATAAATTATGACTACACCTCCTGATTATTTCTAGGGAAATTTCTTGGGTTAAGCTTTCTAATTATTCTCAGGCCGAGACCCCAGGCCCAGCTGAATCACATGGTCTTCAAAAGAGTGCATTGACTTAAAGCATTTCTTTCTCATGCTAGTTCATAATAACCCTGAACCTCAACCTCATAGTGGGAAACACATTTGCACCCTTCTTTTCACTGGCAGAGAGCTTTCTTCTTGCACTTTTTTCTTTTTTTTTTCTTTAATCTCAACTTTGTTTCTGAGCTTCTTAATTTTTTTTTTTTGAACTAAGACCAAGATCTTTGCATATAATCACAGACAAAGGGATACCTTTACATCTTGTTGCATTGGTGAGACTACAACATATATTGATGCATGGACTGAAAAGAAAATAACTCAGAGGGTTAAAAATAGAATTTAAACTTTCGTATTCATTTCAAAAATGTCTTCTTTGTTTCAAGAATATTTTTTTCTCATAAAGAGCCTGGCAATTACATGAGATTTAAAGGAGATCCTAAGGAAACTGAAGTTTCAGCTTGAGGCTACATCACAGTGTTACCTGATTGCCTTGAGACTAATTCTGGTCTGTGACGGCTCATCAGGCCTTTGGCTCAAGGATTTCCCATTTTTATCTATTGAATTTATAATTTTGATTTTCACAGCTATAATGCCTTTCATATTGTATGCAATGCTGTAGGTACTTTTGCAGACTAGGTGTATACAGACTTGCTTAATACACTCACTTGGTGTGTTAGTAATTATGAATGTAATTTAAAAAGGTTTATTTTTGTGATTTCCCTGAAACAAGTGGAACTCAAGATTTCAGTATAAATTTTTACCTATAAAAGCCTTTTTGTCCCTCAATAATAGACATTCATGGCACTGTATGGGAAGGATTTGACCCCAAGTAATTACCTTTTCCTTTATTAGGAATTTTTACAAATATATTATTTTCCTCCACATAAAAGTTCCATCATGAGACAAGTTCATTTATGCCTGTTGAGAGACATGCGGTGGAAACAATATATCAAAACCCAAATCTGTCTTTCTAACTTATGAATAAAAATAATTTTGAGTCAGAATTCTTAAGCTAGCATTTCTAACCTTACATCACCACCTAGTGAAATGAAATTTCTTTTCTACCTGGAGCCTTGGCAATTCATTGTCCAAAACTTAGATTTTTCAAATTATTTTCCCATTTACATTCCACTCTCATTGGTTAGGCCCCATGTCCTATCTGTAAACAGGCAGACTCCGCTATTAAAGGAGAAAGACAATGTTACAGGACATATTTTAGCTTCTTTGCTTTCCCCATGAAGGACCATTCAGCCATTCCATTTCTACAGCTTTGAGCCACCTTTTCTATGCTGCACTAATTTTGGATTTAAAATGCTTGAAAGTCAGTCTGTCTCATTCTCTGAGATTCTGATGTTTCACTGAGAACATAGTTAGAAAAACCAAAGTTAGTAGGAAGACACTTCCTCTATTAAAATGGTTTGAACAAATTTTACTACTATGTAACATCTCCAAGGCCTCTGGGGTGAATTGCAAGCCTTTGGGGCTCAGTGGGTCTCGGGCAAAAGCAGGGCAGAAAAGTAGGGATTTGCACAGGTGAGTGTCACTAGTGCTGCTGACTAGCTCCTCCAGATTTATGAGTAAAGGCTATACTTCCATTTATGGGCAGCACCTATGACCATTTGGGGACACCAATGAGACAGAGGAAAAAGATGAAAAAGTATACCTTAACTCTTTCTATTTATTCTGGGTAACAACAAAAGGAGGAAGGCATCTGAGTGATGCCTTATTTCCTCTCTGTTCCTAGATGGCAACAAAGCAACTGTAGACTGCACTCCCCTTGAATGCACTTGGAAGCACTGTGACTCCATTGACCCTGAGTCTCTAAATTTAAAAACAATAATAATAATATTCAATTGACAACAAGATGGCCATATTCCTGATAGAAGACCTGGCCTTCCCAAAGAAGCATAATTTCAGTAATATCTAACAACTAGGTCTTTTTGCTCTCCAAAAAACCAAGATTTTGTAAACATTGTAAAATTTCACCTGCCACTTTGGGAACCATGCAAGGTGAGTCTACCAAAGTTAAAGAGTCAAATCTCTAGAGAACGGCCAAATGCATTTTCTGAGTGCCCAATCTGCCTCCTTTATCTGAGACTCAGAATAGCCATATAATAACCCCTATGGTTGTGCATTCCCAGGAAACCTTCAACTTTACTGTTGCCAATATAACAAACGCACAATGAACATGGTGCTACTAAGGTTTAAATTTCCTTCTCACTGCAGTAAATGTACACATAAAGCCAGACTTAGGGCAGTTCCCTGATAGACCTACACAGGCTTTCCAAAATTTAAACCACATTTTTCATCTTATCTGCAGAAATGCAGTGCAACTATTAAGCCACATTTTAACTACTGCTGAAAAACAGGCAGCACTACAGGCAGCATTATAGGCAACAAAGGAATTTGAAGATGAACAACTGACATCCCATAGTCAATCAAAAATAGACACATTTGGAAGATGAAAATGAGTGAAAAAAGACAGAATTACTATTTCCAACAGAAATAAAAATACTGCTGTTTTACAATCCTAATTGAAGCCTTAGTAAACACATAGCTGAATGGAAAAAAGAACACTTTCTACTGTGCATATTAACAGACTTCCAAAGAACCAGAATAAAACCTGTTAATTACTCTAAACTGCCCTTGTTGAACCACAAACCAGAAAAATATCTCTCAGCTTCTTTGGAAAGGCTGAGAGAAGCTTTAGCAAAACATATCTCTCTATGTCCTAATTCAATCAGGAGTTAGACAATGTTAAAATACTAGTTTATTTCTCAGCCATCTTCTAATATCAGAAAAAAAAAACTACAGAAGTAAGCTTTGGGATCAGATAGCACTTTGGAAAACTTCCTGGAGTGGCTTCCTGATCTTTTAAAACAAGAACTGGAAAGAGGAGACCTAGTAAGTAGAGAGGAGACACAAGAGATTGAAAAAGGCATTACTCACCATTTCACAGGCCTACAAGATCTAGAATCCCCAACATACACCTGCTGATTTCTACTAGTGTGACAAGCCAGGACACTTTAAAAGGAATTGCCCAGGCGGTAAAAGAATATACCCTAATGTTCAGCCTGTGAGGGAGATGAGTGAAAGAAGAAATGTCCCCAGAGACATAGGTCACCATGTCCAGCATGTGTATCCCACATTGTTCAGCAGGAATAATTGATACCAAGCTCTACCTGTCACTGTGATCTAGAGGATTCAAGTAATTCTTGAGGCAAAATGGAAATTAAACAACAACAACAACAAAAAGAACAACATTTTTCTAAATTCTAGAGCCTGTTTCTCTCTTCTTCTCTCCAATCCAGGGATCTCCTCCAATAGTGAAGTGTGTTAGCTAGCTTGCCTTATACAGACAGAAAGACAAGTATCTCCAGAAACTTCTGAGCCCACTGGTCACTGCCTCATTTCCACATAAGATAAAAAGCAGCCTAGAAAAAAACATTCCAGCTGAAGGCACCAATACATGAACTAGAACAGAGAGTTGTGTCTGAAGACATGCCCACAGCTGCACAGATAGAAGAACCTCCAGCTCACTCAGAAACTTCTGGAAACTTCAAGCTTACTCAAATGGGAAGACAAGGCCTGCAATAGAAATAGCTTTGTCCATTTTATAATCAGTGGGCTTCCAGAAATGTTTCTTTTCATTTTGTGAACATAAAGAGAGTGGGAGAGTGGGAGTAAGTGCCTTCCAGGGAACACTTTTAGTTTCTTCTTGGATTGTGAGCCCCACATCTCTGAATCATTACTTCAGCCTCAGATTAGTTCTGGACAAAATCCTGGGCCACGGTTTCACTTCAGCTTCTGAAGAGTTGTTCGCTAAGCTGAGTAGCCTTTATGAATATTGACTTTTGCAACTAATAGGTACTGAGCCAAGGTCTCAGGCTAAGCTTTCTGATTGGGCTAGGATCTAAGGACCCAGGCAGAACTAAGCCACACATTTTTTAAGACAGCCTACAGACTAAGTCCATTTCTTACCACTCACAACACAAAAATGCTGAACCCAAGTTTCATATTGCTTAACCCATTTTGACCACATCACTGCCGTCATTGAGCTGTTTTCTTTTGCTTCTTAAACTTTCTCTTCAACCTTAGTGCTCTTTAGTCTTCTAAAATGTGTCTGTGATTCTTATTCTTCTAAAACATAGAAAAGAAACATCCAGTATTAACTTAGATAAGTAGAGACTGTTAGTGTTTGTGCACTGGTGAAATACAATAGCAAGATTGTGATGGGCTTCCTGGGAACGCACTAATGCTCTGCTAAACTATCTGGCAAAAATTAAAAAACAAAGCAAAACAAAACAAAACTATTGATTATCAAAATCTAATGCTCAACTCTTTCAGACTTCAGTATGGTACCTGAGTCTAGTCTTATTAGAAGAGACCAACACACAAGGTCAGGAATCAATCCCATTTTTTTTGACAGTTAAGAAGATTCTTGGGCATTACCTGATTTTTCAGATGGCAGGTACTTCGGTACAGAGAAGTAGCTAATCTTTTATACCATGTCATAGTAGAAACTAAAGCAGATAAAACTCACTGCTTAACTTAAGAACCTGGTACTCACAAAAATTTAACCAGCTAAACAAACCTTACTTAAAGCACAAGCCCTAGGTTTTTCCATAGTAAAGGCATTAATCTCTGTGTATCAGGAAGAGAGAAAATAGACCTTGAAACCTGAGATGAGGCTCGAGGTCCAGCTCCACAACTAGTGGTTTACTTAAGGAAGAAATTTAGCTTGGTTTCTAATAAAATGGACAGCCTACTTCTCAGCAGTTGCATCGGTGACATTGTTGGTGTCAGAAGTCATTAGTTTCACTATGAAAATAACATGCCTGATGGCACACCACACAGCATAGCAGGACTGCTGTTTCCTTAAAAAAGTCTCTTGTGAACTGACAATCGCCTCCTCAAATGTCAGGCTTTGATGCTAAAGAGAGCTGCAGCCCATTTGAAAGCCTGTCCTTGCCTGAACCCAGCGACTTTCTACCAGGGGAAACTTGAGAAGATGAACATGATTGTGAACAGGTAGCGGTGTAAACTGGTCAAATAAATTATACACATCCCTGTTTATATTCTCTGTAAGGTAAAATTAATAAAAAATGTTAAAAAGCTATCAGCTTAATTAAAAGTGGAGATTTATGCTATAGGTATATTCAAAAGACATTTATGTTTTTCTCCTCATAAATCTTGTTTTCTTGAAAAAGTTTTTTCTCTCTGTCAGCTAAATTACCTTTATCCACTCTACCACAAATTGTCTTTTGTGAGAAATCTGTATTTCTTATGTAGGCCTTGGAATTAGAAGTGAATAATACCTCTCAAAATCTCTCTCTTATCTATCTCTTTTGCAAGCTATGCTTTTTCTTTTCTTTTCTTTTCTTTGTGTGTGTGTGTGTTTTTTTTTTTTTTTTTTTTTTTTTTTGGGAGTCTCACTCTGTCACCAGGCTGGAGTGCAGTTGTACACCCTTGTATCATTGCAACCCCTGCCTCCTGGGATCAAGGGATTCTCCTGTTTCCAAGTGATTCTCCTCTCTCAGCCTCCCGAGTAGCTGAGACTAAAAATTGTACACAATCATGCCCAGCTAATTTCTGTGTTTTTAGTAGAGACGGGGTTTAACCACGTTGGCCAGGTTTGTCTCAATCTCTTGACCTTCTGCTCTCCCAACCTGGGCTTCGTAAAGTGCTGGGATTACAGGTGTGAGCCATCGTGCCCAGCCTCAGTGAGGCTTTTTTATTAGGCCCTGGAAACTATTCATAGCGCACTTCTTAAAGGGCCTCAGAGGTCAATAATCCAATTGGAAAACTGGTAAAATAAAATTTTATAGCTCCTGGAACTTCTGTTTCTCTGTATTGTTATGTATGTGTTATGTGTATTTTTTTTAAAAAATATGACTCATTAACTCAGTGAAGAATAAGTACTTGAAGTAAATATTTTGCTGAACAAGAAAATAAAGGCTTTTGTACTTTTCAGTTCACGTGATTTTAACTTATGGAAAACAAAAACAACCTAAGGCCCGAAGACATATAAAAATAAACACTCCCTTAATAATGTTGTCACAAATCAGATTTATCTGCACCCAGCCCATCATTTTATAAACTCATAAGGTCTTACATTCAAGTTAATTGTTAAAAGGTATTATTATAATGCGTAATTGAGAATATGGAATGTAAATTTAATCACCAGGTGTGGTAGAAGAGTAAAATGTGTTTGTAGTAAAAATAAATTATAGAAAGGCATGGAAATGTGCATTTTGCTAGAGTTAAAGGATTTTCTTTAATTAACTAAAGTAAATCTAAATGTTTACACAAGCTGTGAAAAATAACTGTCAAAAATTCGATATTGCCAAAAAAACCTCTGTAACCTAGTAACTAGATTCATAAGTGTATTATGTTTATTTCTTCAGTTAAGCATTGAAATGAAAGCACAACAAAAATTTCTTGAAACACTAATCTTTCTTTAGCAAATTTGTAAAAGGTTATTAAAATGTTGTAGTAACCTTGTGAAAATCTCACTTCATGGTCAAACTTTCTAAGGTTAAACATAATTTTACATAAGGTTTCATTAAATTTAGGGTTAATATTAGGAGGAGATTAATTCAAGGGTAAAATTTGTCTTTCTGAAAGAGATTATTACATAATAGTGAAGGCTGATAAAACATTTCTGCCCTTTCAAACATTTCTACCTTTTGTATTTTGGCAAAACAAATGACTTATGGAAATCTGGAATTGTATTTCATAATCTTAAGTGTCTTAATCCTCTAAAATGTTTGGCAGGCTTCCAGGCATAAAATTTTAATTTCAAGGATGAATCTTCCGAAACCTATATTTTGGGTGCTTCAGAGGGCCCCTGGGCATAAAAGAAAAAGTTAAACATATTTATAAAACATACTTAAATACATGTAATTTTGATGGTAATATTTTATTTTTTTCAGAATATATTTCAGTGAGTCATATTAACACAAGTATCAAAACCATATAGTGTTCTTAATGTTCTTAATCTCTGAATATGTGCTATCAATTTTAATTAAAATTATTATGTTAAGCTCTTGTAAACCACAGACATAACCAAGTGTCTTTGTCTATTCTGTTTCTAACCACCCTAGATATGTTGTCATTTATAAACATTTAATCTCCCTCAAGAATAAGGGTTTATAATTAGCTCTAGAAGTTTTCCAGGTCGTCTCAACTGCAGGTTTTTTACAACAGAAAAATGCACAGAATTTAGGAATAGCTAAAATGTTTATAAATGTCAAGCAGGACAAATGTTAAAATAGACTAAAGCGGCAGAATAATGAAGCAATCACTTTACCTTTTGTTTGGAATATTTCTGACTCTTGTTTTTTGTTTTAAAGTCAGGAACACTTTCTTTTAAACTAGCTACAGTTTTTAACACTGTCATTGATAGACTGTTGTTAATAAAACTTGGAAAATACTTTTTTTCCCTCTGTGCCTGGTTCCTCTAAAATTTGGAAACTATGTGTGATTATTCTTAACTTACAACAATATAATTGTTTGAATCGGTGCAACAAAAAATGTATTTTCATTTGCAGCATAACCCAATAGAAAAAGCTGGTTGATTTTCTCAGGGTTTGACTGGAAGAGTGTGTCTTCTTAAATGAATTAAATTTGACCTCTAGAAACAATAAAAGCCCCTTGGGAAAACTGGCCATATACTTTGTTTACACAATCCCAATACAGGTTTTCTAACCACTTTGTAAGTAAAAACAAACAAACAAACAAACAAAACTGCCACTTTGTTTCAGGCCCAGGAACTTCATGCACTTGGAGCCTCACAAAATAGAGGAGCTTACCCAGGTGATATGTATCTAAGGGTACAAACCTACGGCCGGGCTCAGTTTTATAATGTCTCATTTAAGATTCCCTGTAAGATAGAGTTTCATAAAAAGCCAATGAGGAAAGCACATGTAAAATTATTTCTTGCAGCACTATACAAAAATAGTCTGGCTAAGTGTAGACAAGTCTGTTTTGCAAACAACTTTCTTTTATCGTGATTTATTTTTAACAAAAATCAGGACTATAAGAAATATATATGTTTCACAGTCTACTACACCTCTGTCACTAACTTCTCATCTCATCTTTCAATTTTAATGAATCTTTTTGTTTCTTTGAGCCAACTGGTGATGTCCAGCTACAGTTCTTGGAAAACAGAAAAAATATGAGTAATAGATAAATCTATAACAATATTCTAATTTTGTGCAAGCATGAAAGCATTCCACAAATATTTTCAGGTAATTAAAAAATAGGGTACCTGTAACACAGTATTTTCATTTTGGAAAATAAAGTCAAGAAAGGTAAGTAAACCCAAGTCTCATGTAATCAAATCTTAACACGGATAAATAAAGCAGCCTGTTATCTGAGCACGTCAGCAGCCTTGAGGTATTTAAGGTATTCTCACTCTCCTTGTCTAGTTGTGATGTGTTTTCTAATAATCCAAACTATCTTTTTATTGCCTAAAGTCTATCATGCTTTAATATGTAATGCAAATAAAACCATGCATTAGCATGCCTTTCTTCTACAAATACCTAAACCAACTCTCAGTGGAATCCTACCTATTGTTTTCTACATGACACTCTTCTCCAGTAACAAGTAGCCGGAAAGACCAATGCCCAATTTCCTAAGAGCAGTTAAAGTTTTCATTTCTGTGGGAGTACAAAGACAACTTAGCTAGCTTTCCCTGTGTAAAGAGCAAGGAAAAGGTCCCTGGAAGACCCAAGTCCATAGGTAAGGGCCTGATTCCAATATAACATTATAATCAGACCAAAAAAAAAAAAAAGGTGTGGGCACCAGTAAGAGATCTAACACAGAAGGTTATGCCTGATAACATGGCTGCAGTGACACAGATAATAGAACCTGCCATCCATTCAGATAAAAGCTTTTACAAAACTCTGACTCACTCAGATGGGGAAACAATGCCTGGCATAGAAATGCTGTTCTCTGTATACTCAGAGAGCTTCCAAAAAATAAAGTTTCTTTTTTTTTCCTGTGGACATAAATCCAGTGGGATCTAGTGGGTACCAGCTGGATTCTTTCTTTTTGTTTTTGACTGTTTACTCAACCCATGTGAATCATCACTTCTGTCCCTGATTGGTCCTGAGCCAGCATCCCAGGACAAGTTCTTACTTTAGCTCATGATAGGTCCTGGGCCAAGCTAAGCAGTGATTACAAATTATTCCTTCAGACAGCTCCCAGGCAGAGTTCCTGGGCTAAGCTAACAAGTCCTGGGCCTGGGCAAAGCTAAGTCACACATTCTCCAAGACAACTTGCAAACTAAGCATATATCTTTATTTTTTAGGCCATAAAAACCTTACACTCCAGTGGATGACTTATTCAAGCTTATAGCTCTGCTGACAGCTTATTTTGCCACTTATTTAAACTTTTGCTCCCAACATTTTCCCGTGTTTACAGTCATTAATTTTAAATGTAAAATAAAAGACTCATGGTGTTATCTCAAATGAAAGAAAGGCTGTTATATCTTGATGCATTGCTAAAACCACAATATTATCTGAACCTATGACATGATTTGCAGCTTTCTTTTGATGTCAGGGTCTGCTTGAGTAATAAAGTTTTCTCTAAAGATTAACTCTCTCTTAACTCAATAGGGAGATAGAAAAATGTGTTTCACTAAAGCATCTCTCGGGATGTTAAAAAAGACTAAGTAATTTTTATGTAGTTTCAACATATTATGAGTAGTTTAGAGTAATTAAGAAGTTTTGTTCTGTTTCTTCATAAGCCTTCATGTATGTTCTCTCTCTCTCTCTCTCTCTCTCTCTCTATATATATATATATATATACACACACACACACAGGAATATATATATACATATATACAGGAATATATATATATATATATACAGGAGTATATATATATATACAGGAGTATATATATATACAGAAGAGTATATATATATACAGGAGTATATATATATACAGGAGTACATATATATACAGGAGTATATATATACATACAGGGTACATATATATACAGGAGTATATATATATACAGGAGTATATATATACAGGAATATACATATATATACACAGGAGTATACATATATATATACAGGAGTGTATATATATATGTATATACAGGAGTGTATATATATGTATATACAGGAGTGTATATATATGTATATACAGGAGTATATATATATACAAGAGTATACATATATATGTACAGGAATATATATATATACAAGAGTGTATATATATATATATATATACAGGAGTGTATATATATATATATATATATATATATATATATATATATATACAGGAGTGTATATATATATAAACAATAAACAATAGAGGAGTTTTATAAGTATTCTGTTACCGGTTCAACATTTTTTTTTCCTTTACACCCTCCATTTTTCAAGATTTTATAAAAGACATGTGGTTCATCCATGGATAATTCTACTCTCTGTAAAAACGTCTGCTTTAGGGCAATGGTTATGGTTTAGTTTAGGAATAATGTGTCATCTCTTCAGTTATGATTAAACACTTGAGTTAGATTTTGAAATGCCTCTGTATATCAATCAGGTTCATCAGAGATACTTGCTTAGGTTTTCCATTATTTTTCTAAGTCCCTGAAATGAGTAGAAAACTTGTACTCTACTAGTATCACTTCTATGGAGTATTTCCTGCAGGGGCAACAGTGAAGTTGGGGGTTTCTTTAGTGGCAAAAATAAGACAAGCTGATAAAATTGCTATTGGAGGTTCTAAATAAGGGTTGCAGTTAGGGTATTTGGAAGTTACATTTGAGTGTTCCTCATGGGTTGGTCTCTGACTTTAATGAATTATCTCCTTGAAACTTGCCTGATATGACTGCCAAGAGGGCAGAGTCAGTTTTACAATGCTCTTAAAGATGTGGATTCTCCCAAGTAGAAGTAAGCATGTACAAAAAAAATAAAAAATCAAACTCTTTTCTTTGCCATCTGAAGAAAAGATGTAACTGTTGAATAGTACTAAAATGAACACTTCCTTCAGAAAGCTAGGCCTGTCTGTCCTGGAGCTGGTAAGATTGTCGTGCCCTTCAGCAATAAATAAACAAAGAAATACATAAGCCACTTTCTTTTTCAGAGTCTCATAGTCAATTAAATGTCTGTATTTCAAAATGTAATCTAGAGAGTTGCACATTGCAGATTGTTTGTGAACTTTCTAAAGAAATATATAGAGAAAGCATCCCATACTCCTTTTCCCCCTTTTGAAGTAGCTCTCACTGAATAAAAAGATAGATAGGATGTTCCTTGTTTTTGTGTTCGTCTTGTCTTTCCTGAGTCTGGTGACTGACATAGGTGTCCCCCATGGAGGCAAGCCAAACCTTCACCCACAGTTCCAGAGAAGCTAGACAGCAGGACAAGTAATGTTTACCTGCGGGGCTTTAGCTCTCCACTGGTGACTCTTTGTTGGTTTCCTAAGCCTATTCAACCCAGAAGATTCTCAAAGTAACTTGGGAACCTAAAAAAAGATTATATAGTTATTGGATTCGAGCAAGACCATTATATAGAGTAAGACTTTTAGTACTATTTCTGGCTTCTTTTGATATGGCCCTAGAAAAACATTGAAATTCCAGGAAATAAGATCAACTGACTTTGAAACATAAAATTCTCTTTTAGTTTAAACGTCAGTGCTGCTGGAAGAAGAATGTGTGACTCAAAACATGTAAAGCTAGCATGGCTGGCTTTCATAAGACAGCACTTAGCTAGAATATGTCTCTAAAAGGCACCTTCTTTCCGATTAGTGAAAGTGGAAATTTTCTGTTTTCAGATAGGGCAGAGAGTCTTATTACTGTTAGAAAGACACAGGAAAGGGAGGAGTTAAAAAACCAAAAGTTTTGTGCAAAGTACTGACAAGGCTTCCCACAGAGAAAAATCTCATCTCAGTAGGTGGCATTTTAAGATCTAAAACGTCACATGAAAGTGATGAATCCTAGGTTTATATAGTCAAAAGTTAGAAAAAGAAAGTTAACACTCTATCACCTGTCCCACAGTATGTCTGTGCAGAAAAAATCATGTGTCTCAAAAAGAAACTGTTTAGATATATATGGCAGTGCTGAGCTTTTTAAAGACAAATAAGCATCCAAAAAGAGAAATTTTATTTAAATGTTTGCCATTCCATACAGTGCATGAATATCTATCGTCAGGGAACAAAAAGACTCTTACCAAATAAAAATTTTTAAACTACAATTTTGGATTCTTCTTGTTTTGCAAGTGTTTGAATTACATTTCTAATTACTATGACATCCACTTACTTTTCCCAGTAAGATTATATCTCCAGGTCACAATATTGCATACAAAGAAGAAATAGGAGACACACTAGCCACACAATGACAAAAAAAAAATGCAACAGAAAAGTCTGGAGTTTTAATGGCACCACTTTGATGGGTTGTCAGAAACTGGAGTTACTTTTGGGACTTCACATAACACCATAGTGCAGTCTTAACCAGAAATCTTCAGCTACCTTAGATATCCTCTCAGTCCCATGTGACACTTAAATCCTCTGTGAAAGAAAACAGTTAGAAAAGAGGCAATATTTTCAACAGCGGAGGGTGAAAGGAGACTGCCAATGTGTCTCCCGGCATCGCTTTCTCCTAAGCTTTGTAAGAATGGCAGGCAGTATATCAGATTTTACCTGACACTGGCCCAGAATTTTCTTGCTCTTCAAAAATTAAAAATAAAAAAAAATGAGGACAAGCTGCAGATATGAATGTAAATAGTTTGGAAGTGCACTCCTACTGACTTTAATTTAATTTTATTTTTTTTTGACAGAGTCTCACTCTGTCACTTAGGCTGGTGTGCAGTGGTGTGATCTTGGCTAACTGCAAGCTCTGCCTCCTGGGTTTATGCCATTCTCTTGCCTTAGCCTACAGAGTATCTTGGACTGCAGTTGCCCACCACCACACCTGGCTAATTTTTTGTATTATTAGTAGACAGGGGTTTTCACCATGTTAGAAAGGATGATCTGGATCTTGACCTAATCTTAATTTGCCCACCTTGATCTCCCAAAGTTCTGGGATTACAGGCATGAGTCCACATGCCCATCCCCTACTGACTTTTTTAATTAAGCCCTTTCCAGGTCCATGAACCAAAAACAAACCTTGCAGTCCCCTAATGCACCACAATGTATCATTCTCTCATTTTGAGGTGTCACACAGAATTTTTTTAACCCCAAGAAAATTAAAAATTATGAATGCAAAAGGTGAGATTATAGGAAATGTTTAATACATTAACTTCTGGAGGAGTAGATTTAGTTGCCCACTTTGATGGAGAGTCTGATATCTTTATGGAAGAAAGAAAATGCACTAACTAGTCTTGAAGAAAGCACTACTCTTCTTTTCTGGGACCTTGAGCCTGGAACTATTAATAGCTGAAGTAATGAATCAGCGTGGGTCAGGAACTTGGCCCTGAGCCACACAAGAGGTAAAGTGAAAGCATGGCTGGGACATTGGCGTAGGACCGGAGGTTCAATTGATAATTTAAAGAAACTTGGCTCAGAGTCTAAAGCATGTTTACTAATGTAAGGTACCCTTTGTAACACACTAGAGGCCAATGTGTACATGTCCAGAAAAAGAGAGAGAGAGAGAGTAATTCCTGGAAGCCCTCTGGTTATACAAAAAACAGCATTTTAATGTAGGATCATGTTTTTTTTTTTGTTTGTTTTTTTAATCTGAGTAACTGTGTGCATGTCTTAAGCCCCCACACACACAAAGTTGGATATTTTATTTATTTGCATGGGCCACAGGATTGTGCAGGATTCTTCAATTTGTGTCTGCAGCCTGATTTTTCAGGCTGTTTCTCTGCTTGTCAAAATTTTACCAGTAATCGATAATTATGTAGCTTTTCATTCTCAATATTATTGAAGACCTAGATAGTTTCTGAGGGTGGGAAGGCAAATTGTTTGAAGTTGCCTATGTGCAAAGCATTTTTGCCCTGTGAAGCAACCCAAATCTTTGTAACTATTGTAAAATTGTTCATGCCTTCTTAGCAGTTATATCAGAAAAGCCCACAGTAAGCAGCTACCAAACATCGGAGAAACATTCACCCTGGAAACTCTCAAAAGCAAATTTTGTTGCCCCACTTTTTCTCATATTCTTGATCTAGAGAACCTTTTAGTCACATCATCATCAGATCTTCCAATTTTAACATCCAACCCTCCAAGTCCATTACTACCCCTATAGGAAATGCCCAATGAATGAGTTGTCTGTAAAGTGCAAGTTTCTTTTTCATTACAGTACCTTAAACAAATAAATTAAGATGTGGGGAAGTTTTCTGATACCTCAGTTTATATAGAGAGACTTTCTAATATCTAGCTTTTTTATCTCATCCTCCATAGGAAGATGTTATGTTATTCCTAAGCCAAAATCTTACTGCTTCTGTGAAATAGACAGCCCTGCAGGCAACAGAAAGATGCTGTGGCAAACAGCATTTGTTCTATAGCATGTCATAATAAATGCAAAGCAGTGAAAGAGAGACTGAGTGAAGAAAAGATAAGATCCTAATTTCCAGTAGCAAGACAGAGAGCCCTTTGAAAGCCTTAATTTGAGCCCTAGTGATTCCATAGATAAGTTAAAAAAAATAAAGAAAGAAAGAAAAAAGAAAGCAGGGCTTTGGCCCTTAAAAGGGCCCAGATCCAAACCTTTCCCAAGCCAGGGCTGTGACAACACCTTTGGATCTCTGCAGTTTCTGTCATTTCTATGTATCTGGATTCCACTGCCTTCTTCAGTGCCTGCAGAAAAGAAAGCTTGTGGTATGGCTGATTCACCTAAAAATTTGCAGGGAGCTGTCACCTGTACCAGCACCTGACCTGCTTGTCTGATACCAGATAATATGCCTAGCTGTGTGAAGTGGATGGGCTCAACCATCACTTACTCATACATCTGCCTCCATTCTGTGCCTGGCGCATCCATAGTGAAATGAAACCTAAGCCCATAGTTTGAGCTGAGTGCAGCCTGCAAGATGGGTTTGCACAATTAGAAAGCAGGCTCAAGAGAAACTTGCGCAAAGGTGCCATCATCCACAGAGATTCTTGGCTGTCGAAGTGACACCCTAGAGTTCCTGAGCCAAAGGTGAAATTCCTCACCAGTGGCCACTGGATTGTTCAATTATGCCTATGCAATGGAGCCTCCATAAAAACGTACAGAACAGGATTCAGAGAGCTTCTGGGTAGCTGAACACATACAATGTTCTAGAAAATTGTGTGCACATAACAACAGACAATGATAATTTCAAATTTCATACAGAGTGTAGGGGGCTTTTATTTGTTTTGAAGGAAGTTTCTGCCTTTAGTAATGTGTCCATAATTTTAACTTATTAACTAGAACATACTCCAAGTTAACCTAAAACTAAATCTGTACATTATAAAGTTTAGAACTTGGATATTTCCACAAAAATGATTCCATAATTCACTAATAGGGTGCAACAAGTTTTACTTTAGACAGATAAATATTCTTTTGTCAACTGGGTAACAATTAGACATTTATAATAGAAAAGAAAATCAAGTGATATCTCAACAAAAATTTGAATCATATGTTCAGTTTAGGAGAATGATCAGTGAATTTTGTGTCAGAAATATTTATTCTAAAAGATAAGATTTTTAATTTATAATTTTGTGTCTCTGAAGTATTTGTGCCACTATAAAGTCAAAGGCACCATCTCTGATAGTTCTGTGCCTTTCTTTGTGGTAGGGAAGCTGAGGCTGCCTCATACCCCAGTAGACTCTGTATTCTAGGATATAAAAATGAGAAAAATAAACACTATTACAGAATTATCTGTCATCCACATCTAATAAAACACAATTCTGGTTATATATATAGTAGTAGCCATAGACACAAATTAGGGCAGTCTAGTACCCATCAGTCTGCTTTTGTATTTGGTCTTATATGTGCATAAAATAATCACATTTGGGCAAATAAGCTGTTTTATTACTCATTTAATGTTGCAGTGCTTAAAAATGCCTTGATAATTTAAATACATAGCTTGGATCTTTCCAATTCTCTTTCCAAGCCTTAGCTGTGATTGAAATTGTTTTGGGCAATGAAGACAGCAAATCCTTATGCATTTGTTTCAGCTTAGTTCTTGTGTCCTGAGCAGACAGACTGACAACTAAATCTCATCAGTTTTATTCTACACATACTTAAACAAGGATTCCTTTTTTTTTTTTTTTTTTAGTGCAGTGGTGCGATTTTGGCTCACTGCAAGCTCTGCCTCCTGCGTTCATGCCATTCTCCTGCCTCAGCCTCCCAAGTAGCAGGGAGTACAGGCTCCCATTACCACACCTGGCTAATTTTTTTGCATATTTTTTGTAGAGACCGGGTTTCACCATGTTAGCCAGGATGGTCTCGATCTCCTGACCTCATGATCCACCCACCTTGGCCTCCCAAAGTGCAGGGATTACAGGCGTGAGTCACCGTGACCGGCCACTTCAACATGGATTCTATCCCTTGTGCTGACCCCATATCTTCCTCAGCACCTCCAACTCCATCTTAATATTACAGTGAACAAGAGCCATACATTCTTCCAGTGCATCTTGATTACATGAGGCAAGCTCCTTAATTTGAATCACAACCCCTTGGGTGAAAGTTGCAGTCAAAAACGCTTGAGAGACCAGGCGTTTGGCACATGCCTCCCATGCTGTCAGCTTTTGCCCAGCATTAATATTTCATTGGCAGATGCTTCACCCATCATTTTTGAAAATGTAACAGTAGAACAGCCATCTGGACTGTGTCCAAAAGCTGCATAAGAGGTTTGGAACCAAGACTTTTCATTAGCCCACACGAGATCACGAAGAGGCAGTATGGATTCACCTAGTCCAGTGACAGGGCCATTGACTGATACAACAATAGGCTTTTTAAATTGAATAAAAGTATTCACAAAGTTCTTGATGGTGTCCACAATCTCAAGGCTTGCTCTCTGTCATTCCTTAAGTGCTTCACAAAGTACCCAAAATCAAGACCATAGCAAAAGACATTTCCAGCTGCACAGAACAGCACAAGCTTGCTGTCATCCACAACATCCCTATTCAGAGCATTAACCATTTCTTTAAGTACTTCTGTATTCACTGCATATTTTTCTGTCGATTGAGTTGATAGCGATATTTGGGTGAATCCATCCTCTTTCTTCACGAGAATGTGTCTGTATGTGCTGGAATTTTCTGTTAGCCTTATAGTGAAGTACATCTTCTTGATAAAAGGCTGGTCTCTGCCATCATCAGTGACATTTATTTGCCCTCATTTCCCTCTTGGAACTGATGTATGCATGTCTGTTGTTCTATTGGCTGCTAATGGGTCTGTTAATGTCACTATACCTTTTTTTGGTAGCTGAGCCTGTGGCCAAGGAAGCAGTAAGTGAGCCAGACATCTGAGACATTAGCAGGTGTATCTGGGTCCTGTTCTCTATTCCAACCTGTTCTGCACCAGAACCTGATAAAGTCCTGATGGGCTTCCCTTCTATCCCCTTGAAGACCACTGTGTCCTGCAGATCTACCATAAAGGGGTCCAGTTTCTCAAGCTCCTGAAAGCCACTCACAGTTTTCTTGTTAAAGGGACTGTGAGGTGCAAATGTCTTCATAGTTGAGTTTACTGGCTCCATATTCTTGTGTCAAAGAGAAGTGAAGCTGCCTTTCTCCTAACATTCTTGCTGGCAGCAAATAACTGGCTGTTTTTGGATTTGTGGTGTTTGCCAGTCACTAGCATGTTAGGAGAGTTCTTAGAAAACTTGGGGTTGGTAGATCTGGAAGTTCCTCTAGTATGGTTTGAAAAAGTTCTACTTGCTCTGGTCCATGTATTTTTTTTTCTGTTTTTCAGTCTGTCGTCTGTTAAAATCATACATTTTTCACAGTTCATGAGGTGCTGCTTTGGTTCCCAAGTGTCATACTGCTTGTCATAAGCTTTCCACTTAACCAAATACTCTATATTCACATTTTTTCCTTGTCTTTTGTCAACAATAGTTTCAACCTCAAACTCCTGGGAATCCATGAAGAAAGACACAGGATTGGAGCAGTTGCTGTGAGCTTTATTTCAGTTGCATCTCTACACAGCCACTTCTTTCTGCCTCCAGTCCTTCACCAGGTTCTGAGTATGGATGAGCCTCTTCTACTTCATTGCCACTGGTGCAGTGAAAATTGTGTGAAATAGCAGCTATGCTATGTGCCTTAGGCTCTTCACACTTTCTCCCTGGTAGGACAGCTTGGGCTTTATCTCATGGAGCATGATACCTGGCTCAGTAGCCTCAGATAAGAGTAGCTAAATCCACAGCCCCTATTCTCTGGTATACAGAAAGCCTTCTTTCTGCCTGTTACTCTTTTGTGTTTGTTTGTTTGTTTTGACTAGTTGTGGTTGCTATGATGATTAAATTGAACATTCGAATGTTATAACATTTTGAAAGTTACACTAGCTTACCTTTAGTAACATACAAAACCTTTACTCCTGTATAACTTAACTCCATTATTTCAGTTATTGAGTTCTCAAAATTGTACCTTGATGCATTGTATGTCAAAAACACAAATTAGTGGTAGTGTTGCAGGAAGTCAGGGACCCTGAGCGGCGGGACCTGCTGAAGCCATGGCAGAGGAACATAAATTGTGAAGATTTCATGGACATTTGTTAGTTCCCCAAATGAATACTTTTATAATTTCTTACACCTGTCTTTACTGCAACCTGCAAACATGAATTGTGAAGATCTCATGGACATTTATCACTTCCCTTATCAATACTCTTGTGATTTCCTATGCCTGTCTTTACTTTAATCTCTTAATCTCATCATCTTTTTTAAGCTGAGGATCTATATTGCCTCAAAACCCTGTGAAGATTGAGTTAACTGCACAAATTGTTTGTAAAGCATTTGTGTTTAAACAATATGAAATCTAGGCACCTTGAAAAAAGAACAGGATAACAACAATGTTTAGGGAATGGGGAGATAACCATCAGGTCTGACTGCCTGAGAGACAGGCAGAACAGAGTCACGTTTCTCTTCTTACAAAAGTGAATAGGAGAAATATCACTTTTTGTTTGTTTGGTTGGTTTTTTGTTTTGTTTTGTTTTGTTTTGTTTTGTTTTTTTTCTCAGCAAGGAACAGCCCTGAGAAACACAATGTGTTCTTAAAAGAAGGACTCTGAAATGGCTGCTCTGGGAATGTCTGTCTTTTACGGTTGCAGATAAGGGAAGAAATAAGCCTCAGTCTCCCATAGTGCTCGAAGGCCTATTAGGATGAGGAAATCCTGCCTAGCAAGTTTTAGTCATAACGGTTGTCTGCTCTCAAACCCTGTCTCCTGATAAGATGTTTTCAATGACAATATGTGCCCAAAACTTCATTAGCAATTTTAATTTTGCCCTAGTGCTCTGCCCCCATTTGCCTTGTGATATGTTATTGCCTTATGAAGCATGTGATCTCTGTGACCCACACCCTATTTTTACACTCCCTCCCATTTGAAAATCGCTAATAAAAACTTGTTGGTTTTGCTGATTGAGGAGCATTACAGAACCTGCCGACATGTGAAGTCTCCCCTGGACACCCTGCTTTAAAATTTCTCTCTTTTGTACTCTTTCCCTTTATTTCTCATACTGGCTGACATTTAGGGAAAATAGAAAATAAATTACATTGAATTATCAGTGGTGGTTCCCCCAATAATGGTAGTTTTTTTTTTATTAAATATATGAGTGTTTTCTTGAAGTGTAGCTTACTGGTTAAGGGTGCCAGCTTTTATCTGGGAGTGTTATAATTTGTCCCACACATTTGATGGACAATTTATTGGACCATAAGTTTTAGGTTTGACAGTTTTTTCTGATATCACTTGGAATATATTAGTCTACTGCTTTCTGTCATCTTAGTTGTCAGATAAGAAATCCACCAGTTATTCAGTGGTTATTCAGATAAGAAATTCACTGGTTATTTTTGAGGGTCCCTTTTACATGACTAGCCACTTCCCTTGCTTCCCTTGAAAATCCTCAAGATTCTCTTTGTATTTGTTTTAGACAGTTCAATTATCAGGTAAGTTTGAGTTTGTTTGTTGAGTTTCTATTACTTGGAGTTTGTTGAGATTCTTGGGTGCTTATTTATTGTCTTAAATTGTTACCTTCTTTATGCCTATTTTGTTAAGTAGTGTCCTTGATTCTTTCTCTCTTCTTTCGAATTTCCAAATTGCATAAGTATGGCTGATTGATGGTGTCCCTCAGGTTTCTAGGCTGCATGAAGCTACCTTGACCCTTTCCAACCTGTACTGGTGACCAGTACATGGTTGACTGCCCCCAAGTCTGTGTATTACAGTGTTTCAAGGCTAATGCATCCCAGAGCTCAATTCCAATACTTCAATCATTTCAGTCTCACTCATACACCACAATATAAAAGTCTCTAATTGTGAGGTATCACACAGAGCTATTTGTCCCATGGCCAAGAAAATTAAGGAGAATGGATGCAAACAATTTGAAGCAAAATTTTGATAAGTGAAAGTAAAAAAGCTCTTCACAGTGGAGGTGGAATGCAAATGGTTTACCTACTATGAGATTGGGATTTATGGTTTCTAAAGGCAGGGAAGTAAAATAATGTGCTTAGTGGTCTTAGAGTAAGTGTTATTTGGCTTGGCCCTGAACATTTTTCTTGGATTCATCTGGAACTGAAGTTATGATTTATAGAAGCTACTAAGCTCAGCCTTGGAACTTGGCCCTGGACAAAAAAGGAAGTGACAACTCAGCCTGAGACCTTGGCTTGGGACCAATCACAGGCTGAAGTAATGTCTCGTGGCCACAATAATTAAGGAGTCTGCATGATGCAAAGTTCAATTAGGAACAAAAGGTTAACAAGCAAAAGAAGAAAACTCCTGACAGTGAAGAAGGGATTTGAGAGAGTTTCCAACTGTAAAGCTTGGTCAGGGCTTTCTATGAACTGTAAAGAACAAAATTTTCTGAGGTGTCTCTGAGCTGTCTTGAAGAAAGCACTACTTAGCTAGTTTCAGTACCTGGTCTGGGAAAAATGAGAGGCTAAAGTAAAAGCTTTGTCTGGAACATTGGGCTGAGGAAAAGCAGAAGCTGAAGAGATAATTCATAAATGCTTGGCTCATATGTCCAAAATAGAGAAAAAATTACATCAGAACCCACTGGAGCCTACCGTGTGTCATGCCCACAAATGGAGGAGTGTGTATTTTCTTGAAGTCTGCTGATTATATGAATGGCAAAGGCATTTATTCTTTTGGCCTCATTCCTTTATCTTTACAGCCATGAATATGTTTTAGGCAAAAATGACAAAGTCATTTCTATATTCTGCCTTGTTGCCTTATTAGTGCAGTTGTGGATATATCTTAAGGCTATCATCATCTTAAATTTTTTTTTTATCAGTGTCTGCATCCTATGTTTTCAGGCTGTTCCCCTGTGTAAAAGAGTTTTTCCAAAAACTGCTTCTAGCTTCCTCACTTCTTTTTTCTCTCACACTTTCATGAAGGTAATTTTGTATATTTTGTAGATTAAACAACATTTGTGTTAAGGGCTTTTCTGTGCAGTTTTTTACTTTTGTCATGGAATCTATCAAAGTTCACATTAGAGTACATTTGAAATTTTTGTGTTAGCCATGTTCAATTTGTACTTTCTTCTTTTAAAATAAATGTTTTTAATAAAGGAGTACATTGTTTTAATGCTTAGAATTCAAAATTTGAAACTCTAGTCCTGGGGTTTTCTTTTTAGTAGCTGTAAGTTTGTAAAGCATGTTTGATGTTTGTCTGCTTTCTGCTATAAAACTCCTAAAACCTTTGGAATCTCCAAAGTGCTGTCTGTTAATATGATAATATTGATGTAGATCTGCACACTGGGGCTTTTCAATGAAAATCCAAGGCATGATTTAATGGTAGGAACTCTCAGATGAACTCTGCATCATTCTGAAATGGGAGAGATGCTGCAGGTAATGGCAGCAGCAGCCCATTTAGAGAGGCTGCTGCAAAGATTTCAGGTGCAATGAGGGAGGTGAAGCCAGAGCTGTACACTCTGTGAAACTGGTGGAAACAGAGAAAAGGCAGAAACCACACTCACATCCAAGTGGAATTATAAGGAGCCCCACCTACTCAGGAACAGTGGCAGCTGCCCCACCACAGCTGCAGACTCAAGCACCCATCTACTTTCCAAGGTGTGGGAAGCCATCCTTCCAACAAATTCCCTGTAGTTCCTATTCCCATTGCCTGGCCTCTCCAAGCTCCCAGTGCCCACTCTGACATTGTGCAAATGTGCCATCATCCACAGTTTCTTTGCTGGTGAAGCCATACCCTAGAGATCCTGTGACAAATGTCATTCATCAACAATGGCCAGTGGATTATTCAATTATGCCTATATAATGGAACTTCCATAGAAACCAACAGGAAAGGATTCAGAAAGCTTCTGGTAGCTGAACAGGTAGAGTATTCTATAAAATTGTGTGCACGTAAAAACAGACACCAATAATTTTAAATGTCATGCTGAGTGTAGGAGTCTTTTCCTTACTTTGAAAGAAGTTTCTGTTTTTAATAATGTGTCCAGAATTTTAACTTGTTAACTAGAACATACTCTAAGTTAATCTATGTCTGCACAGGATGAACATTAAAACATGGATATTTCCACAAAAATGATTCCATAATTCACTAATAGAGTGCAATATGTTTTACACTTAGAAAGATAAAGGTTTCTTTATGTTAACTGAGTAAGAACTAGACATTTATAAAATAAAAGAAAAGTTATATCTCAACATAAATTCTAACCATATGTTGAGTTTGGCAGAATGATCATCAGTGAATTTTGTGTCAGAAATATTTATCCTAAAAGACAAGTCTTTTAATTTAGAATGTTGTTTCTCTGAGTTATGTGTGACACTGTAAAGTCAAAGACACAATTACTGATAATTCTGTGTCTTGTTTTTGTGGGAGGGAGTAGAGGTTGCCTCATACCCCAGTAGCATCTGCATTCTAAGGTAAAAATAAATAATAAAAACAAACATTATTACACAAATTTTTGCCATTCAAATCTAATAAAACACAATTCTGGTCTTATATATCATAGTAGACATAGATAAAATTTAGATCTTGCAAGAACAGTTTAGTGCTCACCAGTCTGCTTTTATATTTGGGCTTGTGTATGCATGAAATAATCACATTTAGGCAATGAAGCTGTTTTATTACTTATTTTAAAGTTACAGTGCTTAAAAATGTTTTGATAATTTAAATACATAGCTTGGACATTTCCAGTTCTCTGTATTCCCATTTTTGTCTTGTTTTGTGTCAACAAGAGGTTCAACCTCAAACACCTGGGAAGCCATGAAGAAAGACACAGGATTGGAGCAGTTGCTGTGCCAACTTTCTTTCAGTTGTCTCCACATAGCCACTTGTTTCTGCCTCCAGTGCTTCACCAGTTTCTGTGTATGGATGAGCCCCTTCCACTTTGTCGCCACTGGTTTAGTGAAAGTTGTGTAAAATAGGAGCTGTGCTCTCTGCCTGAAAGTCTCCACACTCACTCCCTGATGTGACAGCTTGGGCTCTGTGTCATGGTGCCATGATAGGTGGCTCAGTAGCCTCAGGTGAGAGGAGCTAAATCCACAGCTCCTACTCTCTGATGTAGTACAGAACGCTTTCTACCTGCCTTTTACCCTTTTACTTTTTTAATTGTCATTGATAATATGACTACATTCAATATTTTAAAGTTATTCCACTTTTAAAGTTATGCTGGCTTACCTTCAATAACATACAAATCTCTTACCTCTGTATAGCTTCACCCCAATTATTTCACTTATTGAGTTCTCAAAATCATACCTTTATGTATTGTATGTCAAAAACACAACTGGATGATAGTATTTTTCTTAAATATATTAGTGTTTTAAATTATATGGGAAACAAACTGTGGAGGTGCACATTGCTAATTTTTTATGTTTTGTAATTGTTAAGGTATTTATCTTTGCTTTATATATACTCATTTTTGCTACTGTTGAATGTCTGTTCATTTTACCATGAAGGACCCCATAAGGCATTTTTTAAAAAGTAGTCTACTGGTAAAAGTCCCAGCTTTTATCTGGAAATGTCATAATTTCTCCTTCACTTATGAATGACAATTTTTTGAACATAAGATTTCCGTTCAAAAGTTTTTTCTTACATCATTTGGTATTTGTTAGTCTATTGCTTTCTGTCTTCTGAGTTTTCAGATAAGAAATCTGCTGATTATTGTTGAGGTTTCTTTGAACATGATTAGTCACTTCTTTTGCTGCTTTCAAGATTTTCTCTCTCTTTCTTTTACAGAGTTTAGTTATCATAGAATTTGAGTTTGTTGCTTTGAGTTTCTCTAACTTGGAGTTTTTTGATCTTGGTATTCTTTGCCACTGTTGTTTCTAAATAGTCTCCCTGATTCTTTGTCTCACCCTTTCCACTTCCATTATGTGTAAATATGGCTGCTTGATAGTGTCCCACAGCATTCTAGGCTGTGTTCTCATTTCCTTATTTTTTTCTTTCCTTTCATAATGTAATAAATAATGTCAACTACCCTTTCTTTACTATGCTGATATTTTGTTCTTCCCCTGCTCATATCTGCTTTTAAATATCTGTAGCAAATTTTTCTTACTTTTATCTCTAGACTTTTTAGGTTATAAAATAACTTTACTCTTTTTATTAATAAGTTTTGTTCATATTTTTTGAGCTTCTTTTGTTTATTATATTATCTTAACATGAAGCTTAATTGTTAACTAAAATGTTTTAGTAAGACTGCCATTTGGGCTGTCTAAAAAAACCTCCTTCGTAATTTTTTTATGTTCTTAAAATAAGCCATACTTGTCTATTTCATTCTGTAATTTGTGATTTTGCTTGCGCTGAAAAAGAGCATTTAAATTTTAAAGTGCTGTAACACTGAAAATACCATTTTCTTCTTCTATGGTTTGGTAAGGTTTTGTTTATTATATAGGCTTTTTCTCTCCTGTAAGTCAGCCTTACTGAGCTTCTTCTTGGGTCTTTTTTGAGCCTCATTGTTTTGGGGCACATATCATTAAAGCCACAATTCATTATATATATATGTGTGTGTGTATATATATATATATATATATATATATATATATATATACACACACAGACATACATATATATGTGTGTGTGTTTGTGTGAGTGTGTGTGTTTAGTTTTGAATGTTTTTGTCCACAAATGTCTAACCTCTTAAGAGAAAAAGAAGAACAATTAGGAAAACATGTTCTGACTTCTTAATCTTCTGAAAGTTTGTTGTGCAGAGGGACAAAGAGACTGAATAATGTTTGGGGTATAAAACAATGGCTGTTCACCTCTGTTGGGACATCCATAAGCAGAAACAGCAATTGGTGAATGAGTCCTCCTGCAATTTGGAGGACAGTGTCCTTTTTGTTTACCATGGCTCTTGTAAGCTGCTCCAGAAATATTTGCAAGGCAGCATCCCTTCATTAATAAAAATAAGTAGCTGCTGCTGATCTGTGCTATAAAATTGATAAAATTTAATTTTTTTACTATACAAAATTTTTTGGAAGCTGTAAGCTTCAGGTAGACTCTCAAATTCTACAGTAACTGCATCATATTAATCCTGCCACTGCACCTATTGTATAGTTGAAGAGATGGAAGTAGAGTGCTCTGTAGTACATTGCAACACTTTCCCAGAATCTACTATCATTTTACTTTGGCCTATTTGTCTTTGCACCTAAAGTATGCCTTGCATAGCAGTCACCGAGTGACTCCTTTGTTTAAGGGTACACTGGCACCAGTGTGTGACTTTTTAAGCAAGAGCTCACATTTAAAGTTGTTACAAGTAAAATATTACATACTCTGACATTGACTTTCTTGTTTTCCATGTGTTCTTTCTCTTATTTGATCCTTATTTTTTTGGCTAATTTAAAAAAATTTGGTTAATTTTTTAAAAACTTTGTTGTATTTTTTATATTACAATTAGGTATATATGGGACTTCAATTATTATTGAAAACTTAAAATAACCTACTATGAACAATACTAACTTGTGTGAATAATCTAATGTTTAAGGTCAACAATATAAAAATATGCTGCTCTTGTAGTTTTCCATCCTTCTCAATTTATATTATTGTCTCTGATTATATCTGTGCACACTGAGTGTTCATTAATAGTTATGTTTGCCAGGGTTTTAATAGTAATATCATTTTCTTTTAGAGAAGCATTAGTCACAATTTCCTTTAGCTTTTCTTTATCTAGATATTTTTGCTTGAATGTCATTTTACCAGCTATATATTTCATGCTTGATAGCATTTTTTTTTTCTGCTAAAATTTGTATATCCCACCACCTTCTGACTTCTGAGGTTTCTGTTGAACTGTCATCTGTTAATTTTAATCAAGACCTTCTTGCACATAGTAAGATGCTGTTCCCCTTCTGTTTTTACTCTTTTCTGTGCATTGGCTCTTGATGGCCTGTAATGTTTTCTGATGTGGCTATCATTAACTATATTGTGGTTAAAGATTTTTGTTCTCTTTCAAATTTTAGACACAGATTTTCAAGTTCAGGAAATGTACAGCCATTTTTGCCTTAAACTTTTTGGCCTCTGTTTTTCTTCATTTATCAGATGCTCATATTGCATGCACCAGTATACCTCGCAGTGTTCTGTTTACTCTTTAGTTTTTTTTCACATAATTTTGTTTATTTTACTTCTCAAAGTGGGTTATTTCAGTTTTTATTCCTTCAGACTGACTGAATATTTACCTGCTCAAATCTGCTTTTAAATACCTTTATGGTCGACTTTATTTCAGTCATTATCTCCCCTTTTTGTGGTTTCTTTTATAATTTGTCTCAGTGATGCGCTCATGTTGTTCTTTCATCATTTGTCAGTCATTTCTATTTAGCCTTACTTAAAATTGTTTTAAGTTATTTGTCTGTAAAATTTGGGACACATTTAATTCCTTCATTTAGTTTACATTGGTCATAATTTTCTCTTGGTTTTTGTGTTTTTGCTTTTCAGAAAACTATATTTCAAATGTTATACTGTGCTAACACCGAATGCTAACTCTGTATTAGAAATGTCATAACATGCTAACTCTGAATGCTTTTCTTTATTTCTGAAATGAAAAGTGTTTTATTCGTTACTAAAATGAATAAGAGCAATATAAAACCTATCACTTTTAAATACTGGGTATGTATTAACACTCTCTTGTAACCCTCATGGGGGTTTTTGCTAATTCTGTCTTAACCTTCAGTTTCTTCTCACTTTGAGCTGTAGATAAACTTGGGGGTTAATGCAAATTGTTTTACGTTAATTTTTAGGATGTTTCCATAGTGAGCATATGCATGATTTTCTAAGTGCTTCAGTGTATTAAACTTCTTCTGAATATTCAGATATTTGCAAATACAAATCTCTCCAATGTTTCTTCCTGTTTATAGTTTACCTATTGTATAAAATAACTATATTTTTTATTCTCCAAAACTTAAATATTTGTGACCTATTCCTGTCATTTCCAACAGAGAGTGACTTTTGAGTTAGGCAAAAGAGAAATACAGAATTATTTTATGAAATTTCATTTATCCTCTAGAAATCCTGGAAAAAAACAACACAATAATTTAGCACATAAGAGTTTCTTTGCTTTTTCCAGAAGCAGGAATCAGGTCCTCACTTTGACAATGTGGTTATCAATTCTGAAGGCTTCATCCATGACTTGAAGGTGATATGGCAATCCACAAAGAGAAAAAAAAACTAAAATCTTTACCCTTTTATAATTGTTTTTCTTGATTAAATGTTTACTTGGTTGATATAAACTATGGATTTTCAGGTCCAGGCTGTTTTTGATTTTTTTTTTTTTGAAATAGTTTGAAACTACCAACCCTGCAGTTTTGCTTTTATTTTTATCTATGAAGCACTGAGTGTTTTCTAATTTCTGAGATTATTTTTATTTAAGAGTTTTATGTTTTCTCTCTTGTTTAAAATACTTAAATTGAATGTTACACTTCCAATTTAGAATCCAAGATGTTAGGCTTTTGTTTTAGTTTTTATGTTATGCAGTTTTTGGTTTTTTAAATTAATTGAAATGATTAATTTCATATAAAATATATGAGGCAAGGTTCTCTGTTATAAACTTCATTTTGGTTTTATGTAAAACAAATATGAATTAAGTGGCTTAAAAAGTAACTTTCAAGTAAATATCTAAATAAAATAATAAAAAAAATTATGTAAGCATGCAGCAAAGTCAGCAAGTACGATGATCCCTGGTGGAAGCCTGTTTAAATTGTTTTTAAAAAGCCAGCTAACTGTGGCTGCCACAGACAGTATAAGGGAAACAATTACAGTGGATGAGTTCATAGAAGTAACCAACAGTCCATGTGATTGGCTAGGGTTTTTATACGTTTGTAGATTTTACTTTAAATTTCATCCTAAGCCTGGTTCATGATTGGAAGTTGAAGTTTTGAGGCTGGTACATTACTAGTATCTATTGCTGAGAGGTTAGAAATGCTGCTAAATATCCTAAAATCTTGAGTCTCAGGTGCTTTTGAGAAAGTAACAGTGTTGAACCATTTCTGGAGAAAATTATTTTTAAAAATACACATTTAGAATTCTTTGGTATTGTATTTTGAAGATTTCTTAACTCCTACTTTGTTTTCCATAAAGCAGAAGGATTTGAAAAAGCCTATGTAAAGTTCAATTGATTCAACTTAGGGTAAGCATTAGTAAAGTAAGGTCAGTTCAGTTAATCAATGATTAGAAACTAAGCCATATATTTTCTATTTTTCTGCTTTTCCTTCCTATTAGTTTTTCAATCTTTTGTAAAACATTAATATCAAAAAAATAAAGCCCTAGTCAGCCTCAACTTTGGAGGTACCAAGGGAGAAAACTCAATCCCTGGCATTTGGGATAGAGCTAATCTTGGCTGCAGTTGAAAAGTCATAAATAATACATATGCACACATGTGCATTGTTTATGGATACACATTGTGCTTTCAGTATGTGTTATGACATGAAAGTTCCTAGGATATTACAATAAGCAAGCTAAATGAAAACCAAGTTTTCAAGGACTATAGCTGGGTTTAGAGGATTTTCACTTTTGCTAAAGTTGTTGAGTAAAACTAATGCTCAAATATATTCACCTCTTAAAAAATTATTTGATAGAACTTTTCATAGTGGGCATCTTTGATCAGAATTATTTGTGCTCTGCCTTATTCCAACGTAATAAAAATGCATTCACAAAAATACATATTAGACAATAAGAGAAAATAAAGATCAATGAATGAAGAAATTGATGTAATAGGGAACAATATTTGAAAATGTTAAGATAAATCCAAAAGCAGTTGAATTTCGACGACGTAAAATCCTTTTAGTTTGAATAAAAAATTTGTTTCAGGACTTTAGCAAGTAACAACATGTTAGTTATCCACACTTACAGAGCATACTTTGTTCCCACTTAGCGCCTAACCTGTAAGCTCTGTTATCGATGCTAGAGCCTAGTCTACAAGGCAGAACTCCTACCCATATAGGGCTTGCATTTTTTCCAAGATTAATACAATGCCATTCAATACCTAAAATGAAAAGGCAAGTTTTTTTTGTTGTTGTTTTGTTTTTTTACTTAATATGCTGAGAGAGAGCTCTGCTGTTTAGACACATTCTTGGAACAATGCAGAGTTCAAGTCAAGGCATTGGCAGACATTAAGTGGTGTACAGAAGCTGGCATTATTTGTAGAAACCAAGTTGTTCAGGCCAATCTTGTAGTGAAAGAGGAATATTTATGGAAGTCTGTGATTGACCTTCTGATTTTTCAAAGTGCTGGCACTGCTTCATATTATTACTATTATCATTACTTGTGAAAGCTTTTTCACTGAGGTAGTTAGGCTTTATAGATTATTTAAATTTAAACCTGATTTTAATGGCTACATTTTACAATATAGAGCCAGTATTTACTAAATCCTTGTGAAAGTTTAAATTGTCATTTTCTAAGGAGACATAATACACTTTTATTTTCAAAGAAATAGAGTATTTACTAAATTGTAACCATTTATTAAGTAACTAACCTGATGTAGGTTTTATAGCCTTGGCAGTAAGTAAATAGAAAAATAAATACTTTAAAACTGTTTGTTTTACAGAGATCTGTATGGGCCACAGAAACACACACTCACACATATATATATATATGTCAAGATTTTTTGTATGGTATTAGTTTATGATATCACCATCAAATAAGCTGACTTAATAAAAGAAGGTTTACAGTTACAGTATTTATTCAAATAATGCTTTTTGAGAATACTTACAAACTATTTAATTTGGCATCCCTTTATATATTTATATATATACACATATATATGTATGTGTGTGTGTATGTGTGTGTACATATGTATATAAAAATATGTAATTACGTACATGATCACAATAGGCTGCCTGCAAGCTGTGGAACAAGGAGAGTAAGTTGGAGTCCCAAAACTGAAGAACTTGGAGTCCGGTGTCCAAGAGCAAGAAGTATCCAGCATGAGAGACAGATACAAGCTTTGGAAGCTATGCCCATCTTACTTTTGGATGTGTTTCTGTCTGCTTGATATTTGCTAGAAGCTTATTAGATTGTGCCCAACAGATTAATATAGATCTTCCCATTGACTCAAATGTTAATCTTTTTTTGGGAAACACCCAAGAAACACCCCCAGGATTAATACTCTATATCACTCAATCCAATGAATTAGATACTCAGTATTAACCATCAAAGTCCACCCCTTGTCAACTTGAATCAATACACATCTCCTGCTATAATACATAATCTTCAAATGCAGACAAAAATGAGGTCATAATCATACCTAACATAATACAATTATCCTCTTACAACCAGGAATGCAGCAATCCCCAAATCAAACCATATTTCATAAAGTTTACAATACGCCAATGTTGATAAGAACTCAGTAAATCTTATGTAATATGATAAAGGAAAATAAAAAAGGAAGATAATTTCTTAGTACATGCGTTTATCTGCACAAACTTTTTTTAACAAAAGAAGGAGGAAATACTTAAGATAAATACTTAAAATACATATGGCCCAAGTGGTAGAGGGGTTTGCACTGCAGCCTACAGTAGCTGCAAAGTCTTTTCCTATTCTGGATGCCCCTGAAAGCTGGCAGCCCTTCAGGTCACTCAATAATGGGCCTGGGTGACATATTCAAATGAAAAATATGTTGTCTCAAAAATCCAAATAGGTTTAGCTGGTATTGTGCCTCTTTCTTGGATATAAGAGGGTCATACAAAAACTTGTTCTTTACCCTACAAAAGATATTTTGACAGGCTTCACAATACTGGACCCCTATGAATATTATGGAAGTAGAAGTTCTCTGAATTTTGGTGAGATTAATTTTCTATCCTCTGGTACATAAATGTCTCACCAATAATTCAAGTGTGCTTGCTACTTCTTGCTCACCCATTAAATCAGCCTAATATCATCAATGTGATGGACCAATATTCCATCTTACATAAGTGAAAAGAAATCAAGATCTCTGAATAAGATTATGACAGGAAGCCAGAGAATTAGTATATTCCTGAGGGAGGATAATGAATGTGAATTGGTGGACTTGCCAGTTGAAGGCAAATTGCCTCTGGTGGTCCATATAGACAGGAATAAAGAAAAGGGCATTTGCTAAGTGAATGGCTGCATACCACATACCAGGAGATGTATTAATTTGCTCAAACAATAAACCACATCTAGTACATCAGCTGCAAGTTGACTGACAACTCGGTTAAGTTATGATACTCCAATGTAATTCTCCAAGATCCACCTGTCTTCTGCACAGGCCAAATAAGAAAGTTGAATGAGGATGTGCTGGTAATTATCACCCCAGCAACTTTGAAATATCTTATGATGGCACCCATCTTCGCAATCTTCTCAGGGTTTTGGTATTTTTTCTTATTTACCATTTTTCTAAGTAGGGACAGCCCTGGTGGCTTCCATTTGACCTTTCGTATTGGAGTAGCCCTCACCCTACACGTCAGAGAGATGTGGGATTTTGCCAGGTGCCAAGTATGTCTATGCCAGTTGTACATTTTGGCACTGGGAAAATGACCACGGAATGACTCTGGGGACTTACTGAACACTGTGTAAATCTGACCTAATAAGCTAAAGCTCTATTAACTACCTGACCTCCCTGAGCTCCTACTTCAACTGTAAGACCATAATAATGTTTTGGGTCCTTGGAACCCACATCAGCACAGAGCTAGTGTCCAGTAGTTTCTGAAAAGTCTGATTATTTCCCTTTCCCTAATGCACAGTCACCTTGATAAAAGCCTGAAAATCTCCTTGGGGAAAGATGGTGTAAAAATTCACTGCATAAATACTTATGTAGTGGGTTTCTTGGTCCAGGGAACCCAGCTTCCCCTTCATTCAATGGGTTCTAGGTCTTTAAACTGGCTCTCATCTGGAAATTCATGGAGAGACTGTACTTCTCTGTTTTCATCATTCAAAATAGTCTTTTGTCCTTTTGGCCAAAAGATTTTTGTAGGTGTAACCTAAGTATGAACGCAGTAGTTTTCCATCAATATCAGTTCCATGAACACCATGATTAATTAACCAATGATAGAGCTCTACAGGATTCACATTATTCTGACTGCCACTATCCCTTAGCTGTGCCCACATTGCCTTTGATGGTTGAGTGCTGCTGCTTGGCCCCTGTCACATCAGGATCCAATTTTTCTCATTGTATTTAAATTTTGTAGTTGAGTGATTGTGGTTTCCACCATTAGATCTGACAAAAGAGAAGAGCAATTACAGGGCTATTCAAAAATGCAGGTGCTGACCACCCAATCTATTTCACAAGGCATTGGTCAAGGATATGTGTTCTGGACCCTACCAGTCTGGATGAGTAAGTCGAAAGGATGAGTCTACTTCACCATCCCAATCTTCCAAAGCTTTTGGATCTTCTCCTCTCCATTAAACCAGTGTAGGCCAGGCATTTCCAGCTAACTCACAGCAGGTCATCTTTTAATCCACATTTCAGCTAACTAAGTGTGTAAACTATTGGAAGTTTTTTTTTCTTTTTAACTCGCCAAGCTGCCATATTAAACACAAAGTCACTACCTTGATGGTCCTAATCAGTAAATTCAGCCTGATACAACTCTATGTTCCTTACACCATAATCTCATACAATTAATATCCATCCCCATGCCTGTTCTCCAGATTGATGTTCATATAAATGAGATAACTTGAACAGTTTATTTGTGTATGTGTGTTTGTGTGTGTGTGTGTGTGTGTGTGTGTGGCACACTACCTGATGTGTCACACTCTCTACCTCACCTCTAGGAGCCCACCACAGCATTCTAGCCCGGTTTAGAAAAAAACAGAGGTGTTCGGGATGGCTTCTGAGAAGAATCAACATTATCTTTCCTGGCAACTGTCCTAGGGAAGGCCATAACTGTTGCATCAACCAGTGCAGGGTTTGTTTACCTCAGACTGAGTTGGAAAGACTGATATCAGCACGGATCAGAAAGATGACATTGCCCCTTCTGGAAATGAGAAAGCTTTTCTTTTGGCAAAAAGCTTCATCAGAGTTTACACACTCAGTATCCCCTGCTTCATCAGGGTCCTCTGACTCATCCTTTCAGAGTTGCAGGGTCCCATTCTACTCAATCAATGCCTCACTCTAACAGTAGACACCTTTTGAGAATGTGCATGCAACTTTCATTGAAGGTCAGTCACTTACATGATAAAAGCCTGTAATTTTGGCTCTTTCTCTACAGGTGATAAGACTCTCACTCAGGACAAAATTAACAGATTTGGGGCTTCTGAAGCTGGGAGACAGAATTTCTGAGTGCATCATTACCTCTGATCATTGTGTCCACTGAACTTAAGAGCTACCAACCTGCTTCATTGTGATCCTTGGTTCTCCATATATGTCAAAATTATTATGCAGAGAGTAAACAAAACTCATTGCCTCTCACAATTGGTGAATCAGAAGTGTCAAATGCATTTACTTTGCATAACTCTATGAACGGTTTCCACCAAGGATTATCAGTGTTCTCCATATAATTAGAAGTAGAATCCTTAGCATTTTCACATCAAATTATATATAGCAGGCAACACCAGAAACTCCAAAACCAATGAAAGAACTTCCTTTTCAATATTCTGTTTTCCTAGAACCACTTCTGGTACCAAAATCTGTATTACTCAGGATTCTCTAAGGGACAGTACTTTAGAAGAGTTTATTAAATACTAACTTACACCATTGCAGTGTCACATAATAGCCTGTCGCCAAGCTGAGGAGCAACAGGAGCCAGTCTGAGTCCCAAAACTGAACAACTTGGAGTCCAACATGTGAGAGGAGAGAGCATGCAGCACAGGGCAAAGATGTAGGCTGCGAGGCTAAGCCCGTCTCATCTATTCACGTTCTTCTGCCTGTTTTATATTCATTGGAAGTTAATGAATTGTGCCCACCAGATTAAGGGCTGTTCTGCCTTCTCCAGCCCACTGACCCAAGTGTTAATCTCTTTTAGGCAACACTCACACAGACTCATGCCAAACTAATACTCTGTATATCTCAATCCAGTTAAGTTGACATTCAGTATTAGCCATCACAGGTTCATGGCAATAAACTTGCTGGCTCCCAAAGAGGTCCCACTGAATCTCCACCTTCAAGCCAGTGATGGCCTGAAGTCTGGATCTCAGGCTGATGGACAAGAATGGGAACCAATGGTGCTTTTTGAAATGCACGCATTTTTGCCAAATAATCCAATCAGCAAGCACTTTGTTTCCTTTGAAGCACATAATATTCCTGGACTCAACAAGATTTGAGGACTTTTCAGACTACCTACTGTGGAGAGGCGCTACCCACTCAAGGGCCATCTCTTTGCTGTGAGCTGAGGAGACTTCAGGACTGTCAGTGGTGGGCTAGAGCTACCTGCCACAGTCTCTGCTGGGGAGATAATGGGATGATCAGCTAGAGAAGGGAGATACCCACTTGAAGGTCTTCTCTTGACTGAAGGCTTAGCCAATGTTAGGACCACAAGGTGTGAAGAGGACCTACCCACTCCAAGATCTTCTCTCTGTGGAGAACTTAACACCTCATAAGATGATCAGCTGGATGGAGAAGCTACCAAGTCCAGGGTTTCTTTCCTGCTGAGAGCTGGATACTAATCCTTGACACCTTGCCTGTGGAAAGAGCTGCCCGCTCTAAAGCCATCTCTTTGCTGAGAGCTGGACACTCATCAGAACATCCAGCCTGTGGAGAGGAGTTACCCAATGGGGATCTGTTTTGAGTTCTGTTCCTGAGTAAATCTTATCTATACATTTCTCACTCTCTACGTGTCCGTCTACCTCATTCTTCCTGGTTGCAGAACAACTATTTGAGAATCACTGAATGGTGGAGCTGAAAGAACTGTAACAAAAATTGGGATAAAAAGATGTCTCTTGATCATCACATTCTGAAAGACAAAAATAAGAGGACAGCTGTGGCCCTTCAGGGTGCACAGACCTAGGGTCTCTCGAAGACAGGGCTATGACACCCTCTTTAGGGCTTTGCTGTTTTTGGCATCCCGAAACTTCTGGGCACCACTACATTCCCCAGTATCAGCTGTGGAAGCTGCTTGCAGTATGCCTGGTCCAGCTGCTGTGTCTCAGTGAGATGGCACTTCTGTTGGCACCTAAAATTTCCTGCTTTGCCACTGCCGGCAGGCCTGGCTGTGTATAGCGGCTAGACCCCACACTTGCTCATACACCACTTGCCACTCTACCTCATGTTTGCCCTTGGCAGGTATGAAATCCTGACCCATAATGCAAGCTGAGTGCCGCCTGTCAGGCAGAGTGGGTAGAGCAAGCTTAGCAGGCCTGAGCAGAACTCAGGCAAAAGCACCACTGGCCACAGAGGTTTTCAACTGTCAAGGTGACTCTCCCAAAATCCCATGAAAAAAGGAGCATAGCTAGTTGTGTTTAAATGTGTTACTTCTATTGGATCTTGAAATACTTAAAATTCAGTCTCCCACATTTGGAATTTTTAAACCTTATTTGAAAATTATTTTGTTTCAAAATCTTTTAGAACTTAAAGTTGAAAAGTTGGTATTTACATTGTACCACCCTATCCCACTTGCTTACACAGACATATATTCTGTGAGAATGTACTTCTCTAATTCATGGCATTGGGCTTAAGGTTAATATTTTCCCAATAGATTACGAAGCTTACTAATGGAGCAGAATTTCTGATCCCTGGATTTTGACATTTTGTACTCATATAATTTCTTTTTGTGAGGAGCTTTCCTTGTGCATTGTATGTTGATGAGCAGAATTTCTGGCCTCTTACATTAAGTGCAATTGTAAACTCCTTTTTCCATGGAAGCAATACCCAAATATGTTTCTGTCTTGTGGAAATGAATTTGATGACTATCTTTATCATATAAGTTAAACACATAATACTTTTCCTTTTGCAGGATAGTGTTTAAAAAATAGGTGAAATGGGTGTTGAAGAGCTGATATAAAAAGGCCAAACTGGGGTAAGAAAAGAGTTACTGGTCTTCTGTCTTCATGTCAAAAAGCTCAACATCACTAATGGTGAAGGAAAAAGAAATCTAAATGGCAAGGAGATACCGTCTTAGGCCAGTGGAAATGGTGATTACTAAAAACCCATGAAATAACAAATGGTAGTGAAGTAGTGCAGTAATAAAATTGTTTTTACATTGTTGTTCAAAATATAAATCAGTATAGACAATGTGGAAAAATGTGTGGCGTTTCATCAAGTATCTAGAGTGAGAAATACCTTTGGACCCAGCAATTTCATAACTGTGTATATAGCACCCCCCAAAAAAATAAGTCATTCTATCACAAGGTCACGTGCATGTGTATGTGTATTACAACTTCTTCTTTTTAAAGGCTGCATAGTATTCCATGGTGTATATGTGCCATATTTTCTTATCCACTCTATCATTGATGGGAATTTGGGTTTGTTCCATGTCTTTTTTGTATGTGAATAGTGCTGTAATAAATGTACATGTGATGTTTCCTTATAGTAGAATGATTTATAATCCTCTGGGTATATACCACATAATGTGATTCCTGGTAAATGGTGTTTCTGGTTATAGATCCTTGGGGAATCACCATACTTTCTTCCACAATGATTGAACTAATTTACACTCCCACCGGCAGTATAGAGCATTCCTATTTCTCCACATCATTGCCAGCATCTGTTGTTTCCTGACTTTTTAACGGTCACCATTCTGACACGCAGATACCATGTGAGACGATATCTCATTGTGGTTTTGATGTGCATTTCTCTAATGACCAGTGATGCTGATCTTTTTTTACATATGTTTTTTGGCTGATCTAATGTCTCCTTTTGAGAAGTGTCTGTTCATATCCTTTGCCCACTTTTTGATGGGGTATTTCATTTTCTTGTAAATGTTTTTATGTTACTTGCAGATTTTGGATATTAGACCTTTGTCAGATAGATAGGTTGAAAAAATTTTCTCACATTCTGTATGTCACCTGTTCACCCTGATGATATTTTCTTTTGCTGTGGAGAAGTTCTTTAGATTAATTAGGTCCCAAATGTCAATTTTGGATTTTGTTCCAATTGTTTCTGGTGTTTTTGTCATTATGTCTTTCCCATGTCTATATCCTGAATGGTATTGTCTAGGTTTTCTTCTACGGTTTTTATGATTTTAGGTTTTATGTTTAAGTCTTTTAATTCATCTTGAGTTAATTTTTGTATGTGTTGTAAGAAAGGGATTCAGTTTCAGATTTCTGCATATGGGTAGCCAGTTTTCTCAGTACCAAGGAATCTTTCCCCAATTGCTTGTTTCTGTCAGGCTTGTTGAAGATCAGATCATTGTAGATTTGTGAATTACTTTAAGCAGTATGGTCATTTTCATGCTATTGACACTTCTTATCCATGAACATGAATTTTTTCCACATTTTTGTGTCCTCTTTTATTTCCTTCAGCAGTGATTTGTAGTTCTCCATAAAGAAGTTCTTCACATGCCTTGTAAGTTTTATTCTTAGTTATTTTACTTTCTTTGGAACAATTGTGAATTTGAATTCACTCATGATTTGGCTATCTGTTCATCTATTATTTGTCTATAGAAATGCTTGTAATTTTTGCACAATGATTTTGTAGCCTGAGACTGCTGGAGTTGCTTATAAGCTTAAGCAAACTTACAAAAAAGAGAAGTTGCTTCTCTATTTTTAAGGAGTTTTAGAGCTGAGACAATGGGGTATTCAAAATATACAACTATGTCATCTGCAAACAGGGAAAATTTGATTTCCTTTATTTTTATTTGAATACCTTTTATTTCTTTCTCTTGCCTTATTGTCCTGGGCAGAACTTTCAATACTATGTTGAATAGGAGTGGTGAGAGAGGCCTTCCTTGACTTGTGCCTTGTGTTTTGTGTTTTCAAAGGGAATGTTTCCAGCTTTTGCCCATTCAGTATAATATTGCCTATGGGTTTGTCACAAATAGTTCTCATTAGTTTCTGATACATCTCATCAATACCTAGTTTATTGAGGGTTTTTAGTAGGAAGGGATGTTAAATTTTATCAAAGTCCTTTTCTGCATCGATAGAGATAATTATGTGTTTTTTGCCATTGGTTCTCTTTATGTGATGGATTACATTTATTGATTTGCATATGTTGAAACCAGCCTTGGAACCCAAGGATGGAGCTGACTTGATTTTGATGGATAAGCTTTTTGATGGGTTGCTACATTCAGTTTGCCAGTACTTTGTTGTGGACATTCACATCGATATTAATCAGGGATATTGGCCTAATTTTTTTGGGTGGTGGTCTCTGACAGGCTTTGGTATTAACATGATGCTGGCCTCATAAAAGAAGTTCAGTAGGAGTCCTTCTTTTTGTATTGTTTGGAACAGTTTCAGAAGGAAATGGAACCAGGTTTTCTCTGTACATCTGGTAGAATTCAGCTGTGAATCCGTCTGGTCTGGGCATTCTTGTTTGGTAGGCTACCAATTACTGCCTCAATTTTAGAATTTGTTGGTCTCTTCAGGGATTCTACTTTTTCTTGGTTTAGTCTTGGTAAGGTGTATGTGTCCAGGAAGTTATTTATTTCTTCTAGATTTTTAAAATTTATTTGCGTAGAGTGTTTACAGTATTCTCTGATGGTAGTTTTTATTTCTGTGGGATCAGTTGTTACATCCCCACTATCTTTCTTTACCATGTCTAATTGATTCTTCTCTCTTTTTTTCTTTATTGTTCTGGCTACAACTCTATTTTGTTAAACTTTACAAAAATAAAAATAAAAAAGCTCCTGGATTCATGGATTTTTGAAGGATTTTCCTGACTCTATCACCTTCAATTATCTGATCTGTTATTTCTTTTTTGTGTCACTGTTTGAATTTGTTTGTTCTTGCCTCTCTAGTTCCTTTTCTTTCTGTCTTCTTTTTTTTTTTTTTTTTCTGAGAAGGTGCCTTGCTTTGTCACCCATACTGGAAGGGAGTTGTGCAACCTCAGTTCACTGTGACCTTTATCTTTTGGGTTCAAGGAATTTTCCCATTTCAGCCTCCCAAGTATCTGGGATTACAGGTGTGTGCCACCAGGCCAGGTTTTTTTTTTTGTTTTGTTTGTATTTTCTGTAGAGAGAGAGTTTCACCATGTTGGTTGGCCAGGTTGCTCTTGAACTCTTGAACTCAGGTGACATTCCTGGCCCACCTTCTGAAAGTGCTGAAATATGACGTATGAGCCACCATGTCCATCCCTCTGGTTCTTTTCATTGTGATTTTAGGGTGTGGATTTTTGATCCTTCCTACTTTTTGATATGAATATTTCATGCTATCAATTTCTCTCTTAATACTTCTTTAGCTGTGTCCTAGAGATTCTGGTAGGTTGTGTCTTTGTTCTCATTGATTTTAAACAACTTATTTCTTTCTTTATTTATTTTATTATTTACCCAGTGGACATTCAGGAGCAGGTTTTAGAGTTTTCTTTTAGTTGTGCAGTTTTGAATGAGATTCTGAATCCTGAGTTCTAATCTTATTCCACTTTGGCATAAGGGACTGTTTTGATTTCAGTTCTTTTGCACTTGCTGAGGAGTGTTTTACCTCCAATTATGTGGTCAATTTTAGAATAAGTGCTATGTGGTGCTGAGAAGAATGTATATTCTGTTGATTTGGGGTGGATAGTTCTGTAGATGTCTATTAGCTCTGCTTGGTCAATAGCTGGGTTCAAGTCCTAAGTATTCTTGTTAATATGCTGTCTCATTTATCTGCATAATATATCTGACTGTTAAAATCTCCTTTTATGATTGGGTAGTAGTCTAAGTCTGTGTAGGTCTCTAAGAACTTGCTTTATAAATCTGTGTGCTCCTGTATTAAGTTCATATATTTTTAGGATCATTAGTTCTTCTCGTTGCACTGATCCCTTTACCGTTATGTAATTCCCTTCTTTGTCTTTTTTGATCTATATTGGTTTAAAGTTTGTCTTAGGATAGACTAGTATTGCAACCCCTGTTTTTTCTTTTTTTTTTTTTTTGACTTTCTCCTTATTTTGAGTGTATGCCTGTCTTCACCCATGAGATGAGTCTCCTGAATATAGCACACCAGAGGGTCTTGTCCCTTTATCCAATTTGCTAGTCTGTGTACTTTAATTGGCAAATGTAGTTCATTTACATTTAAGGTTAATATTGTTATGTGTAAATTTGATCCTGCATTGGCATTGCTAGCTGGTTATTTTGTATATCAGTTGATGCCCTTTCTTCTTGGTGTTGTTGGTCTTTATATTTTGCTATTTTTTTCAGTGGTGAGTACAGTTTTTTCTTTCCATATTTAGTGCTTACTTCAGGAGCTCTTCTAAAGCAGGCATGGTGGTTACATAAATCATCTACACTTGGTTGTGTGTAACAATTTTATTTTTCTTTGGCTTAGGAAGATTTGTTTGGCTGAATACAAAATTCTAGGTTGATTTTTTTTTTCTTAAGGATGTTGAATGTTGGCCCCATTCTCTTCTGGCTTGTAGAGTTTCTGCAGAGAGATCCACTGTTAGTACTATGGGCTTCTCTTTCTAGGTAACCTCACGTTTCTCTCTGGCTGTCTTTAACATTTTTTTCTTTTGGTTCAACTTTGGAGAATCTGACAGTTATATGTCTTGATGTTGCTCTTCTCAAAGAGTATCTTAGTGGTGTTATCTGTATCTCCTGAATTTGAGTGATGGCCTGTCTTTTTAGGTTGGGGAAATTCTCCTGGATAATGCCTTGAAGCGTAATTTCAAACTTGGTTCCATTTTCCCCCTCACTTCAGGTACACTAATCAGTAGTAGGTTTTGTCTTTTGACATAGTCCCATATTTCTTGGAGGCTTTGTTTGTTCCTTTTCAATCATTTTTCTCTAATCTTGTCTTCATGCTTTATTTCTGAAGGGGTGGACTGCCCCTCCACACCTGTGGGTGTTTCTTATCAGGTGGAATGAGAGACTGAGAAAAGGAATAAGACACGGAGACAAAGTATAGAGAAAGAAAAGTGGGCCCAGGGGACCAGCACTCAGCATATGGAGGACCCGTGCCAGCACTGGTCTCTGAGTTCCCTCAGTATTATTAATCATTATCTCTACCATCTCGCGAGGGTGATGGTAGGGATGAGCAGGAGATAGATGCCTTCCTCTTATCACAACTGCAAAGAAGCCTTCCTCTTTTACTAATCCTCCTCAGAACAGACCACTTAAGGGTGTCAGGCTGGAGGATGGTCAGGTCTTTCCCTTCCCATGGGGCCATATCTCAGGCTATCACATGGGGAGAAACATTGGATGATACCTGGTTTTCCTAGGCCGAGGTCCTTGTGGAATTCCACAGTGTATTGTGTCCCTAGGTACTTGAGATTAGAGAATGGTGATGACTTTTAACAACCATACTGCCTTCGAGAGCTTGTTTAACAAAGCACCTCCTTCATAGCCCTAAATCCATTAAACCTTGAGTCAACACAGCACATGTCTCTGTGAGCACAGTGTCAGGGCTAGGGTTACAGATTAACAGCATCTCAAGGCAGAAAAATTTCTCTTAGTACAGAACAAAATAGAGTATCTTATGTCTAATTCTTTCTACATAGATAGAGTTACAGTCTGATCTTTCTTTCTTTTCCCCACAATTTCATTAAGTTGATCTATAATCTGTGATATCTTTTCTTCCTTTTCATTGACTCGACCAATGATACTTGTTTTTGCTTCACAATGTTTCTTGCACTGTGTTTGTGAGCTCCATTAGGTAATACATGTTCTTCTCTAAACTGGTTGTTTTAGTTAGCAGTTCCTGTAACATTTTATCAAGGTTCTCAGCTTCCTAACATTGGGTTAGAACATACTCCTTTACCACAGATAATTTTGTTATTACACACCATCTGAAGCCTACTTCTGCCAATTCATCAAACTCCTTCTCCATTCACTTTTGCGCCCTTGCTGGGGAGGAGTTGCAATCATTTTGAGGAGAAGAAGCGTTCTAATTTTCTGAATTTTCAGCTCTTTTGTGCTGGTTATTCCTATTTCTCATGGATTTATCTACCTGGGATATTTTATGCCGATGGTCTTTGGATTGGGTTTTTGTATGAGCGCCCTTTTTGTTGATGTTGATCAGTCAGGCATCTCTTCTGCAGGTCTGCTGGAGTTTGCAAGAGGTCTACTTCAGATGCTGCTTTACTGGGTATGACCATCTGAAGTTGCAGAACAGCAATAAGTGGAAGATTTTGCCCTGAGTGGGTCCTGACTGGTGCCAGCCAGAGCTCTTCTGTATGAAGTGTCTGTTGAAACCTGCTGGGATGTGTTCCCTAGTCAGGAGACACAGGGGTAAGGGGCATAGTTGAAAAGGCAATCTGTCCCTGAGCAGGGCTTGAACACTGTTCTCAGAGATACACAGCTCTCTTCACAACAGGCAGGCAGGAATGTTTAAGTCTGCTGCAGTTTCACTCGCAGCCATCCCTTTTCCCAGGTGGTCTGTCCCAGGGAGATGGGAGTTTTAAGTATAATCCCCTGACTGGGGCTGCTGCCATTCTTTCAGAAATGACATAATCAGTGAGGTGGAATCTAGAGAGCCAATCTGGCCACAGCTGCTTTGCATGCTTTTGCAAACTTCCTGGCAGCTTTCTTAATACTGTTAGGGAAACCCTTATATGTAAGCCTCAGTAATGGTGGTCGACCCTCTCCCCACCAAGCTTGATCATTCAAGGTTGACTTCAGGCTTTTATGCACGTAGTGAGAATTTGAAGCCAGTAGATCTCAGCTTGTTGTGTTTGATGTGAATGGGACCTGATGAATGAGACCACTTTTTTCCCTAGCTTCAGCCCCCTTTCCAGGGGTGTGAATTGTTCTGTCCCAGTAGGGTTCCAGGTGCCACTGGGGTACAAAAAAAATCTTTTGCATCTAGCTCAGTATGTGTCAAAGCAGCCACCCAGTTTCATGCTTGAAATCCAGGGTTGTGGTTCTGTAGGCACACTAGGGAATCTCCTGGTCTGTGGGTTGCAAAAACCCTGTGAAAAGTGCAGGATACGGGCTTGATGACACAGCCCCAGATGGCTTTCCTTGGCTGTGGGAGGAAGTTTCTAGCCCCTTGCGCTTCCTGGGTGAGGCAACAATCACCCTGCTTCTGCTTGCCTTCTGTGGGCCTCACTCAATGTCTAACCAGTCCCAATGAGATGAACTGGGTACCTCAGGTGGAAACACAGAAATCACTTGTCTTTTGTGTTGATCTCACTGGAAGCTGCAGACCAGAGCTGCTCTTTTTCAACCATCTTGCTAGATGCCAACTGTCTTTTATTCTTATTTAAAATGTGCACTGTTGAAGTTTCCAGCAATTTCACATGTAATGTGTAAAAGCAACAATGAAAAGGACAGTGAAAAATATTTTAATAAATTAGTCTCTGTCTTCAAATATCAATCAAAGGAAGTGCCATGTTTTGAAAGGTGAAGAAAAACTAACAGACCAAATACATGTGATTTTACACTTTGTCTCATTTTTGAAAAAGCAGATTCAAGAAGGTAAACCTCCAGAGTTCTAATCTGTATCATGTATTAAGCAATGAATATATGTACTGAAATTGAAATCAATGGCTTTTTCAATTCCCAGAGAAACTAGTTTGTACTCCAGAAATTCTTATTGCAGCTTTGACATCTGTGTGGGTTCAGTCAGGATGGTGGGGAAAATTATCAGATGCAAACCTTCTTGGAAGGCTTTGGGGATTGGCATAAGCTCCAGTAATAAACTTGGCTAAAGGCAGCCTTTTCCATTTAGTTAAATAAGTTAGAGTAGAAACAAAGGAATATGGGGTGTTTATCTTAATAGCTTGTTTGTTCATGTGGTCCTAAGACTAATCTTTGACTTACCACAGTGATTAATTGCTTTCTAATTGGGAAGTCCACACTGTCATTTACCCTTTAGTGGTGTTGACTTAAAGCCTTGGTCAATTAATCTTTACTTAATAAATGCGAGTCTCACTAGCTGGTACGGGTCACAGTCAAAACTGTTTACAACACTCTGCCTGGGGTCTGTAATCAGCCCAATGCTCAGCTGGACTGGCAAGGCAGAATATTTGTGTGTCAGTGTACTTTATTCATCCATTTATTCATTGTAGAAATCATGAATTAAAAAAATAAGGGTATAAATGTGACAATATGTACTAGCATTTTTTTTTTTTAGTTTTTACTAAGTAGAGCTTAGTGTGTGATCAGTTTTCTGTGGCACAAGACATGCATGCTTATTTTGGCAGCAATTATGGAATAACGAGAAAACATTAGTAACAAAAAGTGCCAGTCTGAAGAGATCACATATTGTATGATAGCATTCCTATGACATTATAGAAAAGTCTACAGAGAAGGTAAGCAAACCTGTGATGTACAGTGGCTTGTAGCGGGGCAGGGAGTAAGTTGAATAGGGGAATAGGATGTTGGAAAGAGGTGCAAACAGACCAGTTAGAATTGGACTGCTTGTGATTTGTGAGGTCATGCTTTGTGTGTGGAAGAGCCAGGAGTGTGTGGTACCAGCATGGATAAAAAGGTTCCTACTCAGCCAGGTGTGGTGGCTCAAGCCTGTATTCCCAGCACTTTGGGAGGCCAAGAAGGGTGGATGATGAGGTCTAGAGATCGAGACCATCATGGCTAACATGGTGACATCCCGTCTCTTCTAAAAAGTACAAAAAGTTAGCCAGGCATGATGGTGGGCACCTTTAGTCCCAGCTACTCGGGAGGCTGATGCAGGAGAATGGTGTGAAGATGGGAGGTAGTGCTTGCAGTGAGCAGAGGTCGCACCACTTTCCTCCAGCCTGAGCCACAGAGCAAGACTCAATTTCAAAGTAAATAAATAAATAAAAGCTTCTACTCCCTCTAGGAGAGACGGGTCTTCTTTCATTCACATGGAACTATTTCAGGACCAGTTCTCAGGAAGACTTTGTTGTATTTAGTAAAAGAAATGTAACATAAAATTTACCAATCTAAGCATTTGTAGGTGTATACGTAAGTGGCATTAAGTATGTTTGTGTTATTGTGCAACCATCACCACCATTTCACTTTCTCACCAGCAATGCACAAGGGTTCCATTGTCTCCACATACTCTCCAGTTGTCCCTTCTTCAAAAAAATAAAAATCACATTCTAGTGGGTAAAAAGTGGTAATATCATTGTGGTTTAGATATTCCTTTACCTAATGGCTAGTGATGTCAAACATATTTTTATGGACTTATTGACATTGAATTCATCAAGTTTCCTGGGTATGACAGAGAATGCACAGAAAACAAAAGAAAAAATAGATAAATTGACCCTCTTTAAAACAAAATTTAGGAAGATAAGAGGAAAATCCAGAGATTAGGAAAGATAGCTTCAAATTCTCTTAAAATGTGTAGCTTTCAAAAAAAAATGGAAGAGAGAATCTGAAATATATTTCAAAAGCACATACAATTAAAAAAATAAATCATAAGAAAATTGTCTAGCTCTCTGGGAGATTTGTTCCAAAGCTGCAGTAGCGAAATAGAATTTCACACGTAAAAACCCAGAGAGGCAATTATAAAAGCTCTGGGAATGACAGACCCACCCCAGGCCTAGAGAGATGTTGGTTGGATGGGAAAGGGGAAAAGGAAGGCGTCCAGCAGTGACTTTTCAGATGGCAGGTTAGAAATGCAGGAAAACATTAAGGATGTAATAAAAGTAGACAGTTTAATTTAAAATGGAAAGAAGAAAAGGCAATTAGAAATGACAAGAAAACAGAAAGCTAAAGACAAAATATGTATTACCCATAGAATACTAAGAAACGTAGGTGAATTCACAATGCCAATATACTCCTTACAAGAGGACAGTCTCAAGATTGTCCTGTATTGGACTGATGAAATAGATATCTAAATATATATATTCTACAATTGCTTACAACTTCAATGATCACTAAGAAGGAAACTAAACTCATGATATGCCTACCATTGGCTGAGGGTGGATGAAAGGTTAGGAGTCTAAGAAGCTCAGCCTTCCTCTGTTGTACCTGGTGTTAACAGGTAACTCAGGGCACTAGGTTTAGGTGCACATGGTGGCAGCTCCTTCTGTGTAACTCTTGCCTCACTTCTGTATTTTTCAGTCATGTGGATACATTTTTATTTTCAAAATGAAATATATGAGAAATAATCTGTGGTGTCAGAGACTCTAGGAAGAGTCTTTGTTCCAGCTCTACTGGTTTGAAGCCTAATTAAGTACCACAGATTCCAGCAGGAAATCCTGGCTCTACCCCACTTCCTCTCCCTTAAAACAAAACAAGAACTGAGTAGTCACAATATCCAGCTCAAAAACTCAATCAAGATCTGTCAAAGGAGATCCACATGTAGGCATCACCAAAGGTATCAATAGACACAGCCACAGAGGTGTCTGCAGTGTGCATCATGAAGTCCAGCCCCTAACTGTAGACCAACTGCCGAGCCTGGAAGGAAACTTCCTTGGAGGATGCCAGTGGTAGAGGCCTCAGCCATGATTCAGTTGCAGCCATAGAGGACTCTAGCATGTTACTGCAAGCAACCAGTGGGCAGAGGAAAGGACCAGGAAAGATGAAGGGGAGGGTGGGAGCATCATGGTCGTGCCCATACTGGTACATCTCGCCACCCTGCAGTGACCTGCGGGACACAGAGGACACCATATTTTTGTGGGCAGAGGCTCTCTCAGACCAGAGCAGTACTGTGTCCAGAATTCGGGGGTTCTTGGCCTCACTGACTTCAAGAATGAAGCCGCGGGCCCTCATGGTGTGTTTTATAGTTCTTAAACATGGTGTGTCCGGAATTTGTTCCTTCTGATGTTCGGATGTGTCGAGTTTCTTCCTTCTGGTGGGTTCGTGGTATCGCAGACTTCAGGAGTGAAGCTGCAGACCTTCATGGTGAGTGTTACAGCTCATAAAGGCAGTGCTGCCCCAAAGAGTGAGGAGCAGCAAGATTTATCTTGAAGAGCAAGAGAAAAATCTTCCACAGCATGGAAGGGGAATGAAGCGGGTTGCCACTGCTGGCTTAGGTGGCCAGGTTTTACTCCCTTATTTGGCCTCATCCATGTCCTGCTGATTGTTCCATTTTACAGAGCGTTGATTGTTCCATTATACAGAGCTCAGTTTGGTCCATTTTACAGAGTGCTGATTAGTCCATTTTACTGAGAGCTGATTGGTCCCTTTTGACCGAGTGCTGACTGGTGCATTTACAAACCTTCAGTTAGACACAGAGTGCTGATTGGGGTGTTTACAGTCCTTTAGCTAGACACAAAAGTTATCCAAGTCCCCACCCAATTAGCTAGACACAGAGCCCTGAATGGTACAATTACAAACCTTTAGCCTGACACAGAGTGCTGATTGGTGTGTTTACAATCCTTTAGCTAGACAGAAAAGTTCTCCAAGTCCCCACCCACCCAGAAGCCTGGCTTCACCTCTCAGTAAGACCCGGAAAGAAACTGAAGCCAAGCTAAGAATGTGGGTTCCTGTTTCAATTTGGCTACTAGTGGCTGTGGGCTCCAGGATATCACAAATTGCAATGCCTTTACCATTTTCCCTGTGGTTGCAAAGACTTTGGCCAGGCTCTGATTGACCTGGCCAACTTGAAACACTTAATAAAGCCTATTACTGGAAAACGATAATATTTTAGCACTTTATTTACAATGACTTTCAATGAAGTATTGTTCTCCAGTTTTGAAACTAGGAAAACAATTAACAAGAGCTTACTAGTTATGTGAATAAACGACAGTTTATCCTAAAGATCTATTAGGCAACAGTTGATAAAAAAAGAATTGGTATTTTGTGAATGCTCACTGTGTCTCAATGGTACTCAGGCTTTTGATAACCACCGCCCCTTAACATTTGCAACAATCCCATGGCAGGTCCTGGCAGCATCCCTATTGTACAGGTGAGATGTCACATGAATCTGCCTAGGGTCACACACCTAGGCAGTGCAGGATCTAAATATAAGCAGGCACATGAGGTGTCAAGAAAGATGCTATAGTCATAATGTTATGTGAAATGAAGGAGCAAATGTGCACATGGTGTGAAGGCCAGCCAAGATGTAGGCCTACCCCACATGTAGACCAGATCCACAGCTGGCCAACCTATATACTTTTCTTATCCTTAAAGGATCCTCTTCATCAAAGGAAGATCACAGAGTGCAAGGAGGGTGCTCAAAAAGCACTGATATGTATCAGAAACATGAGAAGAGTAAAAAAAAGAAAATAATAAAAATAAACACCCCACAATGACAGCTGGGTTTGTCTTTAGGTGGCAGGCCTGTGTGTCTTGTTCTAAGTTTGTTGTCTCCATTCTCCAAATATATATGTGAATTCAAGTGATGAGTCAGGCTGCAGGAGCAAGTGTAAGGTTAGAGAAAGCTGCTCCCCAAACCTGGCCCCTGACATGGGCTCCTTGCTGGTGGTTTTCTCCTCCCTGGGGTCTGACTTGATCACAGTGACAGGGCCCTGTCATCCCTAGGCCCACTCCATGCTCTACTCACTACTAGATGGTAGAGGGGAACTGAATAGGTGAGATGGTCCCATGGCCCATAGGATGACAGTACCTGGCAGTCAGTGGATTTCAAATGTTCTTGTCTCCTGGAAAGTCCAAGGCCAAGCCCAGTGGTTCTGATGGTCCTTGAGTGGTCCATTTTATTCATGTCCCTCTACAAGAGATCAGATAGCAGGGGAGGTTTTGTGGGACTCTGAGGCCCAGCCAGAAAATGCTGTCACCACAGGGCCACTCCAATACGCTTTGTTTATCTCTTTTACTGCTTTTGGTCTAAACCAACAATCTGTAATTGGAAAAGAGAGTTTCTCAGGTTCCAGGTGAGTTGGTCTACCCTCTGTGAGACATCCATGGGGAGCCATGGGCTGCTTCTGTGGAGAAAAGTCTCCTTATTGCCTTCAAGTCTATATGCCCTGAGAGCGTAACTGCTCAGCAGCATTTCACAGGTTGCTCAGGGAGATAACACTCCCTTGAAGCAGTAGAGTATAATCAAATATCTTGGCTCTTCCTGAAACCCACTCTGAACTGTTTCAGCCCCAATAATTTAAAGATCTTAAGTAGTTTAGACATACGCCTTTGCTCTAGGAAATTCACAGAAACTGCCCCCACTATACACCTTATTGAATGACTCGTGAGTTCTCCTTCACTGGCTAATCCTTTTCCTCATCGCTTCCTCATCCTCGCAGCTACCATGAGAACAAAGAGCTTGTAAACCAATAAATTGGGTGGAGCCCTAGAGATCTGGGCTGTAAGCAAGCCTCCTATGCTCCAGACCCCTGGTCCCAACCTTTAAGCAGTTATTCTGTCTCTTTGCAACTCATTTGTCTCTGCCAGTATTGGGGTACCCATCAGGTGATGTGGGGCTGGTTTCCCCAACACTAACCTGGGACATTCCAAATATTAGTGCTTGTGTTGTTTCTCAAATCAACTGACCAAGACCTCCTCTGGTGACACAATGCACTTTTCTCCAGCCAAAGACCTGACCCTGCCACACAGTGACCTTGAAATGCAGAGGGGCACCCACAACACCCCTTGGGCCAGTCCTGAGCCTCAGGTCCCTGGTTTAAGTGATCTCACAGCCAGCTGATTGAAAGGGACAGGGAAGTGGGTGAAGAAAACAAGAAAACCCTGCAATTCACGTTTATCTGTAACACAGGTTTAAAGTATATGTTCAACAAAACTGGATGTATGAGCACTTAAATAGAGAATTTACCTTGGGCCAAGCACAGTAGCTCATGCCTGTAATCCTAGCACTTTGAGAGGCTGAGGGGGGCAGATCACAATGTGATGAGATCAAGATCATCCTGGCAAACATGGTGAAACCCCATCTCTACTAAAAATACAAACAATTAGCCAGGCGTGGTGGCAGGTGCCTGTAGTCCCAGACACTTGGGAGCCCGAGGCAGGAGAATGGCATGAACCCATGAGGCGGAGCTTGCAGTAAGCCTGAATCATGCCACTGCACGCAGCCTGGGTGACAGAACAAGACTCCATCTAAAAAAAAATTACCTTTAAAAATGCATCCTATTTATTTTTCTGAGGGTGTTCCAAGATGGTCAAATAGGAACAGCTCCAGTCTGCAGCTCCCAGCATGATCGACACAGAAGATGAGTGACTTCTGCACTTCCAACTCAGGTACCTGGTTCTTCTCATTGGGACTGGTTGGACAGTGGGTGCAGCCCATTGAGGGAGAGCTAAAGCAGGTTGGGGAGTCACCCCACCTGGGATGCAAAAGGGATCAGGAGATTTCCCTTTCCTAGAAAAGGGAAGTTGTGACAAACTACTTGGAAAAACAGGACACTCCCACCCAAATGCTGCACTTTTCCCAAGGTCTTTGCAACTGGCAGACAAAAAGATTCTCTCCCATGCCTTGCTTGGTGGGTCCCACACTCACAGAGCCTTGGTAACTGCTAACACAGCATTCTGAGATCAAGCTCCGAGGTGGCAGCCTAGCTGGTAGAGGGACAGCCATCATTGTTAAGGCTTGAGTCGGTAAACACAGCACCCAGGAAGCTCAAACTAGGTGGAGACCACCACAGCTCAACAAGGCCTACTGCCTCAAGACTCCACCTCTGTAGGCAGGGGATAGCTGAAAAAAAGGCAGCAGACAGCTTCTGCAGACTTAAACATCTCCGTCTGACAGCTCTGAAGAGGGCAGTGGTTCTCCTAGAATGCTGTTTGAGTGCAGAGAATGGACAGACTGCCTCCTGAAGTGGGTCCTTGATTGCCATGTAGCCCAACTGGGAGACACCTCCAAGTAAAGGTCAACAGACACCTCATATAGGTGGCAGCTCCTTTGGGATGAAGCTTCCACAGAAATTATCATGCATCAATATTTGCTGTTCTGCAATATTTGCTGTTCTGAAGCCTCTGCTGGTGATGCCCAGGCAAACAGAATCTGTATTGAAACTCCACAAAACTCCAATAGACCTGAAGCTGAAGGACCTGACTGTTTGAAGGAAAACTAAGAAACAGAAAGGAATAGCAGCAACATCAACAAAAAGGTCATCTATGCAGAACCCCATCTGTAGATCACCAACTTCAAAAATCCAGGTAGATAAAACCACAAAGATGGGGAGAAATTAGAGCAGAAAAGCTGAAAATTCTAAAACTGAGAGCACCTCTTCTCCTCCAAAGGATTACAGCTCCTCACAAACAACAGAACAAAACCTGATGGAGAATCACTTTGACAAGTTGACAGAAGTAGGCTCCAGAAGGTCAGTAATAACAAACTTCTCCAAACTAAAGTAGCATGTTCAAAACCATCACAAGAAAGTTAAAACCTTGAAAAACGATTAGATGAAAGGCTAACTCGAATAAACAATGTAGAGAAGACCTTACATGACTTAATGGAGTTGAAAACCATGGCACAAGGACTTTGTGACATATACCACAAGCTTCAGTAGCTGATTCAATCAAGTGGAAGAAAGGATATCAGTGACTAAAGATTACATTAATAAAATAAAACAAGAAGACAAGGTTAGAGAAAACACAGCAAAAAGAAATAAACAAAGCCTCAAAAAATATAGGACTAAGTGAAAAGACCAAATCTACATTTGATTGGTGTACCTGAAAGTGATGGAAAGAATGGAACCAAGCTGGAAAACAATCTTCAGGATATCATCCAGGAAAACTTCCCCAACCTAGCAAGATAGGCCAACATTCAAATTCAGGAAATACAGAAAAAACCACAGAGACACTCCTCGAGAAGAGCAACATGAAGACACATAATTGTCAGGTTCACCAAGGTTGAAATGAAGGAAATAATATTAAGGGCAGCCAGAGAGAAAGGTTGAGTTACCCACAAAGGTAAGCTCATAAGACTAACAGCGAATCTCTTGGCAGAAACTCTAGAAGCCAGAAGAGAGTGGGGACCAACATTCAACATCTTTAAAGAAAAGAATTTTCAACCCAGAATTTCATATCCAGCCAAACTAAACTTTGTAAGTGAAGGAGAAATAACATCCTTTACAGAGAAGCAAATTCTGAGAGATTTTGTCACCACCAGGCCTGCCTTACAAGAGATCATGAAGGAAGCACTAAACTTGGAAAGAAACAATTGGTACCAGCCAGTGCAAAAACATGCCAAATTGTAAACAACATCAATGCTATGAAGAGACTCCATTAATTAATGGGCAAACTACCCAGCAAACGTCATAATGACAGGATCAAATTCACAGATAACAATATTAACCTTAAATGTAAATGGGCTAAATGCCCCAATTAAAAGACACAGACTGGCAAATTGCATAGAGTCAAGATGAATCAGTGTGCTGTATTCTGGAGACCCATCTCATATGCAATGATGCACATAGGCTCAAAATAAAGGGATGGAAGAAGATCTACCAAGTCTATGGAAAGAAAAAAAAAAAACAGAGAAAAACAAAGCAGGGGTTGCAATCATAGTCTGATAAAACAGACATTTAACCAGCAAAGATCAAAAGAGACAAAGAAGACCATTACATAATGATAAAGGGATCAATTAATGAAGAAGAGCTAAGTATCCTAAATATGTATGCATCCAATACAAGAGCACCCAGATTCATAAAGCAAGTCCTTAGAGACTTACAAAGAGATTTAGACTCCCATGCAATCATAATGGGAGATTTTAACACCTCACAGTCAGTATTAGACAGATCAATAAGACAGAAGATCAACAAGGATATTCAGGACCTGAACTCAGATCTGCAATAAGCAGACCTAATAGATATCTACAGAACACATCACACTTATTCTAAAATTGACTACATAACTGGAAGTAAAGCACTCCTCAGCCAATGTAAAAGAACAGAAATCATAGCAAACTGTCTCTCAGACCACAGTGCAATCAAATTAGAACTGAGGATTAAGAAATTCACTGAAAACTTCACAACTATGTGAAAACCGAACAACTTGCTCCTTAATGACTGCTGGGTAAGAAATGAAATGAAACCAGAAACAAAGATGTTCTTTGAAACCAATGAGAAAAATGACACAATGTACCAGAATCTCTGGGACACATTTAAAGTAGTGTGTAGAGGGAAATGTGTGGCACTAAACACACAAGAAAAACCAGGAAAACTGACACCCTAACATCACAATTAAAAGAACTAGCAAAGCAAGATCAAACAAAATCAAAAGCTTGGAGAAGGCAAGAAATAACTAAGATGAGAGCAACACTGAAAGAGATAGAGAGAAAAAAAATCCTTCAAAAAATCAATGAAATCAATAACTGGTTTTTTGAAAAGGTCAACCAAATTGATAGACCACTAGCAAGACTAATAAAGAAGAAAAGAGAGAAGAATCAAATAGATGCAATAAAAATGATAAATGGGATATCACCACCGACCCTACAGAAATACAAACTACCATCAGAGAAAACTGTAAACACCTCTGCACAAATAAACTAGAAAATCTAGAAGAAATGGATAAATTCCTGGACAAACAAACCCTCACAAAGCAAAAGCAGGAAGAATTGGATCTCTGAATAGACCAATAACAGGCTATGAAATTGAGGAAATAATTAATAGCCTACCAACCAAAAACAAAAGTCCAGGACCAGTTTGATTCACAGCTGAATTCTACCAGATGTACAAAGAGGAGCTGGTACCACTCCTTCTGAAACTATTCCAATCAATAAAAAAGAAGAAATCATCCCTAACTTATTTTATGAGGCCAACATAATTCTGATACCAATAAAAAAAGAGAATTTTAGACCAATATCCCTGAAGAACGTCAATGCAAAAATCCTCAATAAAATACTGGCAAACAGAATCCACCACCACATCAAAAATCTTCTCTACCATGATCATGTAAGCTTCATCCCTTGGATACAAGTCTGGTTCAACATACACAAATCAATAAATATAATCCATCACATAAACAGTACCAATGACAAAAACCACATGATTATCTCAACAGATGCAGAAAAGCCTTCAACAAAATCCAATAGCCCTTCATGCTAAAAACTCTCAATAAAGTAGGTATTGACAGAAATGTATCTCGAAATAATAAAAGCTCCTTGTGACAAGCCCACAGCCAATATCATACTGAGTGGGCAAATACTGGAAGCATTTCCTATGAAAACCGGCACAAGACAAGGATGCCTTCTCTTGACAAGGATGCTCACTTCTATTCAACATAGTGTTGGAAGTTCTGGCCAGGGCAATCAGACAAGAGAAAGAAATAAAGAGTATTCAATTAGGAAATGAGTGAGTCAAATCATCCCTGTTTTCTGATGACATGATTGTATATTTAGAAAACCCTGTCATCTCATCCCAAAATCTCCTTAAGCTGATAAGCAACTTCAATAAAGTCTCAGGATACAAAAATAAATGTGCAAAAATGACAAGCATTCCTATACACCATTAACAGACAAACAGAGAGCCAAATCATGAGTGGATTCCCATTCATAATTGCTACAAAGAGAATAAAATATGTAGGAATGAAACATACAAGGGATGTGAAGGACCCGTTCAAGGAGAACAACAAACCGCTGTTCAACGAAATAAAAAAGGACACAAACAAATGGAAGAATATTCTATGATCATGGATAAGAAGAACCAATATCTTGAAAATGGCCATTGTACCCAAAGTAATTTGTACATTCAAGGTCATCCCCATCAAGCTAACAAAGACTTTCTTCACAGAATTGGAAAAACTACTTTAAAATTCATATGGAACACAAAAAAGCCCACATTGCCAAGACAATCCTAAGCAAAAAGAACAAAGCTGTAGGCATCACGCTACCTGACTTCAAACTATACTACAAGGCTACAGTAACCAAAACTGCATAGTAGTGTTACCAAAACAGATACATTGACCAATGGATCAAAAGAGAGGCCTCAGAAATAAAAACACACATCTACAATCATCTTATCTTTGACAAACCTGACAAAAAGAAGAAATGGGGAAAGGAGTCCCTGTTTAATAAATGGTGCTGGGAAAACTGGCTGGCCATTTGTAGAAAGTTGAAGCTGCATCCCTTAATTACACCTAACACAAAAATTAATTGAAAATGGATTATAGACTTAAATATTAGACCTAAAACCATAAAAACCCTAGAGGAAAACCTAGCCAATACCATTCATGACATAGGCAATGGGCAAGGACTTCATGACTAAAACACCAAAAGCAATGGCAACCAAAGCTAAAATAGACAAATGAAATCTAATTCAACTAAAGAGCTTCTGCACGGCCAAAGAAACTACATTTGAGTGAACAGGAAAGCTACAGAATGGGAGAAAATTTTTGCAATCTACCCATCTGACAAAAGACTGACATTCAGAATCTACAAAGAAACCAAATTTACATGAAAAAAATTTCACCAAAAAGTGGACAAAGGATATGAACACATACTTCTCAAAAAAACACATCTGAGTGGCCAATAGACACATGAAACAATGTTCATCATCACTGGTTATCAGATAAATGCAAATCAAAACCAAAATCACACAACATCTGACACCAATTACAATGGCAATCATTAAAAAGTCAGGAAACAACAGATGCTGGAGTGGATGTGGAGAAACAGGCATGCTTTTACACTGTTGGTGGGAGTGTAAATTAGTTCAACCATTTTGGAAGACAGTGTGGAAATTCCTCAAAGATCTAGAACTAGAATTACCATTTGATCCAGCAATCTTTTTACTGGATATATACCCAAAAAATTATAAATCATGTTACTATAAAGACACATGCACACATATGTTTATTGTGGCACTATTCACAATACCAAAGACTTGGAACCAATCCAAATGTCCATCAATGATAGACTGGATTAAGAAAATGTGACACATATACACCTTGTAATACTATGCAGCCATAAAAATGGATGAGTTTATGTCCTTTGCAGGGACATGGATTAAGCTGGAAGCCATCATTCTCAGCCAACTATCACAACGCCAGAAAACCAAACACTGCGTGTTCTCATTCATAGGTGGAAATTTTGAACAATGAGATCACTTGGACACAGGGCAGGGAACATCACACACTGGGTCCTGTCTGGCGGTGGGGAGTGGGGGACTTGGGGAGGGATAGCATTAAGAGAAATATCTAATGTAAATGATGAATTGATGGGGGCAGCAAAGCAACATGGCACATGAATACATATGTATCAAACCTGCATGTTGTGCACATGTACCCTAGAACTTAAAGTATAATAAATAAATAAACAAATAAATAAATGCATCCTATTATGTGCATTTCATGTGTACTACATGATGCTATGGGATGTATTTTGATATTTCAAAGGCTACTATACTGAAGCAAATTAACATGTTTGTAATCTCACATAGTTACTGCTATAGTTTGGATATTTGCCTTTACAAACTACATGTTGAAATTTGATCCCCAGTGTTGGAGGTGAGGTTGAGTGGGAGATGCTCGGTTCATGAGGGTGGATCCCTTATGAAGAGTTCGGTATCATTCTTGTGACAAGGAGGGAGATCTTGTTCTATTAGCTTTTGAAAACAGATTTTAAAAAAAAGGCTGGCATCACTCTCCCTCACAAAAATATTGTGATATTACACAGTATTTTTCTCTCTGTGTTTAGTTGATTTCACTTAGCATGTTTTCCTCCAAGGTCCTCAGGTTTTGGCAAATGGCAAGATCTCACTCTTGTTCAGGGCTAAATAATACTTCATTATACTGGACAGTAAGATTTTTTTCATATCTTAGCTATTGTTAATAATGCTGCAATGAACATGAGAGTACAGATACCTCTATGAGGTAGTGATTCCCTTTGTTTATATGTCTAAAGGAAGAGTTGGTGAGGCATATGGTTGTTCTATTTTTAATTTTCCAGAAACCTCCATATCAATTTTTATAATGGCTATATATCACCAACAACACTCTTCAAGAGTCTGATTTTCTCTACATCCTAGCCAACATTTGTGATCTTTTGAGTTTTTGATAATAGCCATCCCGATGTGAGTTATGTAATGTCTCAAAGTACTTTTGATTTAAAATTTTCTGATGATTAATGATGTCAAATATGTTTTAAATACCTGTTGCCCATTTTTGTGTTCCTTGGAGAAATGTTAATTCAGAGCTTTTGCCCATCTTTTAGTGTGTTTATTTGTTTTTCTACTATTGAGTTGTACAAGTTCTTTATAAGTTTTAGATTTTAACCCATCATCATATATGTAGCTTGAAAACATTTTTTCCAACATTTAGGCTATTTTTATTTTGTTGATTGTTTCCTTTACTGTGCAAACGCTTTTTCATTGAATGCAGTCTTGCTCATTTATTTTCAACATATCCTCAGTTGATTTTTGTGTATGATGTAAAATGTGGGTCCAATTTTGTTCTTTTGCGTGTGGAAATCTAGTTTTCCCAGCACTGCTCATAGGAGAGATGATCCCCTTCTATCATATCATTTTGCTGCACAATTCAAAAATTAATTGACTATATATGATTGGATTTATTTCTGGACTCTCTGCTCTGTTCATTTGGCCAGGATTCCATGTTCATGCCAGTTGCAAATAAGGTAGGGTGATTCCTCCTACTTCATTTTTCTTTATTAAGAATTGTTTTGACAATTGAAAGACTTCCAGATTGCTATATAAATTTTATATTTTGTTTTCTATTTCTATGAAGAATGCCATTGAAATTTTGATTGGCTAGCATTGAATCTGTGTATTGCTTTGGATGCTAAAAACATTTTAACAATATTAACTCTCCCAATCCATAAGCATGGACCACCTTTCCATTTATTTGTGTCTTCTTCAATTGCTTTTATCAACATTTCATAGTTTTCAGTGGAGACATCTTTTACTTTCTGGATAAATTTTTTCTTAAGAATTTAACTTCTTTGATATGCTTATAAATGAGAAGAGTTTATTTCTTTTTCAGTTAGGTAATTATGTGTACAATGACTTTACTAAATTTATTCATTACTTATAAAAGTTTCCTAAATAGAATATTTGAGCTGTTTATACATATAGGAGTCTGTCATCTGCAAATAGAGATAATTTTATTTCTTGCTCTATAATTTGTCTGCCTTGCTTTTTTTTTTTCTTACCCGATTACTCTTGCCAGTACTTTCAGAACTATGTTAAATACAAGTGGGGAGAGTGGGCATCCTCGTGTTGTACCAGATGTCTTTGGAAAACCATCAATTTTTCCTTGTTAATGATAAAGTTAGCTTTTCCTTTTTTTCTTAAATGGCCTTTATTACAAAAAAAAAAACAACCCTTTATTTCTATACTTAAACTGTTGAGGGTTTTTTAATCAAGAAAGATTGTTGGGATTTTCCAAAGTGTTTTCCACATTAATTGGGATGTATACATGCTTTTAATCTTTTATTCTGTTAATGTGATGAATCACATTGATTTATTTGTATACATAACCAGCCTTGCATGACAGGGATGTAAAATCTTGGCCACGATGTATAATATTTTTGGCATGTTGCTGGATTCAGATTGCTCATATTTTATTAGGGATTTTTGGTCCAATGTTTATCAGAGGTAATGGCCTATAGTTCTCACTTCTCATGATGTTTTTGTTTGCCTTAGTATCAAGATGATACAGGACTCATAAAAAAAATTTGGAAGCATTACATTTAACTTCTTTTTTTGAAGACTTTGAAGCATATTAATATTCTTTTCTGAAAATATGGTAGAATTCATCTCCAAAGCCATTTGTTGTTTACCTTTTCTTTGTTGGAAAGCCTTATAAAATCACTCCTCATCCATCATTTGTAATTGTTTTGTTTGTTTGTTTATTGTAATTTCTATAACTTAATTTTTTATTGTTTTTCAGTCATTTTTTTCTTCATCTAGCTATGTTTGCTTTGCTTCTGTTTTAATTATTATTCTATTTATTGTGTTAATTTTGAATTTAGTTGTTTTGTCTTCTAATTCAGTAGGTACAATGAGATGTTGCTTATTTGGAATCTCTATCTTTTTTTTAAATGCATGCACTTATTGCTATAATCTTCCATCATAATACTGCCTCACTGAACATCATAGGTTTAGGTATGTTGTGTTTCCACTGTCATTTATCTGAAGATATTTATAAATTTTCATTTTTATTTTTCTTTTCATCAATGGTTATTTAGGAGCAATATTTTAAAAATGTTCATGTGTTCATGATTTTTTTCAAGATCCATCCTGCTACTGATTTTTGGTTTGCTACTATGATGGCCTGAAACAATATTAAATATGTTTTTAGCCATCTTAATTTTGTTAAGACTTGTTAAATATCTGTCAAGTTTATCTATTCCTTGTTGCAGTTGAAGTACTGAAATTTCCTACTGTTGTTTTATTTGCTATGTACTATTTTACCTACTATTATTTTATTTATTGTTTTTTTTTCATTTCTATTTATCTTTGCTTTAAATATTTAGGTGCTCCAATGTTGAGTGCATATGTGTGTATATATGACAGTTATATACTTTTGATGAATTGATTGCTTTATTATTAAATGATGACATTTTCAGTCTTATGACATGTTTTCACTTGAAATCACTTTTATCAGATATGAGTATAGCCACCCCTAATTTTTTTAATTACCATTTTCATAGGTTAACTTCTTCTATTCATTCATTTTCAGCCTATGTTTGTCCTTAAAGATTAAGTGGGTCTCATAGTTAAAATGTAGTTGAATCTCATTTTTAAAATCCATTTGGTCACTCTATGTCTTTTAGTTGTATGATTTAATTCATTTACATTCAAGATAATTATTGATAAGTAAGTTCTTACTACTGTTATCTTGTTAGTTGTTTTCTGATTGAGTCAGAAAACAAGAAAAAATCTGATTGATTATTTCCTTTCTTCCTCTGATGTTTGCTTTTAAATGTTTAGCATTTAAATATTTTCAGTAGTGCTAAGCTTTAATTCCTTTGTATTTATCGTTGGTTTTGCTGCTGTACTTTTTGATGGCCATTAAAGGCTCAGAGAAAACATCTTATAGTTAATAATCAAGTAGTTTAAGCTGAAAATTTTGTGACATAAAAACTCTAGACTTTTACCCTTTCTTCCAACTATGTTTTTGACGTCACAATTTATATTTTTAATTCTGGGTCTTCCTTAAAAACCTATCGTTGACAAGTCTTTTGCCGAATGATTTCAAACTCCTCCAATTTTTGTTTATTTGCCAGTATTGCTTTTAGAATTTTCTTTATTTCTCGGCCTTTGAGAGTTAGATTCTTATTTGTTGTGTGGTAGTTTTATGGGGTATTAAAGTTTTTTGTAGTCTAGGATTTTTCTGAAGCTGTATAAGTAGCTGTTTCTCAAATTTTTGAAAGCTGTAATTATTCATGTGAATATGCTGTATATACCTTCCTCTTGCTAAGCTCTTCCATGAATAGTGCTAAATCTTCGATTTGCTTATTTTAGGTAATTTTTATATCATGTAAATGTTCTATTTTTTATTGTTTTTGTGTTTCATTCTGTTTGTTTCCTAATAACCTGTGTTAATTTTCTTTTCTTTTTTCTTTTTTTTTTTTTTCCTTTGAGACAAAGTCTCATTGTGTTGCCCAGGCTGGAGTTCAATGGCACGACATTAACTCACTGCAACATCTGCCTCCCAGGTTCGAGTGATTCTCCTCTCTCAGGCTCCTGATTAGCTGGGATTAGAGGTGTGCACCACTATGCCCAGAGAATTTTTTGTATTCTTAGTAGAGCCTGAGTTTCACCATGATGTCCAAACTGGTCATGAACTGCCAACCTCAAGTGATCAAACTGTCACAGCCTCCCAAAGTGCTGTGGTTACAGTCATGAGCTGGCACACCTGGCCCTAATAATTCGTTTTAAAGCTAATGATTCTTTATTCTGTTTCACCTATTCTGCTGTTGAAAGCCTTTTGAATTTTTTACTTCAGAAAATATAGTTCTCAGTTTCAGAAATTTTTTATTTTTAAATTAATTAAGTCCATTTTTAAAAATTTCTTTCAGAAGTATATCAGTTCCTTTTCTCTGCTGTTTTAGAGATCTGAGTTTCCTGAAAACTGATATTTTGAATTCTTGATCAAATAACCACTGGTAGCCATCTCATTAATTAGCACTGGTCAATGGTTTATGGCTTTGTCCATTTAAGGAGGTTACAATTTCTTGTTTGGTGTTATTTATTGTGGTAATATAACTATATATTTTTATTGAAGGCCTAATTATTTAGTCCTTTGTTTTCTCTGTCTTAGTTTGCATTTTATTGTATATGATTGCTTTGAGTTTTCTTTAAGACATAACCATTGTTAGGGTTTTGTTTACTTGCTTTTGGCTAGCTCGGTGCCTCTGTTTTGGCAGTAGATGGTGCCTTAATCCCAGGTGTGTCTCAGCTTTAACAAACTTTGAAACAGTCAGTCTCCTATCTGAGCGATCTTGAAGGTGATCTATAGGATCTGTGGGAAAGCAGTCTATAGATTTGTGATCAAGGAAATTATGAAATATCCCTCCTACCCCATGGTAATGCTGCACAGGCACTCGGGTTTGGCATCTCCTGTGACTGAGATATCCAGGCTGGAGGTGGGAGTCCTGCCTTTCTACTTTGTCTCTGTTGTATTTTTGAGTAACCCAGCTTCCTTGGGTTAAAGCAGGAATAGGTCTCCTGCCAGGGAATCCAAAGTCGTGGGGAAGCTGGTCATCCACTTCAACTTTATTTTATCCAGTGTAGTAATCATGAGTCAGAGGATTTTTGTTTTGTTTTGTTTTTTTCCACACTTGGTTGCCAGCTGACTAGGGGAAGAGTGTCGTGAATATAAAAGGCAAACTTTCTTACCATCTGCCTGGTTTCTTCACTTTTCTGTCACCCTAGGAGCTGCCTCATTATCATATTTGGGCTCTGCGTTATTGCTGGTAATAATCTCAGCACTGTGTACTTGGTTTGGTTTTTCTGTGTGTGTTCTTTGGGGTTAGTGTTGGGGGCCAATGATGGCAGCTTCCTTTACTAGGCCATTTTTTTTTTTTTTTTTTAAAGTACTCTCCTCTACTTTGCACATTTTCTGCTTCCTTGTGTGTAAATTTATGTTAGAAATTTTACATTTCTTCTTTTTTATCTATATGTTTACATGTGTATATTTCACAACATTGATTTAGCTGCATTTCAGAAGTTTTAGTATGTTTTAATTTTTTATTTATCTGCAAAAGTTATTTAATTCCTTGCAGATTCTTCAGTTAACCACAGGTTGTTGAAGAGTGTAATTTTTAGTTACCAACATTATATATTTTTCAGTTTTTAAAAAAAGAGTCTTGGCCAGGAGTGGTGTCCAAGACTAATCTATTCATTTTTGTTTTATATATCCTGAGAATGTGTTATTAGATATATACATAAGTATTGTATCTTCTTGATGAATTAAACAATTTTGATATTTGTACAGTTTTTCCAGCTCTAATTTGGTTACTGTTTGCACTATTTTTTTCCTCACCTTTAAAACATTTAAAATGTTACTCTGCTAATCTTTGACATTTAACTGGATTTTAGTTTATTTGGATGGAAAGCAATTGCTGACAAGAATTTATTTTCCTATTTGTGTCATTTTTTCTACTAGTTTTGTTGTTGTTATTATTCTTCTATTTCCCCAAAACTGTTCAATTTGCATTTGATTGTTTTTCTAGGGTACCATTTTGACTTCCATGTTTCTCTTCAGTATATTTGAACAGTATTTTTCTTAGTGATTATTAATGGTATTATAATTAATATCTTAACTTTGTAATTATGTAATGTGAATTATAAAAACTGAGTGTTGATATTATACAAAAATCATTTACCTATAGTACTCTCCGTAACTTCCTATTTTATTGTCAAAAATTGTTTGTTATACAATGAGTGAGAACAACACAGATGTGTAATTATTGTTTTATTCTTTATTATTTCTTTATCTTATTTTACTTTATTGAGACAGAGTTTCAGTCACACAGGCTAACCCTTGTTCACTACAGCCTCAAGCTCATGGGCTCAAGGGATCCTTCCACCTCAGCTCCCTGTACCTGGGATAGAAGTGCATGCCACCATAGCTGGATAATTTTGTTTATTTTCTGTAGACACAGAGTCACACATTGTTGCCGTGGCTGGTCTCAAACTCCTGTGCTCAAGGAAATCTCCCACATTGGTTGGTATTACATTTGTGAGATACTGTGGCTTACCTCTTGTCATTTAAATCTAGTAGAAAAATAAAGTTGCAGAATCCGCAAATACAATAATATTGGCTTTTCTATTTCCTGGTGTAATTACTTTTCTTCTTCTTATTATTATTGTTATACTTTTAAGTTTTAGGGTACATGTGCACAACGTGCAGGTTTGTTATATAGGTATACATGTGCCATGTTGGTGTGCTGCACCCATTAACTCATCATTTGACATTAGGCATATCTCCTAATGCTATCCCTCCCCCATCCCCCACCGAACAACAGTCCCTGGGGTTTGATGTTCCCCTTCCTCTGTCCATGTGTTCTCACTGTTCAATTCCCACCTATGAGTGAGAACATGCGGTGTTTGTATTTTTGTCCTTGAAATAGTTTGCTGAGAATGATGGTTTCCAGCTTCATCCATGTGCCTACAAAGGACATGAACTCATCATTTTTTATGGCTGCATAGTACTCCATGGTGTATATGTGCCACATTTTCTTAATCCAGACTATCATTGTTGGACATTTGGGTTGGTTCCCAGTCTTTCCTATTGTGAATAGTGCCACAATAAACATACACGTACATGTGTCCTTATAGCAGCATGATTCATAATCCTTTGGGTATATACCCAGTAATGGGATGGTTGGATCAAATGGTATTTCTAATTCTAGATCCTTGAGGAATCAACCCACTGACTTCCACAATGGTTGAACCAGCTTACAGTCCCACCAACAGTGTAAAATATTCCTATTTCACCACATCCTCTCCAGGACCTGTTGTTTCCTAACTTTTTAATGATAGCCATTCTAACTGGTGTGAGATGGTATCTCATTGTGGTTTTGATTTGCATTTCTCTGATGGCCAGTGATGATGAGCATTTTTTCATGTGTCTTTTGGCTGCATAAAAGTCTTCTTTTGAGAAGCATCTATTCATATCCTTCACCCACTTTTTGATGGAGTTGTTTGTTTTTTTCTTGTAAATTTGTTTGAGTTCCTTGCAGATTCTTGATATTAGCGCTTTGTCAGCTGAGTAGGTTGCAGAAATTTTCTCCCATTCTGTAGGTTGCCTGTTCACTCTGATGGAAGTTTCTTCAGCTGTGCTGAAGCTCTTTAGTTTAATTAGATCCTATTTGTCAATTTCGGCTTTTGTTGCCATTGCTTTTGGTGTTTTAGACATGCACATGCTTATGTCCTGAATGGTATTGCCTAGGTTTTCTTCTAGGGTTTTTATGGTTTTAGGCCTAACATGTAAGTCTTTAATCAATCTTTAATTAATTTTTGTATAAGATGTAAGAATGTATCCGGTTTCGGCTTTCTACATATGGCTAGCCAGTTTTCCCAACACTATTTATTAAATGGGGAATCTTTGCATTTAATAAATGGGGAAATTATAACCGTTTGTTAAAATTTCCAGTATTTTACATTTACTAAGGAGTGCTTTACTTCCAACTATGTTTTCAATTTTGGAATAAGTGTGGTGTGGTGCTGAAAAGAATGTGTATTCTGTTGATTTGGGGTGGAGAGTTCTGTGGATGTCTATTAGGTTCGCTTAGTGCAGAGCTGAGTTCAATTCTTGGATATCCTTGTTAACTTTCTGTCTCATTGATCTGTCTAATGTTGACAGTGGGGTGTTAAAGTCTTCCATTATGTAATGGTCTTCTTTGTCTCTTTTGATCTTTGTTGGTTTAAAGTCTGTTTTATCTGAGACTAGGATTGCAACCTCTGCCTTTTTTGGTTTTTCATTTGCTTGGTAGATCTTCCTCCATCCCTTTATTTTGAGCCTATGTGTGTCTCTGCACATCAGATGGGTTTCCTGAATATAACACACTGATGGGTCTTGACTCTTTATCCAATTTGCCAGTCTGTGCCTTTTAATTGGAGCATTTATCCCATTTACATTTAAGGTTGTATTGTTATGTGTGAATTTGATTCTGTCATTATGATGTTAGCTGGTTATTTTGCTTGTTAGTTGATGCAGTTTCTTCCTAGCCTTGATGGTCTTTACAATTTGGCATGTTTTTGCAGTGGCTGGTACTGATTGTTCCTTTCCATGTTTAGTGCTTCCTTCAGGAGCTCTTTTGGGGCAGGCCTGGTGGTGACAAAAATCTCTCAGCCTTTGCTTGTCTGTAAATATTTTATTACTCCTTCACTTATGAAGCTTAGTTTGGCAGCATATGAAATCCTGGGTTGAAAATTCTTTTCTTTAAGAATGTTGAATATTGGACCCCACTTTCTTCTGGCTTGTAGAGTTTCTGCTGAGAGATCAGCTATTAGTCTGATGGGCTTCCCTTTGTGGGTAACCTGATCTTTCTCTCTGGCTGCCCTAACATTTTTTCCTTCATTTCAACTTTGGTAAATCTGACTATTATGTGTCTTGGAGTTGCTCTTCTCGAGGCGTATCTTTGTGGCATTCTCTGTATTTCCTGAATTTGAATGTTGGCCTGCCTTGCTAGGTCAGGGAAGTTCTCCTGGATAATATCCTGCAGAATGTTTTCCAACTTAGTTCCATTCTCCCCGTCACTTTCAGGTACACCAATTAGACATAGATTTGGTCTTTTCACATAGTCCCATATTTCTTGGAGGCTTTGATCTTTTCTTTTTATTCTTTTTTCTCTAAACTTCTCTTCCCACTTCATTTCATCTTCCATCGCTGATACCCTTTCTTCCAGTTGATGGCATCGGTTACTGAGGCTTGTGCATTCATCAGGTAGTTCTCATGCTGTGGTTTTCAGCTCCATCAGTTCCTTTAAGGACTTCTCTGCATTGGTTATTCTAGTTATCCATTCATCTAATATTTTTTTCAAAGTTTTAACTTCTTTGCCATTGGTTCGAACTTCCTCCTTTAGCTCAGAGTAGTTCGATCTTCTGAAGCCTTCCTCTCTCAACTCGTCAAAGTCATTCTCCATCCAGCTTTGTTCCATTGCTGGTGAGGAGCTGTTTTCCTTTGGAGGAGGAGAGGCACTCTGATTTTTAGAGTTTCCGTTTTTCTACTCTGTTTCGTCCCCATCTTTGTGGTTTTATCTACCTTTGGTCTTTGATGATGGTGATGTACAGATGGGTTTTTGGTGTGGATGTCCTTTCTGTTTGTTAGTTTTCCTTCTAACAGTCAGGAACCTCAGCTGCAGGTCTGTTGGAGTTTACTGGAGGTCTACCCCATACCCTCTTTGCCTGGGTATCAGAAGTGGTGACTGCAGAACAGCGGATATTGGTGAACCGCAAATGCTGCTGCCTGATCGTTCCTCTGCAAGTTTTTCTCAGAGGAGTACCTGGCTGTGTGAGGTGTCAGTCTGCCCCTACTGATGGGTGCCTCCCAGTTAGGCTGCTCAGGGTCAGGGGTCAGGGACCGACTTGAGGAGGCAGTCTGCCTGTTCTCAGATATCCATCTGCATGCTGGGAGAATCACTACTCTCTTCAAAGCTGTCAGACAGGGACATTTAAGTCTGCAGAGGTTATTGCTGTCTTTTGTTTGTCTGTGCCCTGCACCAAGAGATGGAGCCTACAGAGGCAGGCAGGCCTCCTTGAGCTATGGTGGGCTCCACCTAGTTCGAACTTCCTTGCGGCTTTGTTTACCTACTCAAGCCTAAGCAATGGCGGGCTCCCCTCCCCCAGCCTCGCTGCCACCTTGCAGTTTGATCTCAGACTGCTGTTCTAGCAATGAGCAAGGCTCCATGGGTGTAGGTCCCTTTGAGCCAGGTGTGGGATAAAATCTCCAGGTGTGCCATTTGTTAAGCCCATTGGAAAAGTGCAGTATTACGGTGGGAGTGACCCGATTTTCCAGGTGCCCTCTGTCACCCCTTTCTTTGACTAGGAAAGGGAATTCCCTGACCCCTTGTGCTTCCTGGGTGAGGCAATGCCTTGCCCTGCTTCAGCTTACATACGGTGCCCTGCACCCACTGTCCTGCACCCACTGTCTGGCACTCCCCAGTGAGATGAACCCTGTACCTCCATTGGAAATACAGAAATTTCCCATATTCTGCTTCACTCATGCTGGGAGCTGGAGACTGGAGCTGTTCCTATTTGGCCATCTTGGGTCCACCCCCTATAATCTGGTGTAATTACTTTATTGATATTCTTTATTTCTTTATTTGCACAATGAGTTACTATTTTTCTTTCATTCCTTACTTGTTTTTATCATGTTTTATAAAGCTGATCTATTCTGTTTGCTTGGAAATGACTTATTTGCTCATAAATTTGAATTTTGGTTTGGCCAGATATTGAATTTATGATCAACTTCATTTTTTATTTCAGCACTTTAAAGATCTCATCACAGTGACTTCTTTCCTCATAATTTTTAATGAGATATTGGCTGTTAATATCATGGAGGGTAACTTGCATATGGTCAGTTACTTCTGCCTTGCTTCTTTTAAAGTTCTCTATTTATTTGTCTTCTATCAAATTCAGTGCATGTGTTTCACTGTGGGTATCTTTGAATTTATTCTTTCTGGAGTGCCTTTTTCTTTGTAGATACTTGGATCAGTAGATTTATATCTACCAACACATTTGGCAAGTTACATCCACTGTTTCTTCAAATATTCCTTTTTTCCCCCATCTCTCCTTTTCCAGTGGGACTCCCATTATCACTATGTTGATATTCTTGATGGTGTCCCATGAAAACCTTAGTTTTTTTCATTATTGTTGTTTCTCTTCTTGTTCCTTACACTGAATAATATCAAACAATCCATCTTCAAGTTGCCTCATTCTGTGTTCTGCATGCTCACCCAGGCTACTCAGTCCTTCTAGTTACAGATTATTGATTTCATTTTTTAAAATAATTTGTCTGTCTTTATTGGTATTTTCAATTTTGAATCGCTATTCTTCTGGGTTCCTTTAGGTCTTTGAGAACATTAAAATTTAGTGAATTGAAATATTTCCCTAATTAGTACCATGCCTGGGCTTCAGGAAGTAGTTTTTTTTTGTTTGTTTGTTTGTTATGACTTCTCGTGGTGTACCTTTTTTTTCCATTGAATGCCTTTCAGTTTATTGTTGAACACTGAACACTTTGGATATTATTCAGCATATTCAGATAACAAATCCTTGATCTCCACAAATGCTTAGTTTGTGGGTTGTTTGCTTGTTTAGGAGCCATCCAGACCTATGTTTGTAGTCTGAATTCTTTGTCATGTATGGCCACTTTACCTGTGTTCTGTCACCCTTTTGGTCATCTACTCTTATTGCCACATTTTTAAAAAACAATCCAAGCAAAGAAAAGAAAAAATAGAAAAAGAAAGTAGAGAAAAACCGCCCAGACTTTGCATATGGACTCCTTGAGGAACTCTAGTATTTAGCCCAAAGCCAAGGAAAAATGAAAAGTTTCGGGGTCTTCTCCACACATGCATCCAAAAATGGACATACTTATATCCCTCTAAATATATCAGTAGGAATATGGATGTGGTGCTTCATATCTATAACCCCACCAATTTGGAAGGCTTAGGAGAACAAATCACTTGAGCCCAGAAGTGTGAGACAAGCCTTGACAACATGGCAAGATCTCTTCTGTATAAAAAAAAAAATACAAAAATAAGCTGGTTATGGTGGCCAATGCCTGTACTGTGAGACACTGAGAGGGGAGGATAGGTGGAACCCAGAGACATAACATGCTCAGGAGGCTGAAGTGGGAAGACCATTTGAACCAAAGGAGGTTGAGCTTTGGACATGATCATGCCAGAGGACTCTAACGTGGGCCACAGCGCAAACTCTGTCTCTATTTAAAACCCAATCCACAACAAACAACAACAAACTGAGGGTTTTTCAAACCTGGTTTTCCACATCAATTTTTTTCCTCAGCCTCTTCCTTCCAGGTATTTTGTTGGTGTACTGCTTGACCTGACTCTTATTCCTTGCTACAGATGGCTCTGACTAGTATATTTCCTTTCCACAAATGCCTCCCGGGAGTCAGCTTCTGCCCCCAAGAAAACTGTGTGGTGAGCTAAAGAAAAGCCTCTGAGCCAGTAATCTTCAAGGGAACCTCAAACATTTTAAATCACACAACCACAATTCTTTGAGATAAGCTCTGTATTTCCCCCACAGACATCAAAAGCTGAATCTATAATTTAATCTTCTTCACAGTTTCCATGAAGCCATGGAGTGGATGATGATGGGCAGTTAAAATGCCCCATACTATCATCCCCAAATTTAGAGGTCTGTTCTTTCTTCAATAAACACTCCCCTGAGTTATGTTATTAGATTCCAGAGCTCCCAAAATCATGGCTGAAGTTTTCTTTTTTTCTTTCTTATATCTCTTCACTTTTAACCTAATGAACTTTAAAGACAGCATGAAATAGAAACTTGATTAAATTTACCTTGCTTTTTAATGTTTAGAAGCCATGAAGTGGATGATGATGGGCAGTTAAAATACCACATACTCTTTTGCCCAAATGGAGAGGTCTGGTCTTTCTTCATTGAACATTCCCCTGAGTTATGTTGTTAGATTCCAGAGCCCCCAAAATCAAGTCTGAGGTTTATTTTATCTTCCTTGTATCTCTTCCCTTTTATCCTAATGAACTTATATGATAGCATGAAATAGAAACTTGATTAAATTTACCTTGCTTTTTAAAGTTTAGAGGGGTTTTTATGAGATGGAGTCTCACTCTCTCACCCAGGCTAGAGTGTAGTGGCCCGATCTCAGCTCCCTGCAGCCTCTGCCTTCCAGGCTCAAGGGATTCTCTTGTCTCAGCCTCCTGACTAGCTGGGATTACAGGCATGCACCACCATGCCTGGATAATATTCTTATTTTTAGTAGAGAGGGGGTTTCACCATGTTAGCCAGGCTGGTCTCAAACACTTGACCTCAAGTCATCCACCTGTCTCAGCCTCCCAAAGTGCTGGGATTACAGGCATAGGCCATCATGTCCAGACTGTTTTGTAACATTTCATTTGAAGCTGCTTCCATCATTATCATGAGAGCCATTCGGTCTTTCAGGTAGTAACAAATAGTTAAGAAATACACGTTTTTGTTAGTAACATTTAAGTAATATAACTTTATTATTTTCCAAATTATTAAAAGTTCAGTTCTTCCATTTGTTTGTATCCTCTTTTATTTCCTTGAGCAGTGGTTTGTAGTTCTCCTTGAAGAGGTCCTTCACATCCCTTGTAAGTTGGATTCCTAGGTATTTTATTCTCTTTGAAGCTATTATGAATGGGAGTTCACTCATGATTTGGCTCTCTATTTGTCTGTTGTTGGTGTATAAGAATGCTTGTGATTTTTGTACACTGATTTTGTATCCTGAGACTTTGCTGAAGTTGCTTATCAGCTTAAGGAGATTTTGGGCTGAGACAATGGGGTTTTCTAGATATACAATCATGTCGTCTGCAAACAGGGACAATTTGACTTCCTCTTTTCCTAATTGAATACCCTTTATTTCCTTCTCCTGCCTAATTGCCCTGGCCAGAACTTCCAACACTATGTTGAATAGGAGTGGTGAGAGAGGGCATCCCTGACTTGTGCCAGTTTTCAAAGGGAATGCTTCCAGTTTTTGCCAATTCAGTATGATATTGGCTGTGGGTTTGTCATAGATAGCTCTTATTATTTTGAAATACATCCCATCAATACTTAATTTATTGAGAGTTTTTAGCATGAAGGTTGTTGAATTTTGTCAAAGGCTTTTTCTGCATCTATTGAGATAATCAGGTGGTTTTTGTCTTTGGCTCTGTTTATATGCTGGATTACATTTATTGATTTGCATATATTGAACCAGCCTTGCATCCCAGGGATGAAGCCCACTTGATCATGGTGGATAAGTTTTTGATATGCTGCTGGATTCGGTTTGCCAGTATTTTATTGAGGATTTTTGCATCAAAGTTCATCAAGGATATTGGTCTAAAATTCTCTTTTTTTTGTTGCAAAAAAGAACAAAGCTGGAGGTATCACACTACCTGACTTCAAACTATACTACAAGGCTACAGTAACCAAAACAGCATTGTACTTGTACCAAAACAGAGATGTAGATCAATGGAACAGAACAGAGCCCTCAGAAATAATGCTGCATATCTACAACTATCTGATCTTTGACAAACCTGACAAAAACAAGCAATGGGGAAAGGATTCCCTATGTAATAAATGGTGCTGGGAAAACTGGCTAGCCATATGTAGAAACCTGAAACTGGATCCCTTCCTTACACCTTATACAAAAATCAATTCAAGATGGATTAAAGACTTAAATGTTAGACCTAAAACCATAAAAACCCTAGAAGAAAACCTAGGCATTACCATTCAGGACATAGGCATGGGCAAGGACTTTATGTCTAAAACACCAAAAGCAATGGCAACAAAAGACAAAATTGAGAAGTGGGATCTAATTAAACTAAAGAGCTTCTGCACAGCCAAAGATACTACCATCAGAGTGAACAGGCAACCAACAAAACGGGAGAAAATTTTTGCAGCCTACTCATCTGACAAAGGGCTAATAACCAGAATCTACAATGAACTCAAACAAATTTATAAGAAAAAAACAAACAACACCATCAAAAAGTGGGTGAAGGACATGAACAGACACTTCTCAAAAGAAGACATTTACGCAGCCAAAAAACACATGAAAAAATGCTCATCATCCCTGGCCATCAGGGAAATGCAAATCAAAACCACAATGAGATACCATCTCACACCAGTTAGAATGGCAATCATTAAAAAGTCAGGAAACTACAGGTGCTGGACAGGATGTGGAGAAATAGGAACACTTTTACACTGTTGGTGGGACTGTAAACTAGTTCAACCATTGTGGAAGTCAGTGTGGCGATTCCTCAGGGATCTAGAACTGGAAATACCATTTGACCCAGCCATCCCATTACTGGGTATATACCCAAAGGACTATAAATCATGCTGCTATAAAGACACATGCACACGTATGTTTATTGCGGCATTATTCACAATAGCAAAGACTTGGAACCAACCCAAATGTCCAACAATGATAGACTGGATTAAGAAAATGTGGCACATATACACCATGGAATACTATGCAGCCGTAAGAAATGATGAGTTCATGTCCTTTGTAGGGACATGGATGAAATTGGAAATCATCATTCTCAGTAAACTATCCCAAGAACAAAAAACCAAACACTGCATATTCTCACTCATAGGTGAGAATTGAACAATGAGATCACATGGACACAGGAAGGGGAATATCACACTCTGGGGACTGTTGTGGGGTTGGAGGAGGGGGGAGGGATAGCATCGGGAGATATACCTAATGCTAGATGACGAGTTAGTGGGTGCAGCGCACCAGCATGGCACATGTATATATGTAACTAACCTGCACAATGTACACATGTACCCTAAAACTTAAAGTATAATAAAAAAAAAAAGAGTCCAGTTAACTCATTTCATCACAGTGTGGTAGTTTTTACAAATAATTAATTTCCATCTTGGCCAGTTTAATCTCACAGTATCTAACTAAACTATTTGAGTGTAAAATTAACTCTCTAATTAGACTACATAATGTACAGCTCATATATTGTTAATATTAGTGGTGTTTTATATAATTAAATGTAAGGGTGATATTTTAGGTCATTATCATATTCACCTTGTAGAATCATACCGTCCAAGAAGACACAATTACACTGGGTAGTTTTAGGCATATCACTATGGAGTTCAAAAGAAACTCCTCAGATTTCCTTGGGAAATGAAAAGTGAAATGTTATGAGTGTTCTGGAAATACGGCCTTAAGCAGTAAGGAGATGGCCTGTGTTTTCTATGATAAAAAGAAAGATAAATAATGAATTACTTGAGATTTTCCCACATTTTTGTTTCCTGTATTGTTTGAGATTTAAATAATAAAAATCTAAATAATAACTGTAATAATAAATTTAAGTAATTAAAATAAATAGATTTTAAATATAATACATTTATATTTAGTTACATGAATTAAATTGTCAGTGTACTTTTCTTTATTCATATAACTTCAATAGGCTGTCAAGTACAGGGAAGAATATGCCAGGTTCATACCTCTAAATATCTTATAGCTAGGATGGATAAAAATGGAAGGAGTGAGTAAAAAAATAGCATAAGCTTATCTGCAACTCAACTAAAATCTTGTTTTATGAATAATCTATAGACATTATTCAAAAATTTAATACTGAAATTATAGTTTCATTATTTTTGTAATATTAAACACTTATAGAGAGGCTATTATATCTCTGAATTTTAGCTTAAAATGGTGGATATAATAGTACACTGAAATTGCTCCTCAATTCGTATAGTAACAGTATTAAAGCAGAAGGTAAGAAGAAAAGAAAGAAAAAGGAAAGAGATGTGTTGTATTCATTGAAAAGAAGAATAATTCTAGACCCTCAATAAAAAATAAATTGAATAGGGTAACACAGAAGCAGGAAGTAAATTAAGTTGTTGATATTATCATTTAGTGAAGAATGAATGATGACCTCAACTGGAATGTATAAAGAGCAATAAGAAAAACACATTTGTAATTGGTAGATAATAAAAAAGTTCTTGTAGATAAAATATGTAAAAGATGAGGGAAAATAATGCATTTGGGATATCTCCAGTTTTTATGTTATATAGATGATATATTTTTATACAAAAAAGGGTGGAAGACAGAGGCATGTAGGAAGTGTGAAGAAGTTCAGGAGAAGTTTACAATTTAGCTGTCTTAATCTTGGTATGCTCATAAGAAAAAAAAAAAGCACAATGTATAGGATTCCAGAAGTAATATCACTAGTTGAATTCCCTAGAACTGCTGTCGTCTCCGCTACAGAGGAGACCAATCCAGGATGATTGCTTGAGCCCAGAAATTTGAGGCTGTAGTCAGTCAAGTTCTCACTACTGTACTCCAGGCTGGGTGACAGAACCATCTCTTAAAAAAAGAAAAGAAAAGAGGTAAGGGAAAAGAGAAGGGGAAAAGGAAAAAGAGAAAGAGAAGGAGAAAGAGGTATTCTCTGTAGTTACATTAGTAGTCTAATGAATAGACATATATGAGATAAAATGAAACAAAGCACACTGACAATTAAATAGAGAAATCAGTGGAAAGTTGAATCATGTAATCCAAAACAAAATAGTATTTCAGGAATGAGGGTGGGAATCAGTTTTACAGATACACATGACTGTTTGAGTAATATGCTACAGATAAATGAAATATGGGATTTAGTGACAAATATAAGATACGATTCTAAAAAAACAGGGTAAATGCCTTAAAAAAGGATAGTTAAGAGAAATAAAATTAAACCTTTTCAGGGCCAACTCTTTCCATGAGTCTTGCTATCAAATAAAATAAATAAATGAATAGATAGTGGCATATCTAGGACTGGGACAAGCAGCATGTAGTTCTAGTAAAGGAAATGATCAAGCCGGGTGTGGTGTCTCACACCTGTAATTCCAGCACTTTGGGAGGCTGAGAGGGTGGATCACTTGAGGTCAGTTCAACACAAGCCTTGGCAAAATGGTGAAACCACGTCACAATTAAAAATTCAAAAGTCAGCCAAGCATGGTAGTGCATGACTGTAATGTCAGGTATTGAGGAGGCTGAGGCAGGAGAATTACCTGAATCTGGGGGGCCAAGGTTGCAGTGAGCTGAGATTGTGCCAGACACTCCATCTCAAAAAAAAAAAAAAAAAAAAAAAAAAAAAAAAAAGACTAAAAGAAAATAAAAAGAAAAAAACGATCCTGCAGGTACAGTGAAGAAGTAGTGGTACAATGAGATGACAAATAGTAAGTAAATCAGTGTTTTATGAAGCTATGAAATCCAAAGCAAAGGCAAAAAGGGTCATAGATAGGAGCAGAAAAAATTTACACAAATCTACATGAACATTATTTTTTGGTGGCGATTTCTCCTGAGAAAGAAACACAAAAGAAAGTGTGAATAAGAAAGTTGTCTCCATTACTTTGGTAGGAAAAAAAGGAGAAAAACAACAAAAACAAAATAATGGAAATTGTATAATATTAAGCTTTATTGTTCTTCATCCCTTCCCAAGGTGATTGCTTCCCTAAGAAATAACAGAAGCCAAATAGTCAAAATAGAAGAAAACCTTAGCATATTTTATTGTCTATGTATATTAAGCCAAGTTTATTTTAATTGTAATTCATTCTTTTAAAATTTTTATTTTAAACTAACAAATGTAAATATTTATGGGACACAAAGTGATTTTATAATGCATGTATATATTGCAAAAGAATTAAATTGGGCTAGTTACCATATCCATCACCTCACATACTTATCATTTCTTTTTTTGTGGTAAGAATATATAAATTCTACTTTTTAAACAATCTGTTTTTTTGAGATAGAGTTTTGCTCCTGTTGCCCAGACTTGAGTACAGTGGCGCAATCTCAGCTTATTTCAACTGCCATCTCCCGAGTACAAGTTATTTTGCCTCAGTCACTCAAGTAGCTGGGACGACAGGTGAATGCCACCAAACCTGGCTAATTCTTATATTTTCAGTAGTGACGATGTTTCATCGTGTTGGCCAGGCTGGCCTCCAACTCCTGACCTCTAGTGATCCTCCTGCCATGGCTGCATAAAGTGCTGGGATTTCAAACATGAGCCACCATGCCTGCTCTTTTTTTTATTAAGCAATTTTGAAGTTGACATGTATTAATGTGGTCACCATTCTGTGCAATGGATCAGAACTTCTTCCTGTCTCACTAAAATTTGTTACCCTTTGACGAACATCTTGCCTTTCTCTATCCACCCCCATCACCACGTCCCAGTCCAATCTCTGACTACTTTTTGTGGGTTTGTTTAAAGAGTCAGGGCCTTGCTGCATTGCCCAGGCTGGAGTACAGTGGCTCACTGGGGCCTCAAAGTTCTGACCTCAAGTGATCCAGCCATCTCTTACTCCCAAATTGCTGGAGTTACAGGCATGAGCCACCACATCTGGCATATTCACTGTTTGAATGAGTTCAACTTTTTTAGATTTTACATATAATTGTGATCATTCTATACTTGTCTTTTTGTGCCTCTCTTATTACACTGAGCATCGTATCTTCCCATACCATTCATTTGGTCACAAATAAATAACAGAACTTCCTCCTTTGTTTAAGGATGCATAGTATATTTCATTGTGTATATGTGCAACACTTTATCTGTTGATCTGTTGATGAGCACTTGGGTTGTTACCATATCTTAGCTATTAGGAATAATGCTGAGATGAATATAGGACTGCAGATATGTCTCTGACAATCTAATTGTATACCCTTTGAGTACATATTCTGAAGTAGAGTAGCTGGATCATGTAGTAATTCTATTTTTGATTTTATTTTATTTTTGAAACCTCAATTCTATGACCCCAAAACACAGGCTACTAAAGCACCACACAAAACAAGTGGATCACGTTACATCAAACTAAAATGTTTCTGCACAGCAAAGGGAAAAGGGAAACAAATAGTAAAGTGAAGAGACACCCCAAACACTTGGAGAAAATATCTGCAAACCATATGTATGATAAAGGGCGAATAATGAATACATACAAGGAACACAAGTCATTTAACAACAGAAAACCCAATTAAGTCTATTAAATATGGTCAAAGGACCTGAATTTACACTTCTCAAAAGAAGATATACAACTGGCCAACAACTCTATATTTAATATTGATTGATTGATTGATTTGAGAGGTATTCTCACTCTGTCATCCATGCTTAAATGCAATGGTGTGATCTCAGCTCACTGAATCTTCCACCCACTGGTTTCCAGCAATTCTGCCTCATCCTCCCTAGTAGGTGTTTACAGATGTGCACTCTGTCGCCCGGCTAATTCCTGAACAACTGTATATTTAAAGATGCTCAAAACCACCGATCATCAGGGAAATGCAAATTAAAACCAAAAATGAGCCCTCCTCTCACACATGTTGGAATAGCTATTATTATCAGGATGAAAGATGACAAGTGTTTTGAGAATATGGAGCACAGAGAATCCTTGTGCACTGTTGGTAGGAATGTAAATTAGTATTTTAAATTGTTAACATGGTGATGTCTTTTTAATAAAACAGGTTTGTGCTTTAAGATGCATTAATATGAGTTGCTTTCTGTTAGTCAAAGTTTAATGAAAAAGACTTTAGTTACCTTAAATTAATATAAACTGGAGCATGCTCATAAGACTTCTCTTTCAGATTCTCATTAAGTACAGAATGAAACCTGTGGTAAGTACCAATTCTGAAAAATAAAAAAAAGTTCACCGATAATGTGTATGCTAGATTACAAACACTTGTTAAATTAAAGGCATAGGTTCTAAAAATGTACTAGGTGAAAAATTAGTTATAGTTATTTTTTTGTGCTCAGTTTTTGGACCCAGATGGATTTTTTGTTTTGTTTTGTTTAATAAGTTGTACAATTATATTTCAGAAAACAAAAATTACTAATGTATAGTCACAGGAGAAAAATCAATTTTATTAGAAACTACTTCCACAATTTTGCTGTTTATAATTTTTTATGAGTATCTTTATAAAGTCACATTCAGCTTCTCTACTGTTAGTTCTGTGAAAGTATATATGTGTATTTTGTGGATATTGCATACTTTTTTATTGAAAATATCCAACCCTTCTCCATGAATAATAGTAATTCCTCAGCTGCTTATTTTTATTCTTTTAACTGAGTTTTCTCTACATGTTTACACAATATCACAATGCTTCTGGATGATTTTCAGTATGTTCTGGCAATACTTTGCCTGATGACCTTGAGTGCAAATACTGACAGAAGCGGAGCCTAAAATAATGGCTAATAGGTAGGTTATGATGAGCTACATGGCAATTAATGAGTCACAAGTCTTCAGTAAAATTTCCCTCCAAAGAACTTAAATACCAATATTATTATCACATTTTCTAAAAACTCAAAGCTGTAGTATAGGATTCTATGGCCCACCTGTCTCTCATCAATTATTTCCTCATTTGACAGCTACAGTTTCACTGCTGACCAGCAAGAGAAGTTGATGGCAGCATATGCTAGCATGGTTAAAATAAGCATCCGTACTGTACCCACCATGCTAGAATTATTTTCTGTGTTGCTGGGAGGATGAGCTCCACTTTTCCAAAACTCCAGCCATGGTGCCAACAATAATACAAAATACATGATTAATAGAAAGGGTAGGCTCCTCAGTTTCAGAGATGCAGGCAAAAATGCCAGAGCCATTACACATGAGATTACCACCAAGGAACGCAATACCACGACACGGATGAATTTTATCACCTGTAGCTTAATGGCAGCAAAGTCGTTGCTGGTGTGGATGGCCAGTATATTGCAGTGAATGGCCCCATACACAGCTGATAAAAGGGAAAATGTCATCAGCAATGCTATTAGATAAACATGAAAATGTTACGGAATAATTTTCATTAGTAATGGCCACTTTCTCTTTCAATCTTGCCATGTTAAGATATATTCCTCCCAACCCTCCTCCTTCAGAAAATAATTTACTTAAAAAAGGAAAAAAAAAAGATTTGTTAACTTTCCATTATCAGGGATTTAGTAAATATTTGCATGCAAAACATATATTACACATGGAAAAAACAAATAATAAGCTAATACATATATACCCACATTTATAAATATATATACACATTCCCCCCCCAATAAAACTGGAACAGCTGAAATAGGATAGAGATATTCATATCTGACGCTGTAAGGTGTGACAGCACATAGAAAGAAGTCTCAATTAAGAAAAAATAAAATTACTTAAATTAGACCTTGAAAAGGTAGTTTCTTTTTATAGAAAGTTAGAGTGTAAAATAGGAAATTACAGTCTAAAGTAGGTGGTGAATGTAATATAAGCTGTGTTTTAGAATAAGGTGATAACAGGAAACAAGACATATGCTGTGGAGTTAAAGTCAATTCTGGAAGTGGAGCTGACAGATTTTGCTGAGTAATGCAATACAAGGTACTAGACTAGCAGAAAAAATTAAAAGTTTTAGAAATTAATTGGTATGTGTGTGCTTGTTTTTGTTCATTTGTATTTATGTCATTATATCAGAAAGTTTTTCATAAGCGAATTAATTTTGACATTGTTGTCCCAATAATTTGACCAATATGCACAAGGAAGAAAACCAAAATTATGAAGTCATTGAATAACCAGTTTAAACAGTTTTGTACTACATTATGTTGAAAGAGGAAAAATTCATTTCACATATACAGGCAGGTTAAAAAAAAGTACATTCTTCATACACAATGAAATGAAGCCAGAAAACAAAAAGAGGCCAAATAATCATTACTCATCTGAAGCAATTACTCATTTTCTAACACCATTTAGAAAATGAATGTTAAGAATCCATTTATTACTTCAGGAATACCCCAAATGTTAAGAATCCATTTATTACTTCAGGAATACCCCAAAAGAAGCTCTAAAGCAATAACATTCTTAACTTCATTTATGAGAAATAAGACTGAATAAAAATAAATGACCTAAAAATTAAATTTTAGAAAGTAAATTTTAGCTTGGTGTAGTGACCCATATCTATAATCCTAGCACTTTAGGAGGCTGAGGTGAGTAGATCACTGGAGCCCAGCAACAACAACAACAACAGAATAAAAAAAATTTAGCTGGGCCTGGTGGCACATGCATGTAGTCTCAACTCTTCAGGAGGCAGAGATGGGAGGATTGCTTGGGCAAAGGAAATAGGCATCGGACTTTTTTGCCTTGGGAATTCTATTTGCCTGTCCCCTGACTCCAGCACTTTGGGAGGCAGTGTATTCAAGGCATTTTGTAATTAAAATTCATAGTTGCCACAAACTGCATTGAAAACTAAATTATTATATATCACTTCTTAATTGATTGAATTTATTTTCTTTTATTTGTATAAAGGAATCTCACACTGTCTCTTTGGCTGGAGTACAGCAGTGCAATCTTGGCACACTACAACCCCCTGCTTCCCAGTTTCAAGTGATTATTCTGCCTGAACTTCTTGATTAGCTGAGATTACAGGTGAGCACCTCTACACCTGATGGGGTTTCACCATAGTGGCCAGGCCTGTCTCAAGCTCCTGGCTTCAAGTGTGCTGCCTGCCTTGGCCTCCAAAAGTGCTGGAGTTACAGGTGTGAGTCACCATGCCTGTCCCTTGATTGTACTCCTAATTGAGAAAAATATCCATCTTGCAAAAACCTATTTTTCATATCATATTTTTGATGAATTTCTTTATATGTCTCATAATACAAGGAAAATAAGATAATTTTCATGCATTTTATTTTTATTGAAAATAATTTTTTTCCATTAATATGTAATTAAAAGAGTAGATTAATTTAGAATGCTATTTTTCTTTTCAGTCAAGTTCTCAAGTTTTAGAAATTTCTTCAAAAATTAATTATGGAAATGAATTATATTTATTGATTTACTTCTTTTTTAAATAATTTTGCTTTGGAATAAAATTCAAAATTGTTTAAGATATAATGAGATGTTTAATTATGTCAAATAAACATAAAAGCATGTTCTTGAAAAGACATATTTTTCTTACCATATGTTTTCTAGTAATAATATATGATTCCTTTTTCTAAATTACTAGGAATTAATTGATGTTATCTTCCCTGCATCAAAAGCTTAACTGTAACGTATAAGAAGTAAAGAACTGCCAGAAGAGCCAGCACTTCCAGTCTGTAGCTCTCCCATTACCATCAATCCTGGTTTTGATCTACTTGTAGCACCAGCTATTGGCTGTGTAAAGAACCTCAAAAAGATAGTAAACTGTTTAAATGAAATATATTACATAGACAAAGCAATTACTCATGAATTTTTAAATTATAAAGCTGTTTTTCTTTATTAATAATTGTTTACTTTGAAAGTCCATTTTTCATTTAGAAAAAATTAACTCATGTTTTTTTTTTTTTGTCTGTTTGTGGTTTTTTTTTTTTGAACAACTAGTTTAACATTTTGTAGCCATCAGGTGTACATTTAAAACCATTTACATCAGACAATATTAAATTTAAAAAATGTATGTATTTCTTTAGTGCTCCCCCCTATACTTGGCATTTGTAACCAAAGTGGGTTTTATTGAATCACATGTTTAAAAATACTGAATCCTCAGGGTAACCAGAGCCAAATTTAATGCTACAAATAGTTTATCTTTAAAATGTATGCATTAAAAAGATTTTTATAAACTTGAAGTTGCTTAATGTTATTTTAGTTAAATTCTAAGAGAGGTATGGCTTTAAAAATCATAATGTGAGAAGAGAAATTTGAGTACATTTTATTAGTTCTAAATGTCTGCTAGAGTCCAAAAAAATAAGCAGTAATGTTCAAATCTTACACAGAACTGACACTGAGGGTGGGAAGTAATATATGTAAATTAACAAACGATAACAACATTTAGTTTATTTCAAGAGCAAACTGAGTGTTAAAAGGCCAATTAACAGCATTCTTTAATTGAATTAACAGATCTTTAATTGAAAAATGTGAAATTTTTTTTATGTTTTTCTCTGTGTGAGTATATTTTCTAGCACACTGTATGAGTTTCTAGCTGAACTCACTGCTTAAAAATTCAGATCTTTGTCTTGTGGGATCCATGTAGAGAGAAGAGTTTCCTTTTAAAAACACATTTTATGTTAATTTATTTAACAATTGAATTGACATAGTTAACATATATGTATTCAAAGGAGATTTTTTAAACAAATAACTTTTTTTAAAAAATAAACAGATGTAATGCCATTAAAATATGGACGTGAGTGGTCTGTGGTTAAACATCTGTAATGGTCTCTCAACTTGTTGTTAACATGAAAATTTAAAGTACTCTTTCAAAATGGTTGTGTTGATAAGTGAATGTTTGTTAATATCAATTTGCCACTAGATGGAAAGAAGAGTGGGCAAGATCATTATTTTCATAGTAGAAGCATTATTTTTTCTTCTGATCTCAGGTTGTGAAGCACTTTTTAAGTGAGAATACCTGCTCCCTGTTAGATCTCACCCACCAGAAAGATTTGTGGGACTCAAAAATGCTGGTGCTACTTATCAAATGAATTCTGTGATGCAGTATATATATATACATACACACATATGTATATATACACATATTATACATATATATATATTCCACTAGAAACAGTGCTCTTGCTAATGAATGCATAGCTGAAAATATAGACAATGATTTTCCAAAGATGAGAAGCAGAACAGTGAGGTAAATTCTAATTATTAATTACTATCACTTTGAAGGTTCTGATAGCAGCTACTGTTTTTCTCTCTGACATTATTTTACTTTAAGTGAATTATGCGGGAAGTACTTTTTCATAATATGTCTAAGATCTCTAAGACACTATGACTGATGTATTTATATTTATCTTTCAAAAGCCGTGCTTATTTTTAAAATTATCTATACATTTTTCTCAAATCAGAGCTTTTCCTGCTAAAGAAAAAAATTTGTTCTTCAAATTATGCTATGTGAACTTGTAAAAAATATTAGTTAAGAATTATCATCAAACTGCTATGAAGAGTATTCATTTGAAAATAAAGCAGTTAAAAAGTTAGGTTATAGTGGCAGATCACCAATTTAGGATATAACACCAAATCAGTGAATATGGAATACCTAAATTTTGGTAATGTTTATACTCAAGCTCTTTCTCCTTATTATTATTTTTATTTTTCTGTATAGATACTGATAAAATCTAAATTAAAAAATTAGAATATTTTAACTGTAATAAATGGATTTCCTACAATTTTTTCATTTTTCCTTTCAATAGGCAAAAATAGTTTGTCTTTCAGCTACTAGTGTGTCAGCACTTAACCGTTTATAGAAATTACAAAACACACACTTTCTTCCTCTTTCTTAGACAGAGAAAATTATATCATCCAAGCATCGCAGTCAGGGTAGCTTTACTTTTAGTAGAATCTTCATATAGGATATTCACCAATCCTTGGTTAACAGCCACTATCGGAAGAAAAATTGGAAGGTAAGTTCTGGAACTATAGCCCGTGTTACCCCTAGGGGGTTGAATTTAACACACATAGAGATGGTTAGTCACAACAGCAAGAAGCAAATGAAACAGAATATAAAATTTCAAATTAGGTATCTTACCTTTGGACTTGGTTGCTTGTGATTTATGTTGTTTCATTACTGTACTGTGGCATGTATATCTGCCTAGTTCCTTTTTCTATGCAATGAGCTTCTCCAGGGCAGGAACTGGGGATTGTTTATTTCTTCATCACAAATCTAAGACACAATGAAAACCATAAGAAACCTCTCAGATACTTGGAAACCAACTGTATTTTATTCTATGGCTACAGTCATGTTTTGACTTTTGGAGCTTCTGTCTATGCTCCCCAACCTTCCAAAATTGTGTTTAATGGGTATATTTATTGAGTGTTAATAATGCTGATTTCATCATGTAAATAATCTTATATAATTTGGAAAATGCATTATTCTCAAAGGAAGATACTGAATCCTACAAAGACTAAGTAAGTTATTCCCCCAAAGTTACTTATTCCCCCAAAGTTACTCATGGCAGAGGACTCATTTGTCTTACTCCTGCCTACTTCATCAAATTTTACCATATTATATTACCTCCAGTGTAGATTATTATTTTACTACTCTTTTATGATAACTTTTCTGTTAACCCAGTTATAAACCTGGAAATGAGTCAGCTTTACCAGTCAAATTACTCCAGCCATGAAATTCTGCTCATTAGTATTTTCCCTTGTGTTACCAGGGCTGAAGTAATCATAGATTTAAAGACCTTAGTTTCCTTCTTCTCCTTGCCCTGAATCTCTGTACAGGCTTACTGTAGAAGAAAGCTTCCAAACAAAGCCAAACCATGAACACTGAATTAGGCACCTACATCACTGCACAGCCATCAGTGCATAGTCACAAGGATTAGGATCAATGAGAGAAACATGATGGCATCAGATGGTCAAAATAAGGTGCTAGAAGTGACTGACCCAAAAGAGATGGGCATGGAACATGGCCTGACAAGGAATTCAAAATATTTATTTTACGACAATGCAGAGGACTTCAGCAAAACACAAAGAATTCTGGAATTTATCGGAGAAATTTACCTGAGAGTTTAAAATAACAGGATGGAAAAACAAACAGAAACCTTGAAGAATAAAACACAACAAAATAAAAAATGCAATTGACAGTAGTGACAACGGAAGTGGCCAAGCAGCAAAACTCAAACAGGAGTCAATTGAAAATATGCAATCAGAGAGAAAACATAAATAAGATTTATGAGATTAATGGGATAACATCCGAAGAGCAAAGGTATCAGACACTGGCATTCAAGAGTGTGGTAGAGCTGGGCCCAATGACTCATGCCTGTATCCCCTGCACTTTGGGAGGCCAAGGCTGGTGGATCATATGTTGTCAAGAGCTTGAGAGCATCCTGCACAACATGGTGAAACAGTTTCTTTACTAAAATACAAAAATTAGCCAGGTATATTGGTGGACATCTGTAATCCCAGCTACTCAGAAGTCTCAGTCAGGAGAGTCACTGGAACTCAGGAGAATCACTGGAACTGAGGACGTGGAGGTTGCAGTGAGCTACAATCACATGATTGCACTCCAACCTAAGAGACAAGAGCAAACCTCCAACTCAATAAAAACTATTAAAAAAGAGTAGAAATCTTATTTAGATAAATAATAACAGAAACCTTTCCAAATTGATATAAAATATTAATATTCTGCTACAGGAATATTGAAGGCTTCCAATCAGATTCAATTTCAATGAAAATATTCCCATAACTTAATCTAATCAAACCACCAAATATCAAAGACAAAGAGAGGATACAGAATTAAGCAGAACAAAAAAAAGACAATATTATATCTGGAATACAGCTATATAAGTAATATGTGCATATATGTAATGCAGATGTTAATAGATCCAAAGGAAGAAAAGAAGTGCAAGATAATCCTAGAAAACTTCAGCACATTACTTTCAGCAATGAATAGATAATGCAGACAGAATTCAACAAGTAAACACTGGATTAAAATGCCCCGTAGGGAAAATGCTAAAAACAGTTACTGAACTATCCATCCAAGAGCTATGGAGTAAACATTCTTCTCCACTGCATATATGGAACATCTTTCAGGATATATCATACATTAGCCAAAAAATCACATCTTAATGAATTTGAAAAAATCAAAGTCATATCAAGTGTCTCTTCTGAAATCACTAATTCATAAGCACATCAAAATTAAACAACATACTCCTGAACAACCGCTGAGTCAATGAAGACATTAAAGAGAAACACCCTATTTATTGAGACAAAAACAGAAACACAACACAACAAAACCTATGGGATACATTCAAAGCAGTTTTAAGACGGAAGTTATGGCAATAAATGCCTTCAACTAAAAGAAGATATTAAATACACAACTTGATGTTTCAATCAAGGAATTATAAAAACAGAAAGCTAAACTCAAAAGTAATAACAAACAAACAATCTCTTAATAAAGTGTATTGGAGCCAAAAAAGAGATACCATAACTGATACCAAGAAACAAATTAATAGTAAGAAATCGAATCAGCAATAAAAAGGCACCTATTAAAGAAAAGACCAGGACCTGACGTATTCACTGCTGCATTCTACCTACCACAAAAAATAAACTACTGCCACTTTTTGTGTAATCTAGTCAAAACAAAAACAAAATCATTAAACAGAAATGAATATATGGGAACTGTTTGTTCCAACTCATTCCGTCAGGACGGCATTATGCTGATTGCAAAACCAGACAAGGATACAAGAAAAAAGAGAAAACTATGGGCCAATAAATCTGAAAAACATAGTGCAAAAACCCTCAACAAAATACTGGGAAAATGACTTATCATGCATATTTAGAAAGTCATTCACTGTGATCAAGAGAGATTACAGGGATGCAGGAATGTTTTAATACACAAGAATCATTAAATGTCATACATTACATCAGCAAAATAAGAACAAAATCTATGCAGTCATTTCAATATGTGAAAAAAAATTTGATAGAATTCAACATTTTTCACAGTATAATCTCTTAACAAATTATGCATGGAACAACTGTAACTCAACACAACAAATGACCTAGACCCAAATAAGCAGATAATGCTATGTATGACAAAACCTTAGCTAATATCCACTCAATGGGAGTTAAAAGTTGAAAGGTTTCTGTGAAGAGCTGGAAGAAGACCAGGGTGTTCACTTCCACTACTTATATTCACATAATACTAAAAGTCCTTAGCCAGAGTAATTAGACAAGAGAAAGTAAGAAAAGGTGCCCAAATTGGAGAGGAAGTAAAATTTTCCATATATGCTAATGATGTAATATGAAAATCCTTAAACACACCACTAAAAAGTAGTTAGAACTAATTCAGAAAGTCAGTAAAGTTTCAGTTTACAAAATCAACATATACAACTCCATAGCATTTCCATACACTAATAGCAAGATATATATTAAAAAAACTTAAGAAAAAATCTCATTTACAGTAGCTATGGAGGATAAAAAGCAGTAAATTTAACCAAGGAGGTAAAAAAAAATCTACATTCTGAAACCTATGAAACATTAATAAAATGTTAAAATGGCATAAATAAATGGAAAAATATCTATGTTCATTGATTGGAAAAAGTAATGTCATTAAAATGTTTATATGATCCAAAGCAGTGCACAGATTGAATGCAATATCTATCAAAACACCCATGGCATTTTTCACAGAAATTGAAAAATATCCTAAATTAATATGAAACCACAAAAAAATCCTGAATAGCCAAAGCACTCCTGAAGATGGCAGTGGGATTGGCGTTGTGGAGTGAACTGACAATGTCACAATGCTATAAACCAATAAAATATAATACAGTGAGTAAAAATAAATTTCCACCTGTATAGCCAACTGATATACTGCAGAGGTGCCAAGAACACAAAATGAAGAAAGGTCAGTCTCTTCAATAAGTGGTGCTGGGAAAACAAGAGAGCTACATGCAGAAGAATATAATAAGAACCTATCTCTCACCACATGCAAAAATTAACTCAAATGGATTAAAATGCCTAGTGGAGTGGTGTTCACCTATAGTTTCAGCTACTCAGGAGTGTCAGACAGGAGGATCATCTGGGCCTAGGTGTTCAAAGCTATAGCATGAAAGACTTGTGCCACTGCACTCCACACTAGGTAAAATAGTGAGACCTCACCAATAAGAATATATTTTTAAAAACATTTAAAAATAAAGATGTAATGAAAACACCAAAATGTCAAACTAGTAGAACAAATCACAAAACACATTTAATGATCTTGGTCTGGGCAAGAGTATTTTTTGGATCAGACAAAAACGCAAGCAGAAAACACACAAACAGAAAAACGAGGTTACATCATACTAGAAAACTTCCATACAGCAAAAAATAAAAATAAAATAAAATAAGTCACCACAGTAATAGAATGACAGCAAATATTTGCAAAGTGTACATCAGAAAAGGGGTTAATCAAAATATACAAGGAACTAAAAACAGATTCAAAAGAATAAGAAAATAATAACCCAATTAAAAATAAGTATCTTCTGTTTTCAAAAGTATATATATACAGCTAACAGATGTGTGTATGTGTGGGGGGGTGGGCTCTGTGTGGCTGTGTGTGTGTGTGTGTGTGTGTGTGTGTTTGTGTTTGTATATATATATATTCTCAACATTTCTCCTCATTACAGAATTGCAACCTCTCCCTCTCAGGTTCAAGCGATTCTACTGCCTCAATCTCCTGAATAGCTGGGATTACAGGCATGAGTCAGGGTGCCCAGCTAGTTTTGTATTTTTAGTAGAGATGGGATTTCACCATGTTCGCTAAGCTGGCCATGAACCGCCAACCTCAGGGGATCTGCCCACCTCAGCCTTTCAAAGTGCTGGGATTAAAGGTGTGAGCCACCATGCTTGGCTTATTTTAAGAAATTTAAGAAATGTATAAAATTAAAGAATGTAAATTTAAGAAATTTATAAAATTTCTTAAATTAGGCTTGTAAAAAAGAAAAAGTTGGCCAGGTACGATGGCACATGGGAGGCCAAGGTGGGTGGATCACTAGATCAGGAGCTTGAGACCAGCAGGGCCAATATAGGGAAACCCCATCTCTACTAAACACGTAAAAATTAGCTGGGTGTGCTGGTGTGCACCTGTAGCCCCAGCTACTCAGGAGGCTGAGGTAGGAGAATCCCTTGAACCTGGGAGTTGGAGGTTGCAGGAGCTTAGATCATGCCACTGCACTCTAGCCTGGGCGACAGAGCAAGACACTGTCCAAACAACAAGTATAGCAACAAAATTAGGTACATGGAGATTTACTACATGGAGATTTATTGGTTCTAATATTGCCAGGAGTTTTATTTACTTGTTGAGTTTACTGGCTAAAGTGTTGTTCATTTTTTTTGTTGTTTCTGCCTAAATCCTTTTCTTTCAGGAGATTCAGTCAATTAAACTTAAATTCGCTCCAGAGTACGGCCCAAAATCACTTCATGCATTGTCACTGGAATTAACTCTTTGGCTTTGCAGGAATGTTTATTGCCCTGCTAGTATTACTAACTGTCCCTGCGATTACTAATTTTTATTTGCAAAGAAGTTTAAATCGTGAGGTTGCATATTTTTGCATGTGTTTATAAACTTCTTCACTTACCTTTTTAATGAAAGGTAACACTTATCCCCATTGGTTCCTAAATCTATAAAATGTATATAATTTTTATACATTTTACTCTCTTGGAACTGTCAGTGCAGATCTGAATGAAATTAGTTCTTACAAAATTTATAGTACTCATGTAAATCACTATAGTAACAGATAGAAGTCATATGGAAATGAGTTGCTTAGCTATGTTTTGATATTCAAAGTCACAGCTACAAATTTAAGGAGTCTAGAAAATCTACCACTAACATATTAAATCACATCAGTTGACAAATAAAATCTACAAGATTATTTCTGAACCATAGTCTTTTCTCACTCACTCTACTTTCATTCATTAATTTAAGGTTATATTTCTATTCCTCATAACTATTTAGAATGCTCATTAGGCTGAATGAGAATCATATTAAAAGAAACAGAAAAAATGACCGACTTAATCGCATTTGCATTTTTTAAAAACTATCATTACCTTAAGACTGAAAAATTGCATAGAAAATAATTCAGAATTGTGAAAAACAAACAGGGACACATTTCTATTAGAAGAATGATGATCACATCTTAATCTTGTTAGTGAACTATTCATATTTATTTACTTGTTGGAAACAGAGAACGAGAGATATTTGTGTCACTTACCTCATGATATGTCCTAAAGGAAGAATGCGCCAACAAAAGTAATGCAGCTTTATTTCACCTCAAGTCTTTACTGAAAAACTTTAGGGTAATTTGATCCAAAATTACCTCCACAATAATAAAGCTCATAGCAAATAACATTAGAATATGTCAATAGCTTTTCAATTAATTTCAAACCTATACAAAGCATAGGTGGCCTCACCACAGCAGAGAACAGTTGAGCAGAGAATGCTGAAAGGAAAGCTGTACTTTATTTATTAGTCTCTTCAAACGCTGTGTCCATTCTCAGCATGCTGCTAATTCGTACTCTTCTGTCAGTGCATCCAGTATAATTTGGTATCAGATCCAAACAGAAGAAAACAAGATTCTGTATAATTCAGTATTCACGGAAAATCTAAAAAGGTAAATAAGGATCACTAATCACGATAAAAAAATCTATGTCTGGTTTAGGAAATATTGAACCACCACTTGACATAATTTAGTCAATTAAAGCATTTGTCATAAGTTAGTCAATATGTCAAATAACTTGACATATTATTTCTTTAGCAAACAGTGTTTTAAGGAAATAGACAATAAAACTTCTATGAGGCCTTAACTACCTCTTAACGCCAAGATGATAGTCCTGTCTTCAAGTAGTATGAAACAAGGTGTATATTTCTCATAAGTTTGTGTGTTTGTGTGTGTGTGTGTGTGCTCTTCAGCCACTGTCTGATGCTGACATTGACTAAAACAAAACAGCACAAGGTCTAAGCCAATTCTAATGATGATGACACTAAGAAAAATATCTAGCAGATATTTCTGATTAGGAAAGAAATAAAAAACAGTGAGCCCTGTAAGTTCCACTTATTGTTAGACGATGGCCATTTTGCATATAAAAAACTGTTTCTTGGCTTGATTTAATGCTATGAAGTTATGAATCAAGTAAAGTTTCAATTTATATAGATGTGAAATCCAGAGTTTGCATGGTTATTGAAGATCTAAAATCTCTTTTCTTGGGGGGTTGGGGGGAGGCCAAATAGCTCATATTAGGTGCTTTCTAGTCAAACAGCCAGATAAATTACTAATATATTGTGAAGGTCAATTAGCCATTATTTGTGGGAAACAATATTCAACAAACATGAATAAGAAGGAAGATAAAAGGCAACAGTAAATATTGAAACCGAATTTAGACAGAAACCTTTTTCTGATTAAAAATGTTGTTAATATAATAAAAACACATGAAATATGTAAGAATCTAATGCAAATTACAAGAGAGAAAGCATAATATTTCCCCAGAAGATGTTGGTCATTGGTTAAAATATATCAGTGGGGAAAACTGAAGTAGTAGTTTTAAAAAGAGGGAGGGAAGAATCAAGAAGTTACCTATTTTATTTTATTTGATAAGATGTTCATTTCCTGAACTTTCTTTGCATTGCTTTGATTCTCATAACTTAACATAAATATGCTTTCCTCCAATTTGTTAAGTTTTATGCTGCAGAATTTTAAATTCCTCAACTTCTGTGGTTGGTTACTCTGATCTAAATCACACCTTTATCTACATGCACTTATTTATTCAAACACAAAGAAAAAACCTTTATCATATTTTAAAATACATCCTCCTGGACCCAACCCATTAATATGATTGATCTTTTCCTCTTTCATGTAATTTATTTTATTCTCTTCTTCACTACCCTGATTTCCTTATCGCAAATGTAAAACAAACTCCATATTTTATGATCCACAACAAAAACTGTCTCTTTTGTTACTGATGTTTTCGTCTGCTTTTAATTTCCACACAGAATTTCTATTAGCTATTTGATTTTGATCAGTTCTTATTCTGTCTCAGGTTTTATCCCACATCAGTGAAGTCACGGTCCTTTCTCAAAGGTCATCAGTGACACCCTAACTGCTAAATTTAAAATGTTACCTTGAATTTCAGATGAATATTTTTACCATTGATAATATGCTCTCATTTCAAAATTCCACTTACCTTTACCATTCAGGCTTTCATCCCCAACAATCTATCAAATGTACTATATTTAAAATAATCAACTTCCTTTTTGCCAAATATAATAGTTTTAAAACAAAAATTCTTGTCTTTGTTGTTCGTGTGTCTATTGAGACAGGGTCTGCCTCTGTTGTCCAGGCTGGAGTTCAGTGGTGCAATCAAGAATTCACTGCAGCCTCAACTTCCTGGGCTCAAGTGATCTTTCCACCTCATCCTCCTGGGTGACTGTGACTACAGGTCACCCAGACTAGCTAATTTTGGTAGAAACAGGGCCTTTCCATTATCCCAGGCTGGTCTTGAGTTCCTGGGATCAAGCTGTCTGCCTGCCTCAGGCTCCCAAAGTGCAGCCACTGGAGGCATGAGCCACCAGGCCTGGCCAAATATGAGTTATTTCTTAGTCTCCCTCTTCCTTGAACTATCCCTGATGAATTTACTGTCAATCTCTCAGTTATGTCTTCCTGTACAATCAATTTCTGCATGGTACTATGATTCCCAAATTGTTATTCCAGCCAGTCTCTTACCAAACCCCAAATCATATATGACTCTATTACATGTACTCATGTTTAACGGGCAATTTGATCTCAAGGCTACACACTGAATTCTGATGCTCTATTGGAGGAAATTCAGCCCCTGATATTTCACGTAGGTTCTTTTCTATTTTCCCTAAGTGTTGGCCTCTTTGAGAAATAAAGGGAAAGGGTACAAAAGAGAGAAATTTTAAACCTGGGTGTCCGGGGGAGACCTCACATGTTGGCAGGTTCCGTGATGCCCCAGAAGCTTCAAAGCCAGCAAATTTTTAACAGTTATTTTCAAAAGGAGAGGGAGTGTATGAATAGGGTTTGAGTCACAGAGATCACATGCTTCATAAGGTAATAAGATATCACAAGGCAAATGGAGGCAGGGTGAGATCACAGGACCACAAGACCGGGGCAAAATTTAAATTGCAAGTGAAGTTTTGTGCACACATTGTCATTGATAACATCTTGTCAGGAGACAGGGTTTGAGAGCAGACAACCGGTCTGACCAAAATTTATTAGGCAGGAATTTCCTCGTCCTAATAAGCCTGGGAGTGCTATGGGAGACCGGGTCTTATTTCTTCCCTCAGCTATGACCATAAAAGACAGCCATCACCAAAGCGGCCATTTCAGAGGCCTCTCCTCAGGGGCACATTCTCTTTCTCAGGGATGTTCCTTGCTGAGAAAAAGAATTCAGTAATATATCTCCCATTTGCTTTTGAATGAAGAGAAATATGGCTGTGTTCTGCCTGGCTCACTGGCAGTCAGAGTTTGTTATCTCCCCTGTTCCCTGAACATTGCTGTTATCCTCTTCTTTTTTCAAGGTGCCCAGATTTCACATTGTTCAAACACACATGCTCTACAAACAATTTGCACAGTTAACGCAATCATCACAGGGTCCTGAGGTGACATACATCCTCCTCAGCTTACTTAAATGACAGGATTAATAGATTAAAATAAAGACAGGTATAGGAAATCACAAGGGTATTGATTGGGGAATTGATAAGTGTCCATGAAATCTTCACAATTTATGTTCAGAGATTGCAGTAAAGACAGGCATAATAAATTATAAAAGTGTTAATTTGGGGAACTAATAAATGTCCATGAACTCTTCACAATTTATGTTCATCTGCCATGGCTTCAGCAGGTCCCTCTGTTCGGGGTTCCTGACTTCCTGAAACAATGCTTTTTCCAAATAACCTTCCCGAATTGTTTCCCATTTCACCTGATAGTAATCACGTCCTGTTGCAAAGGCCTAAAACTGTAAGGTCATCCTTGATGCTTTTATTTTCATCTCATCTTTTCTATTAATCCTCAAATTCTGCATGTTTTCTTTTTAAAATAGGTTCACAATCTAACCACTTTTCCCTATTTCTCCTGCGTCACCCAGATACAGGTCATCCACATTTCTCATCTGATTCACTCATCCCCTTTAGTTATCTTCTACCTTCCACCGTAAATAAACCCACCATCCTTGTCCTTCTTAATTAAAATTAAATCACTAGATATTGTCACTACTTTCCACTAAAGCCAAAATATAAGTTCCATCAGTATGTGGATTTTTGTCTTTTGTCAGGTGAACTGGGGTAAATAATACCTGATATATTTGCAGTTAATTTGATCCTTTTTTCTTATTTATTTATTTATTTATTTATTTATTTATTTATTTACCTATTTTTGGCCTGCAGTGGGGTGTGATTAAGTCTTGCTCTGTTGCTCAAGCTGGAGTGACAGGATCTCAGTTAACTGCAACCTCTGCCTCTCAAGTTCAAGCAATTCTCCTGTGTCAACATCCTGAGTAGCTGGGAACACAGGGGACTGCCAGCCCAACTGGCAGTTCTTTTTTGATGTTTTTTTTTTTTTTGACATTTTTAGTACAGACGGGATTTCACCATGCTGGCCAGGCTGGTCTCAAACTCCTGACCTCAGGTTGTCCACCCGCCTTGGACCCCCTGTATTCTTTCAATTATAGGTGTGATTAACCATGCCTGGCATGATCTCTATTCTAAAAGATTCATAGACATAATTTCTGCAACAGACTTATTATTTGGTCTTCTTATTAAACTGTGGAGATTGAAGCAATAAAAGGTTAAGCAATTATTTATCCTGCTGGTTTTATTAACAAACTAGATAATTCTGTGTGATTCTATTTATGTATAACAAGAATTAAAAGGTAAATTAAATTCTTCAGGTGTATGCTGAACAATTTATAATTTAATGCTGATATTCCTGACTTCTTTCCAGATTCTGAGTTTCGCTTTCTTATAAAAAATGATTTAACATTTAGGGGCATAGTTAGAGGCATTATTTATAAGGAAAGCATCATCCAACTACATGGCCTTTTCCTCCACTTTTTGCTATGTAGACTGGAGAAAGCATTCTTTCATATTTAATTCCAATTTTGAGTTTACCTCACATTGTTTTTCAGTTGTTCAATTCCCTTCCACTTTATGTGACTGGGGCCCATTTCGTACTTTTAAGTTGCTTTTAAACACATATCTGTGTGTTTAACTTGCATCTACATTCCTGCTAAGGCTTGTAGTGCTCAAAACTTTCACTGAGGTTTCAACACATTTTTAATTGAGAGATAACGCACAAACTATCATATTAGCCATTTTAAAGTACACATTCCATGATATTCTGGGTATTCATAAAGGTGTACAAATATCACCACTTTTTAAATACAGATTTCCATCACCTGAAATAAATAAAAAAATACCACTGCACCCATTACCATTAAATCCCAGCTTCCCCATTTCCTAAAGCCCTTGGTATCCAATAAGACATTTTCCGTCACTATGGATTTGCCTACTACAGACACTTCATATAAATGGACTCATACAATATGAGGCTCTTTGTGACTTACAGCCTTGTGCTGTAGATTATCCTCAATGGGGCTATGTATAACAAACACCCATGAAAGATAAAGATAATGCCTCCTTCCAAGGCAGAGTGTCCTTTCTTTAAAATGCCGGCATTTCCTAAGCTTGAGATTTCTGAAACAGGTTTAATATTCTGTCCTATTTTTAAACCAAGCATACTGATGGAAAAAAGTTCCAGTATTTTGTCCAAATTCTTTATCTTGGTGGTTTCACTATGAAATAAATGAATTTGCATCAATTGTATCAGATATATGGTAAGGGAATGTATGATGCGAATGCACTGCAAGGGTAGTGTTGGCCTAGGTCCACCTCCACATCAGGAGTTGATGGAAATATTTATATTGTGAATAATGCTACTACAAACATTCCTATACAAATTGGCATAAATATACCTTAATTTTTGGGAAATATGCTGAATGTACATCCAATTATTTGGGAAACTACTGGACTGTTTTCTAAAGGAGCAACCTCACTTCATGTTCCCGATAGCAATTGGATGAGTTTCCCAATTTTTCCATATATTTGAAAACATCTGTCATTTATTTCTCATTACAGTCCATTCTATTCAATATAAACTTGTATCTCATTGTGGCTTGATTTTTCATTTTTCTGATAACTTATTATCTCTTCATATGCTTAGCTGTAGATTTGATGTGACAATGATAGAAAAAATTAGCTGGGTGTGGTGGCTGACACCTGTAATCTCAGCTACTGAGGAGGCTGAGGCAGGAGAATTGCTTGATCCGGGGAGGCTGAGGTTGCAGTGAGCCAAGATTGCACCATTGCACTACAGTTTGCATGAAAACAGAGAAACTCTGTCAAAAAAAAAAAAGAAAAAACTTGTGGAAATTTTATATGAGATCTCATTTTTCTCTAACTTTCTGCTGTTCTAATATCCTGTCATTTTCTCTATCTAATAAGTTGAGCCTATAATACTTTTTCTTTTGCAGGGTAGTGTTAAAACACCGGGAAATGAGTGCTGATTAGCAGATATAAAGAGGCCACACTGGGGTAAGAAAAGAGTTATGTGTCTTTCATTTCAGAAGACATTTAACTCAAAATGGTCGGCATCACTAATTGTTAGGGAAATGCAAACCAGAATCACAATGAGATATCATCTGAGGCCAGACAAAATGGAGATTACTAAAAAGCCAGGAAACAACAGATGGTAGTGGGTTAGTGCAGACATAGCAATGCTTTTACACTGTTGTTAGGAGTGTAAATCAGTATGGACATTGTGGAAAAGTGTGTAGTAATTCATCAGATATTTAGAACCAGAAATACCACTGGACTCAGCAATTTCATTACTGGGTACATAGCTCCCCTTCAAAATAAGTCATTCTATTTTAAGTATACATGGATGTGTATGTTTATTACAGCACTAATCACAATAGCAAATACATTGAATTAACTCAAATGCCCATCAGTAACAGACTAGATAAAGAAAGCATGGCACATATACATCATGAAATAATATGCAGCCACTAAAATGAAAGAAATCATGTTCTCTGAAGGGAGATGGATGAAGCTGGAAACCATCATCCTCAGAAAACTAACAGAGAAACGAAAAAACAAGCACTCCATGTTCACAATCATTAAACGTTCACACTGAACATTAAAGACACACAGAACAGCTTTCGACTTGGTCTGTCCAGAGGCAGAGAAAAAAAGACCTTCAGAATAAATAGCTTATTTATGTGGGGCTGAATAACCTCGGTGATGGGTTAATAGTTGCAGTGAACAATCACGGAAAAGTTTACCTATGAAATAAACCAGTATGCCCTGCATATGTACCCTGGAACTTAATATAAAATGAAATTGAATACATTAAATAAAAAAAAAGCTTTCTTTTTGTAGAGGTGAGGTTACAGTAACTTTGAAATGTGTGCCACACTTTATTTAAGACATTTTTGTAATTGCAATTCGAAGTTGCCAGAAACTACATTGAAAAGTAAATAAGTAATATATCTCAATTCTTAATTGATTTAATTTATTTTCTTTTATTTTTATAAAGGAATCTCACACTGTCTCTTTGGCTGGAGTACAGCAGTGCAATCTTGGCACACTGCAACCCCCTGCTTCCCGGTTTCAAGTGATTATTCTGCCTGAACTTCTTGATTAGCTTAGATTACAGGTGAGCACCGCTACACCTGATGGGGTTTCACCATATTGGCCAGGCCTGTCTCAAGCTCTTGGCTTCAAGTATGCTGCCTGCCTTGGCCTCCAAAAGTGCTGGAATTACAGATGTGAGCCACCACACCTGTCCCTTGATTGAATTTCTAATTGAGAAAACATTCATCTTGCAAAAACTTATTTTTTATATCATATTTTTGATGTTTTTCTTTATATGTTTCGTAATTCAAGAAAAATAATGTAACTTTAATGCCTTATTATTATTGAAAATAAATTTATTTCCATTAATATGTAATTTAAAAAGTAGGTTAATTTAGAATGCTATTTTTGTTTTGGGTAAAGTTCTCAGGTTTTAGAAATTTCTTCAATAATCTAATTTTGGAAATGAATTACATGCATTGACTGTTCTTGGGTTTTTTGAAATGATTTTTCTTTGGAACAAAATTCAAAATTGTTTCAAAATATAATGAGATTTTAATTATGTCAAATAAACATAAAAGTATTTTCTTGAAAAGACATATTTTTCATAACATATGTTTTCTACTAATAACCTGTGATTTATTTTTCTAACTTACCAAGAATTAATTGATGTTGTTGTCTTCCCTGCATCAAAAGTTTAACTGTAATGTCTAAGAAATAAAAAAACTGCCAGAAGAGCCAGCTCTTCCAGTCTGTTCCTCTTCCATTACCATCAATCCTGGTTTTGATCTGCTTGTAGCACCAGCTATTGGCTGTGTAAAGAACCTTAAAAAGATAGTAGACTGTTTGAATGCAATATATTACAGAGAGAAAGCAACAACTAGTGAATTTTTACATTATAAAGCTGTTTTTCTTCAGGAATAATAGTTTACTTTGAAAGTCTACTTTTTATTTAGAAGGAATTAACTCATAGTTTTCTTGCTTGTTTGCTTTTGATCAACTAGTTTAACATTTTGTAGCCATCAGGTATATATTTAAAACCGTTTATGTCAGACAATATTAAATTTAAAAAAATATATGTATTTCTTAAGTGCTCCCCTATACTTGGTGTTGGTAACCAAAGTGGGTTTTATTGAATCCCATGTTAAAAAATACTGAAACCTCAGAGTATCCAGAAGCCAAATTTAATGGTCCAAATTTTATATTTAAAATGTATGCATTAAAATGATTTTTATAACCCAAACCTCGAAGTTACTTAATGTTATTTTAGTTAAATTCTAAGAGAGGTATGGCTTTAAAAATCATAATGTGAGAAGAAAACTTTTGAGTGAATTTTATTACTTCTAAATGTCCACATAAGTCCAACAAAGTAAGTATCAATGTTCAAATCTTACACAGAACAGAAACTCAGCCTGTGAGTTAATATAAGTAAATGAGCAAATGATAACAAAATTCAGCTTATTTCAAGAGAAAACCAAGGATTAATAATACAGTTAACAACAGCATTCTGTACAGATCTTTAATTGATGAATGTGAAATTCTATTTGTTTACGTTTTTCTCTGGGCGAGTATATTTTCTAGCATATTGTAGGAGTTTCTAGCTAAACTCACCACTTAAAAAGTCAGATCTTTATTTGTCTCGTGAGATCTATGTAAAGAGAAGAGTTTCCCTCTTAAAAACACCTTGTATGTTAATTTATTTAACAATTGAATTGACATAGTTTATATATGTATATATATATTCAAAAGACAGTTTTTAAAATAAACCCTTTTTTAAAAAAACAAACAGATGTGATGGCATTAAACTATGTACCTAAGGGGTCTGAAGTTAAAAATCTGTAATGGTCACTTGATTTATTGTTAGTATGAAAATTCAAAGTACTCTTTCAAAATGGCTGTGATGACAAATGAGTTGTCATCAATATTAATTTGTCACGTGATGGAAAGAAGAGTGGGCAGAATTATGATTTTCATAGTACAAGCATTGTTTTTTCTTCTGATCTCAGGTTGTGAAGCACTTTTTGAGTGGGAATATCTGCTCTCTGTTAGATCTCACCTGCCAGAAATATTTGCGGGACTCAAAAATGCTGGTGCTACTTATCATATGAATGCTGTGATCCAGCAGCCATATATATCTATATATATGTTATAGATATACATACGTGTGTGTATGTGTTTCCCCCCACACTGAAAACAGTATTCTTGCAATTGAATGCATAGGTAAAAATATAGATAATGATTGTTTGAAGATGAGAAGCAGAACAGTGAGGTAAATTCTAATTATTAATTACTAATAGTTTGAAGATTCTGATAGCAGCTACGGTTTTTCTCTCTGCAATTATTGTTCTTTAAAAGAATTTGTGGTAAGTACATTTTTATAATGTGGCTAAAATCGCTGAGAAACTATGACTGTTATATTTATATTGTCTGTGTTTCATAAGCTGTGCTTATTTTTAAAATTCTCTAATATGTTTTTATGAAATTAGAGCTTTTTCTGCTAAAGAATCAAATGTGTTCTTCAAATTATGCTCCCTGATTTTGTAAAAAATATTAGTTAAGAATTATCATAACACTGCCTATGAAAAGTTTAATTTGAACATAAAGCAGTAAAAAATTAGGTTACAGTGGTGATCACCTATTTAGGATACACCTCCAAATAAGTAAACATGGAACACCTAAATTTTGGTAATGTTTATACTCAAGATCTTTATTATTATTATTATTATTATTATTATTATTAATTTTACTTTTTGTGTGGATATTGATAAAAACTAAATTAAAAAATCAGAATAGTTTTACTGTAATAAATTGTTTTCCTACAATGTCTTCATTTTTTCCTTTCAGTTGGCAGAAATAGTTTGTCTTTCAGTTACCAGTGTCCCAGCATTTAATGATTTATAGACATTACAAAACACACACTTTCTTCCTCTTTCTTAGACCCAGAAAATTATATCATCCAAGCATTGCAGTTGGGGTAGCTTTACTTTTAGTAGAATCTTCATATGGGATGTTCACCAATACTTGGTTAACAGACACTATTGGAAGAAAAGTTGGAAGGTAATTTCTGACATGATAGCCCGTGTTACCCCTAGGGCGTTGAATTTAACACATATAGAGATGGTTAATCACAACAGCAAGAAGCAGATGAAACAGAATATAAAATTTCAAATTAGGTATCTTACCTTTGGACTTGGTTGCTTGTGATTTATGTTGTCTCATTACTGTACTGTGGCATGTATATCTGCCTTGTTCCTTTTTCTATGCAATGAGCTTCTCTAGGGCAGGAACTGGGGATTGTTTATTTCTTCATCACAAACCTATGACACAACGAAAACAATAAGAAACCTCTCAGATACTTGGAAAGCAACTGTACTTTGCTCTATGGCTACAATCATGTTTTGACTTTTGGAGCTTCTCTCTATGCCCCCCACCCCATCCTTCCAAAACTAGGGTTAATAGGCATATTTATTCAGTGTTAATAATTCTGATTTCATCATGTAAATAATCTTATGTAATTTGGAAAATGCATTATTCCCAGAAGAAGATACAGAATCCTACAAAGACTAAGTAACTTATTCCCCCAAAGTTACTTATTCCCCAAAGTTACTCATGGCAGAGGACTCATTTGTCTTACTCCTGCCTGCTTGAACAAATTTTACTATATTATATTATCTCCAGTGTAGGTTATTATTTTATGAATCTTTTATGATAACTTTTCTGTAAACCCAGTTATAATAGTCTATGTTTGAACTGAGCAATAAGAGTAAAAAATAAAAAGTAATTTAAGTGTTTTGAAAATTAGGAATGTACAAAATGTATATAATTTTATTCAGCAAGTTTTTTATTTGTTTCAACTTCTTTCCTTATATTTATAAAGTTAAATGAGTGCATTACTGATTTTTTGGTCATTAATGTTGATCCCCAAGGTAATTTATCAGAATATTTTTATTAATTGGAAGACAATCCAGAGTTAATAAAGACAGAAGATAGAAAAGAGAACAATATTTGTGTCATAAGACATCTTCAAGACATCTTTGTTCATTGAGCTGTTTTCAAAGTACAATCATATGTACCCAAAGAATTTTGGTAACAGTTATGGTAAATTTTAGGTGAGTGATTATTTCAGTTGTATAAAAGCCTCAATAAGTTAACTAAATATTACTGAGGCAAAATACTTCATTTAAGAGACATTATATTAAGTGAAATTTGCCAGGAAATATAAAGCGCAAGGATTGGTTGATTTTATTCATATGTGAGAAATAACAAAGTTGATCTCATATAGGTAGAGAATAGAATGACAGATTATTATAGGCTATGAAAGACATTAAGCAAATAAATGAGTTAGTTAATGTGTAAAAAATAGTTAGAAAGAATAGGTTCTAAAGTTTGATTGTATAGGAGGGAGGTTATAGGTATGAATAATTTATTATAGATTTCATAATAACTAGAAGTTTAGATTTGGAAAGTTCTTGAAACAAATATGTCATATATGTCGGAAATGACTAATATACCAATTACCAGTATGCCATTTAAAAATTTGGTCATTGCTGATTTTGTGCATGTATCAAGATAACGGTTCTACATTGTAAATATGGAAAATTATAATGCATCAGTTTAAAAATGATAAATAGTGGTCTGTTTAAATAAGAAATTTCACTAAATGTGGCCATTTCTGAATTGTAAAAACCTCTTTCTCTCTACACATTGGGACTTTGTGATCCAAATTCTGATTTTAGAAGTACTTGCGACATGTTCTTGGGCAGACTGAGGACATGGCAGAAAAGCCACACATGCCCCTCTTCAGCATTAGCTGGAAATTGTGGTCCAGGGCTCTCCTGGATGCCATGAAACAATATGTGCCATTGGAAAGATAATTACTAGGTTTTCTTGCCTTAGTGTTGAGACAGCTTCTTTGACTGAAGACCATAAAATAATTATAAAACTTGCAACACGTATAAAGTGTTGGGCAAATTAAAGAAACAGTCTAATGAGGAAGTGCTCAGAAGACTTTCAAATAACATAAAAAGATGGTTTTATAGAGGAAAATATTACCAGGGAAGTGCAATGAGATGATGATCCTATTCAAGAGCAGGCAGTCTGGTATTTTCTAGCATGTAGTTTGCAATAACCTCAGGAATTACTGGATCCCACTGTCACATGGGCAATGCCCTTTGAAGAGCTCCCTATTGACAACAACAACCTGCTTAGTTGATGAATGGCAGTTTCAAAGTGGGTGTATAATGTCCTGTTGCAAGGCTCTCATAGAGACCAGAAATGAAGACCAGTTGAAGATTGAATGAGTAAATTAGCTCAATGATTGAACTCTATGCTGTTAAATGATTGTTTTATAAAGGCAATTGTTTGAATTCATGAGTCGTAAACAGTAATCAGTATCCTGGCCATGTGAACAATAGAAAACTGGACTTTCAAACAGATGCCAGTATGTGATACACGGACTTTCAATGGGCTGAATCATATCCTGGCATCCACTTAATAGTAGAAATTTAAGGGGTACCTTAAATAAGGACATGTTGATCCCCATTTGAAGAATCTTCTGCAGGATGATTGGGAGGTCATTAGAAACAGGACATCATGATGTAGTCCCTTGAAGTGGCAACCTTAAAGAGGTGCAGCAGTAATGCAGAAATGGGATTAATCTAAATATGCTTCTCTTGTACTTTCTAAGGAACAGAAATTCCAAAATCTAAGTCTAGGCCAGAAGAGAAACATAGACTGCAAATAACAATAGTCCATATAGGAAGACACATGACATAGTTGGATTACAATATACCAATATCAGTAGCCCTGATAGTGTATTTATAGGTCTTGACTAATGTAGACTGCATTTTGCATTCATGGTGTTCAATGCTAATGCTTATATACTATAAAAAGATAAAAACATAGTATATTGTAACCGGTTCAAACAAATGAATTGCTGATCCTCACACTATGCAACACACTTCATATCCTACTGTTTCCAACAGGGGCATAGAGATATTACATCAAATAAAAAATTATATTAATTATTTAAAATCAGAAGGCACTTTTATCTTCAGTAAACCCTACATCTAATGACAAAAGCTTTAAAATAATATAGAAATAAACTAGGAGACTTACTGCTTTCAAGGAAAATTGTGACTGGCTAGCAAAACAGTCAGAAATCTTGGCACAATGGTGCTTCAAAGTACTGTGGATTCTGATAATATGCACTTTACTGGAATTAGGTGAAGCAAATTTTAGAAGCATCCCTTAGTAAATTCTACCACAAAAGTGCCCCCAGCACAAAAAAATACAACTTCCCATGCTCCAAACATTGTGACATATGAAAAGTATGTATATTGGTTGTAATATTTAAGAATTCCTATTAAAAATATGGCAATATCTTTATCTCAGCAAGAAATTAAGCTATCAAACATTAAAGGTGAAGAATGTGTAGAATTAAAATCTGCTTGTTTTTTACATTTTTACCCTGTCTTTGATTGTTTCTGGCATAAAAAAATAAGGTTTCTGAGAAATAGAGCTGTTACTCTGGACAACTGCTGTAATTTAGGTAATTCCAATTTTTGGCTACATGAACTTGGTGAGAAGTCATGCTAAATGTTATAGCACACTAAAATCTTTTAAATGATTAACCTGGCTGGGTGCCATGACTCAAAATAATCCCAGCACTTTGAGAGGCTGAGGAGGGTGGATCGTGAGGTCAGGAGATCCAGACCACCCTGGCTAACAAGGTGAAACCTTGTCTCTACCAAAAATACAGAATTAACCAGGTGTGGTGGCACATGACTGTAATCCCAGCTACTTGGGAGGCTGAGGCAGGAGAATCGATTGAACTCCTGGGGTGGAAGTTGCAGTGAGCCAAAATCACAACCATTGCACTCCAGCCGAGGCAACAAGAGTGAAACACCATCAAAAAAAAAAAAAAAAAAAAGGAAAGAAAGAAAGGAAAGAAGAGAGGAAGAAAAGAAAGAGAAAAAACAAAGGAAGAAAGAAAGGAAGAAAGAAAACAAAGAAAGAAAGAAAGAAAAAGAGAGAAAGAAAGAAAGAAAAAGAGAAAGAAAGAGAAAGAAAAAAGGTAAGAAAAGAAAAGAGAAGACTGCATTACTCTTGTTGTGGCTAATCTTCCCAGAAAATTTTAACAAAAATATTCGTTTTAACTTAGAAGTGTTCATAAATGGTATTTATTTATATTTTGATCAGTATTTGTTTTTTAGTAAACTTTGTATTAAAGCCCGTAAAATGGTTAATTTTTACTGTCTCTGCATTTTGAGAAAGAATAAATAAATTACTTTATGCTCTTCTTGAAATCTCACAAATTTTTATGAACTAGGACAAGGTAGTACCTATTGACAAAGAAAATGTCACAAGGGTAAAATAAAACATGACCACACTTAAAGTATTCTTCTTCTGGGCCGGGCGCGGTGGCTCACGCCTGTAATCCCAGCACTTTGGGAGGCCGAGGCGGGCGGATCACGAGGTCAGGAGATCGAGACCATCCCGGCTAAAACGGTGAAACCCCGTCTCTACTAAAAATACAAAAAATTAGCCGGGCGTAGTGGCGGGCGCCTGTAGTCCCAGCTACTTGGGAGGCTGAGGCAGGAGAATGGCGTGAACCCGGGAGGCGGAGCTTGCAGTGAGCCGAGATCCCGCCACTGCACTCCAGCCTGGGCGACAGAGCGAGACTCCGTCTCAAAAAAAAAAAAAAAAAAAAAAAAAGTATTCTTCTTCTGATCATCTTGCCAAAGCTGTCCTAGATAATTCTTTCCTTTTTTTTTTCTAGTAGGTGCTTGATACAATTTTTTTATTAGACTTTAAGTTTTAGGCTACATGTGCACAATGTGAAGGTTAGTTACATACGTATACATGTGCCATGTTGGTGTGCTGCACCCATTAGCTTGTCATTTAACATTAGGTATATCTCCAAATGCTATGCCTCCCCACTCACCCCATCCCACAACAGTCCCCAGTGTATGATGTTCCCCTTCCTGTGTCCATGTGTTCTCATTGTTCAATTCATACCTATGAGTGAGAATATGCAGTGTTTGGTTTTTTGTCCTTACGATAGTTTGCTGAGAATGATGATTTCCAGCTTCATCCATGTCCCTACAAAGGACATGAATTCATCAGGTTTTAGGGCTGCATAGTATTCCATGGTGTATATGTGCCACATTTTCTTAATCTAGTCTATCATTGTTGGATATTTGGCTTGGTTCCAAGTCTTTGCTGTTGTGAGTAGTGCCACAATAAACATACATGTGAATGTGTCTTTAAAGAAGCAAGATTTATAATCTTTTGGGTATATACCCAGTAATGGGATGCCTGGGTCAAATGATATTTCTAGTTCTAGATCCCTGAGGAACTGCCACACTGACTTCCACAATGGTTGAACTAGTTTACAGTCCCACCAACACTGTAAAAGTGTTCCTACTTCTCCACATCCTCTCCAGCACCTGTTGTTTCCTGACTTTTTAATCATTGCCATTCTAACTGGTGTGAGATGATATCTCATTGTGGTTTTGATTTGCATTTCTCTGATAGCCAGTGATGATGAACATTTTTTCATGTGTCTTTTGGCTGCATAAATGTCTTCTTTTGAGAAGAGTCTGTTCATATCTTTTGCCCACTTTTTGATGGTTTTTTTTTTTCTTGTAAATGTGTTGGAGTTCATTATAGATTCTGGATATTAGCCCTTTGTCAGATGAGTAGATTGCAAAAATTTTCTCCCATTCTGTAGGTTGCCTGTTCACTCTGATGGTACTTTCTTTTGCTGTGCAGAAGCTCTTGAGTTGAATTAGATCCCATTTGTTAATTCTGGCTTTTGTTGCCATTGCTTTTGGTGTTTTAGACATGAAGTCCTTGCACATGCCTATGTCCTGAATGGTATTGCCTAGGTTTTCTTCTAGGGATTTTATGGTTTTAGGTATGACATTTAAGTCTTTAATCCATCTTGAATTAATTTTTATATAAGGTGTAAGGAAGCATCCAGTTTCAGCTTTCTACATAGCCTGTTTTCACAGGACCATTTATTAAATAGGGAATCCTTTCCCTATTTCTTATTTTTGTCAGGTTTGTCAAAGATCAGATAATTGTAGATATGTGGCATTATTTCTGAGGGCTCTGTTCTGTTCCATTGGTCTATATCTCTGTTTTGGTACCAATACCATGCTGTTTTGGTTACTGTAGCCTTGTACTATAGTTTGAAGTCAGGTAGTGTGATGCCTCCAGCTTTGTTCTTTTGGCTTAGGATTGACTTGGCAATGCACGCTCTTTCTTGGTTCCATATGAACTTTAAAGTAGTTTTTCCAAATTATTTGAAGAAAGTCATTTGTAGCTTGATGGGGATGGCATTGAATCTATAAATTGCCTTAGGCAGTATGGCCATTTTCATGATACTGATTCTTCCTACCCATGAGCATGGAAGGTTCTTCTATTTGTTTGTAACCTCTTATTTCATTGAGCAGTGGTTTGTAGTTCTCCTTGTAGAGGACCTCCACGTCCATTGTAAGCTGGATTCCTAGGTATTTTATTCTCTTTGAAGCAATTGTGAATGGGAGTTCACTCATGATTTGGCCCTATGTCTGTTATTGGTGTATAAGAATGCTTGTGATTTTTGCACATTGATTGTGTATCCTGAGACTCTGCTGAAGTTGCCTATCAGCTTAAGGAGATTTGGGGCTGAGACAATGGGGTTTTGTAGATATGCAATCATGTCATCTGCAAACAGGGACAATTTGACTTCCTCTTTTCCTAATTGAATACCCTTTATTTCTTTCAATAACTTCTTTTTCTTAATTTGAAGTCACAGCTGATATGTTACCAAATATGTAAGGAAATAAAATTGAAGACCATATAAGTAAAGATCAAAATGAGTTTGAAAAAGAAAAATAAAAATTTATGTATGTATGTATTTATTTATTTTTACCTGTTCATACATAAATCCTGTTGGATGAGGACATAATGTGGCATCTTCTGTTGAAGAGGACTTATGCTCATCTAAGGAATCTTGATTATCTGGCTTCAAATTCAAAATATTTAAAAAGATTGACAATTTTATTATGAAAGTAACTTTATACCTTATATTTAATTTTCTTCATTTAGAATAAACTTCTAAGAAATGCAAAAAAGCTGGCATCTTTAACATCTTCACAACTCCTGCAAATGATGTATAAGTCAGGGAAAAATCTGAATTATTCTAGCTGTGTAATTTCTAGACCATTTCACATCAGTCATTTCCAAAAGAAAACCTACTTTTTAAGGTCAAAGAAACCAATGTTAACCATTTAATAAAATAAATATTTTTAAGGGAAATATTAATACATAAACATTGGCTTACACATTTAAAAATGACTTCTCTTTTTCCCAGATTTATCTGCTTCCTTTGGGTGCTTCCCCTCGTCCCCTCATGTGGACTCAGTTTGCAAGGTTTTGCAAGTGTCATCCTAACACTATTTGATCTGCCTAAGACATAACCATTTGATGTTTTATTGTTTTGTGCTGGAGACCAACTTTTGTAGGCATACTGAATTGTTTCCAGTACATGGTCTAGTTTCAAGTTTCTATATCCACTAAACAAGTCAATTTTCTTTTCTTTTCTTTTCTGTTTCTTTTCCACGTGAAAGCGCAAACACAGTCCTTCATTTCCATAAATTATGCAGTTGAGTTTCCCACAATTTTGTAAATCTCAGGGGTCGGCACATCCATAGTGCAATAGATCAGTCTTGCCCTGGGAAGTTGGATTCCTAGGTATCTCCCCTGTCAGGGAAGTATCCATTTTCTTTTTAAGACTTCCATTATCCTTTGAAAGAAAATACAACTATAAATGTAATAGAAGTTAGAATAACTTTCAGTATCAGCTTAAAATGTCAATTTCAATCATCCATGATTATCCTCTTCTATAAAAGTTCTTAACTCTGACACAGGCTTCCACAAAATTGTAAGAAAAAACACTACGGTAAACAATGAAACAACCGTTAAATAAAACTACCATACATTTTACACACTGATATGCTCATTTTTGATAATGACTCTTAGAGTGTTCTATTGTATCTAACAGTCATTTTCGCTCTGCTGGAATTTTATTATATGCACTATGAGCTTTAAAATAAGCAGATGAAAATAATCTGTAATATCTAGTAGTAGCTAATATTTTATTGCCTAATATGTGCCTAATATTTTATTGCCTAATATGTGCTAATATTTTATTGCCTATTATGTAACAAGTTTTTGAGGTAATCTAATTAATATCAGAGTTAGTTCCCTAAGAGGGTAGCACTAGTAAATCCATTTAACAAATAAAAAAATCAATTACTGTTAGGAGAAATACTTTGCCAAATGTTACATATTTAGCCAGTTGAGGAGCTAGCAATCTGACTAAAACATCTGATCTCTTGGCATGTTACTAATTTAAAATGTTTTGGCTAAATATACTATCCATGCATTATTAAAAGTGAATTAAAAACAGTCAGGCTTTATTACTTTTCATAGTTCTATTTTTTATTCTACACATAGGATTATGCTCTGTGGCCCAGGCTGGACTACAGTGGCATGATGATAGCTCATAGCTCAATGAGGTCTCACACTCCAGGGTTCAAGGAATACTCCTGCCTGAGCCTTCCAACTACTTGGGATTAGAGAAATGCCTCACCATATTCACTCACCTCATTATTTTTATTAAAGAGGAATAGCCTTTTAAGACTAACTTTTTGAATAAAAAAGAAAAACTTGTTTGGTAGTCACTCATTTTTCAGAGACAACATTTAAGAATGTAAAGCAAGAATCCCATGATGATAGAACAGCAATATAAATTGGCAGTAGAAAATTGATTTCAATTCTAATAGTGTAAGAACACACACATGATGGCTAAAGCAATTTTCAATGGCAACAATAAAATTTTCCTGATTTGCTAATAATCAGTCATTTTTCTTCTAGGTCTGGCTAAATTGCAACATATTGACACTGAAAATTGTTTACTCTTCTTAAGAGTCAATATTAAAAATGCAAAAAATAGAGACTTCTACCTTTTTTGTCATTACCATGAAAGATAAATAAAATTGTTTTTTTCTCTCTACCATGTGTCTTACTTAATATAGTAATATTATATTCCAAGTCAGAAGCTATGTTTTTTTTTTTTTGCCATAGGAGCATTTATAATATAAATTTCTTTTGAAAAAGGTAATTTGTGTAATCTAATTATTTCAGGTAAGGAATAACATGGATAGACTTCTTGTAACACTGACAGTACATATTTCATTGTATTATTCTCTTAAAAATTATAATAAAGTGAAAATCAAGTCATTTGCCACATTATCAATAGTATCATTTGTTTTCACGTGCAATTTGGATTAATATTATCTTTGCCTATATTGTTATCTGCTGCCTTGAACAGTGGTTGGTACATAGCAGATGTTGATATATATCTGTTGATATATATCTGAATAACGCCTATTGAATAGACTAAATATTCATTACACAAAACATTTCAAGCTAATCTTAATAAGGAGAATACTAAATTCTTGCAAAAAACCCACATTAATCTACATTCACTGTTTTCCACATTAACCCAACATGTATAATTTTACTGTAATCACTTCCTTGAATGAGATGAGGTTAAGATGTGATTTAGCCTTACTTTAGAGCAAATAAAAGAAGTTACATAGTAAACAATATATGACTACAAACTATTTTTTAAATGGTATAAATTAAACCCCATTGATAGAGACTCTTAATGTCGTTTTACAACATTAATTAATCTGCTTGAAATCTATGATGGTGGACCAAAGAACAATTAGAAAAATTTAATTGTTAAAATCTAACATTTTCAGTTGTTTAAAATTTAAGATTATGATTTGGCTTTAATCATCGTGTTCTACAACTTTATAATACCTTTAGTTTATTATCAGGTTTTCAGTATGCTTATTATAATGTCTATTGAGTGAAAATCAGGTTTTTTAGTATGCTTATTATAATGTCTATTGAGTGAAAATTGTGTATGATTTTGTGTTTGGGGGGGCGTGTGTGTATAGAGTTTCCAGTTATATACTATGATTTGTTTCTACAATCCTATAACAATAAAACTTTTAATCTCCTAGCAGAGTTGGGTAACTAATTCTGGTCAATCTTAGTCTTATTTTACTGCAGATGACACAGCTAAGAATTCTAGAAGAAGGCTAAAGATCTGTCTTGAGTGTAACCACAGTTTTTTAAAATTATAATTTTTCTCAAAACCAATTTGGCCAAGGTTGTGAAACCCCATCTCTTCTAAAAATATAAAATTATCCAGGTGTGGTGGTGGACACTTGTAATCCCAGCTACTCAGGAGGGTGACACACAGAATTGCTTGAACCCAGGAAGCGGAGGTTTCAGTGAGCCGAGATTGCGTTCCTGCCCTCCAGTCTGGGTGACAGAGTGAGACTCCCTCAAAAAAACAAACAAACAAACAAAAACTCTCCTTCTTACATACAAGTTAAACTAACTACTTATAGAGGCTATGGATTGTTTTTGGATAACTTAATGTTATCTACCATGATAACATTAACTTTTTTTAAAAAAGTTTCCATTCAATGACATTCCTTTCTATGACTTTTTTTCATTGTTACATCTGTAGTAACACATGTATTGTTTTAGATGATTCCAAATTCTGGACATAGGTATCCAACTCCCCATTACAATTTTCTATTTGATCTCCCATATGCTTCTAAATCACAATCCGCTCAGATTCTTTTCTTTCTATCAGTAAATTGCATTACTATTCCCTCAGCATATCAAATCACACAAGAGACATAGGTGTTAACATCTCTTTCCTATTCCACTTCCTCAAATATCCAATTACCAACACCTACCTATTGTAACTCATAAAGAGCTCGTGAATCTGTCCACACATATGTTCCACATTGCCAGTTTTTCTTTTTTATTATACTTTAAGTTTTAGGGTACTTGTGCACAATGTGCAGGTTAGTTACATAATACAGAGTACCCACAATCTTTTTCTACACATAATTTTGAATACTTTCTTACTGTGGTTTATTGTGAAACTTTCTATGCTATAGCCAGTGAGATGTTACTAATTTATGCCTTTTGTGATCCTCTAATGGTTTATCAAGTCACACTGAATATCGCACATAATTGCTAAAAAGTCAAGTTATGTCAATACTAAGTCTGTACCAACTAGCTATTTAGAAAAAAAAAAGCTTAACAAAGCAAGTATTTTTTACTGCAAGATGCTTTTTACCTCCAAATCTAAGTCATATACTCCCTACAACAGGCAGCAGGTCACTTTGTATTTTTCTTGTTTATTATGAAGCTTTGTATCCCACCTGGGCTGTTTATTCAGTACTGTATTTTCAAAATCATAATTAAGACAGATTCAAAACACTTTATCTGAAATTCAAAATGCTCAATTAAGCAAGGCTTTTAAAAATAAGGTTGGTATGTAATTTGATTTCTGATGTAATAAAGACTTAATTGAGGGAAGCTATTAAGTCTTCATTCATGTACCCTTCATCCTTAAAGGGAATATTCATTTCTCTTCATAGAAACATTAGTATGTTTGATTCTTGGGTACCTTTGGGGCCTCACAAGGAATAGTACACAATGTGTTGCAAATGTGTTGACTCAGTTTCCTCAAATTCAAAAATTCCTAAAACCTAAAACACACTGCCTAAATGCCTTCAGATGTATAAATGTATAATGAATCTTGTCAATTAAAATTACACTTAGGTTATATTATAAACCAATCATGTGTTGTGTATGAGCCACTGAAATCTCAAGTTAAATTGTGCAAAACAAATTTTTTTTGAGTTCTTAAGTTTTATATTTTTACATTTAAAATAAATATTGTATTTATATTTGAATATATGCTCCTACTCTACTAAAAGTATCCCAGCATCTCAGATGTAGTCAGGCAAGGATGAGAAAAAAGAAAGCACAGAGATGATCAGAGCAGGAAGAGTAAAGGGTCAAATTTGTTTCCTCTTGAAGGTAAATAAAATAACACTTTCATTACAGGAATGTGTGACCATAGAACTTAGTTTTGATAGTAAAATGTTTGTGACTTTAACAAGTTACATGAAGTGAAATCCTAATTGTCTGAGTCAATCATTCATATGTGTGACATAATATTTATCAACATCACATATAAATGTAAAATTTAATAGTAATTAAATTTTAACTATATCCATAAATTAGTAACTTTGAAATGTTGCCCTAACACTGAAAACAGTACAAATATTTTTGTTTTACATTTTTGACAATCTATCAATGCCTTTAGTACTACTGTGCAATAGGTTGATGTGAGAAAAATCAGGCTACCCTAAGAGAGATTTAGTGAAAATCACATTTCTTAATTTATGTTAACATCAACAAAAAATTTAAGTAAATTATTTATTTACATTGTAACTGTTTATTTTACTTTATTTTAACAAAAACACACATACGTTCTAAAAGTTTCTCATAGAAGACATTTTTAAAACTGACAAACAAAATGACCAGTTGAGATCCCTTAAGGATATAGATTCCTTTTCCAAGTTCTAGAAATTCTGATTTAGATAGTGTGGCATATGACCTGGAAGCCAGTAGTTTTCAAAAAGCAATACTAAGAGATAACGTCTGCTGGGCACAGTGACTCAAGTCCGTGATCACAGCACTTTGAGAGGACGAGATGTGCAGATCACAAGGTCAGGAGAGAGACCATCTTGGCCAATATATATATTAGCCAGGCATGGTGGCATGCCTGTAGTCCCAGCTTTTAGGGAGGCTGAGGCTGAGGAATCACTTGAACATGGGAGGTGGAGGTTGCAGTGAGCCAAGATCTTGCCCCTGCACTCCAGCCTAGCCACAGAGCTAGTCTCCATCTAAAAAAAAAAAAAAAAAAAAAAGAGAGAGAGAGAGAGAAAGACAACATCAATCAGGTACAATATCTAAACTTAAAGATTACCAGAAAAATGAAACAAGTGCATAAATAACCTGAGAATACATGAAATACATTAAAGTTACACAGATTTGGGATGCATTTATATATATTTATATGTATATGTATGTATGTATATGGAATATTGCTTGTACTTTAGGATGCTTTACATATTATAATGATTAAAATGTGCTTCTCATTTAATATTTTAAAATAAAAACCTAATTGACATAAAATTATGAAAATATCTTACCTAAACTGGCATATGTTACAAACAGTTAAATATATTTCTGTAAATATAATAGCTATGCTCTGTATATTTTCTTCTCAGGAGATTAAATACTCCTCTTAGTAACTGATCACCCTTGTTCAAGTTGTTACATTTCTGTGAAAAATAAGTATTCATTGGTGTAATAGAATCAAGATTACAAAACAGCTTCTATTTGAATAAAGAGTCCTGTTCTTATAAAGAGCAAACATCTCACACAGAAAATTATTAAATACAAATTCCTATTTGAGAGAGAAAATAAAGAGCTTTGGTAAATTTTTTTGTAGATTTTGTATGCTGTTCTAATTAAAATAACAACAACACTTCCACAACTTCAACAGAATAATTAAAGTCATTTAATTATTCGTATTATCACTAATTTTAATTTTATGTTACAGTGTTTTTACTAAAATACCCTTCAATTTAATGAAAAGTTAATTTAAAAAAATAAACCTTTGGGATTTCCTTAATAACTGTGAATATTCAATACACAAAATAATTTAATCTTGTTTTTCAGAGGGCCAAGAAATCACTCTTCATTACCATAAAATAACTTTTAAAACTCACAGGTGTTATAATGTTTCTATAATATAAAGCATGCATTTGTGTAAGGCAAATACATCAAATAGAGCCATATAAATTTGCTGATTTGAATTTACAGACAACAGAATTTACTTCTAAGTATATAATTACTCCAAAACAAACAAACAAAGAAAAAAACTAATGGTTGTGCAATTACCTGACTAGAAATTGATGGAACAGGAGCACCTTCATCTTGAACAAATATCACCACTTTAACATCCAACTCTCTTTTTAGCCTCATGCATTTCAAGGAAATCACTTGTCTTCTAACTACAAATAGTAAGCACATTCCTTTCCCTTCAGGTGCAGTAAGATAAGGAAGCTAGAAGCAGACATGGGAAATATGCCTGCAACTCCAGAAAGATGTATGAAAACAGACCCACAGCTCTCTCTGTCAGATAACCACAACAAAGAGACACAGAAGCCGTCCAAGACTCTGACAAACTCTCTGAGACTGAATCTTGAAAATCTCTTAGTCTGTTAAGAGAATGTGGCTCTGACTTAACCTGGCCAGCCACCCCTCTCAGGTTGATTCAAAATAAACCTGTCCTTGTTGACAGTCATGCTGCCCTTTGGGTTTCTCACCTCTTTCTTTAATTTTTACATTTGGTGCTGAAACCCAGGACCAGTGTTGGGGGTAGAGGCCCCGTTGGATCCCAGGAAGCTGTGGGCAGTGGCAGCTTATCCTAAGTTAACTCCTGGATCCTGAGTGTCTCTGGCCACCTGCCCCAACTTTTCTTTCATTTTACTCTTCAAGCAGTTTGTGTGAGAAGGACAAATGACCTGAAGGAAACTGCAAGGCTCAGGCCAGGTCTATAAAACCCTCAAGTCTCAGGAATCCACCCCTAACACTGGCTCCCTCTTTCCTCTTCTCTCTCTCTTCCTCTCTCTCTCCCTTTCTCTCTCTCTCTCTCTCCCTTTGTCTCTCTCTCTCTCTCTCTCTCTCTCTCTCTCTCTCTCTCTCTCATTCTCTTACTCTCTGTTCCTCATATAGCTCCAGTCTTGGAGTCCCTTTGACAATTCCAAGTGGAACATCCAACAGACAACACTAATTCAGTCGTCTGGTAAGATCTACCTTTTCCTGGCTTTCTCTTGGTACTGGAGAAAGTCCAGCCTGCTGTCGAGTTCTTCGAACGACCAATAGGACTAAGCTAGAGGAAACCTTGGGGACATGTAGTGCTTTCTCAGTGTAACTGTCCTCTTTCATAAAGAGGATTCCGGGTCTCTGTCTATTGTCTGGGGACATTTAGAACAAAACAGACATTTTTCAAAATACCTTTATAGCAAATCCAGCTTCCCAGAAATGCTAATTGTTAAGTACGAGAATGTAAAAATATATTATTCAATTGTACCAAGGGGAAAGGTTTAGTGTTACTGCCATTTACAGGAAAAACAAACAAAACAACTTAACACGTTTTACATAAAGTTAAAAATTGCTAAAATTTCATTATAACATGTAATCAAAAGTGCTAAACATTAATTTTCATGCAAGGTGTATAAAAACAATAAAAAAATTGTAAAAAGATATAAAAATGTACATTTTGATTAAAAATTTAAAAATTGGTTTGGGAAGACACTGAGCTAGCTTGAAGAGTTTTTTTTTTTTTTTTTTTTTTTTTTTTTTTTGGTGCCCCAGTGGCACCTGAAATGCCAGAAAGACAGAATGGTTCACTCCCTTGACAGGGGGGAGAAGCCAGGATGCCAAGTTATCTAGCTCAGTGGATGTCATGCCCATGGAGCCCAGCAAGCTAAAATCCACTGCCTTGAAATCCTTGCTGCCAGTGCAGTAGTCTGAAGTTAATCTGGGATGCTTCAGATTGCTGGGGACAGGGGCACCTGCCAATACTGAGGCTCGAGTTGGTGGTTTTCCCTTCACAGTGTAAACAAAGCCACTGGGAAGTCACTGCAGCTCAGCCAAGCTGCTGTAGCCACACTGCCTCCCTAGATTCCTCCTCTCTGGTCAGGTCATCTCTGAAAGAATGGCAGCAGCCCCAGTTAGGGGCTTATAGATAAAACTTCTATCTCCCTGAAACAGAGCATCTGGGGGAAGGAGTGGCTGTAGGTGCAGCTTCAGCAGACTTAAACCTTCCTGCCTGCTGGCTCTGTAGAAAGCTGCAGATCTCCAACAGACTGTCTCCTCAAGCAGATCCATAAATCCCATGCCTCTTGACTGGCGGACTCCTCTCAGCAGGTATCGACAGACACTTCATACAGGAGTGCTCTGACTGGCACCTGGAGGCTGCCCCTCTGGGATGAAGCTTTCAGAGGAAGGAATAGGCAGCAATCTTTGCTTTTCTGCATTCTCTGATAGCGATACACAGACGAAAATGGTCAGAAGTGGACCTGCAGCAAAGTCCAGCACATCTGCAGCAGAAGGGCCTGACTGTTAGAATGAAAACTAGTAAGAGAAAGGCACAGTATCAACATCTACTAAAAAGATTTCCAAAAAAAAAAAAAAAAACCTATTCAAAACTCACCAACGTGAAAGACCAAAGGAATATCAATGCACAAAGATAAAACAACAACAACAACAAGTGCAAAAAGGCAGAAAATTCCAAAAACGAGAATGCCCCTTCTCCTCCAAAAGATCACAATTCCTCACCAGCAAGAAAACAAAACTGAATAGAGAATGAGTTTGAGGAATTGACAGAAGTAGGCTTCAGAAGGTGGGTAACAACAAACTCTTCTGAGATAAAGGATAATGTTTTAACCCAAAGCCAGGAAGCTAAGAACCTCAAAAAAAGGTCAGGGAATTGCTTACTGGAATAACCATCTTAGAGAAAAACATGAACAACATGATGGAGCTGAAAAACACAGCACAGAGATTGAAGATCAAGTTAATGCCATAAAGCATGAAGAAAAGATTAGAAAAATGGAATAAAAAGGAAGAAACAAAGTCTCCAAGAATTATGGGACTATGTGAAAAGACTAAAACTACTTTGCTTGTTTGTTTGTGTGTTTGCTTGTTTGTTTGTGTGTTTGCTTGTTTGTTTGTTTGTGATGGAGTCTTGCTCTATTACCCAAGCTGGAGTGCAGGGGTATGATCTTGACTCACTGCAACCTTCTCCTCCCGGATTAAAGGGATTCTCCTGCCTCAGCCTCCTGAGTATCTAAGTTTACAGGTGCACACCATCACACCTGGCTAATTTTTGTATATTTAGTAGAAATAGGGTTTCAGTATGTTTTTCATGTTTGTCTCAAACTCCTGACCTTGTGATCCACCCATCTTGGCCTCCCAAAGAGCTGGGATTACAGGCGTAGATCAAAATGTACAGCTTAAACCTTGCTCTTCTTTTTGGCCAAGACATAACTATACAGTTTTCTGTTCTCTCAACACTAACTTCTATTACATTTGTCATAAATATACTCCCTAAAGCATGAACCTTGCTGTTTCAGAAACCTACAAACTTTGGTCTTTTATCCATCTCTAACCAAACTGTAGTGGAGCTTAGTATGAGCAGAGAGGGGCTTATCATAGATTCACTGTTCATAACAAGAGCTTTGATGTCACATTTAGGCTAAAGTGCCAGCTTCACAGTCAACTGTGACCTGAGAAAGGGGAAGAGTAAACCCTTTTTAGTCGTTTTAGAGAATCATGGTAGTATAGTACCCTGCTCACGGCTACATGCTCAGTAAACAACAAGTCTTATTATTACATATTCCCTAGGGCTATGTTTTATTTCAGCTAAATGCTGATATTCATAGACTCATATAGAAGAATAGGTAGGTAAAAAGGAATGTTATGGTACCTTTTTTATTTTCTAGGGCTCTTGAAGCCCTTGAGATGAACAGTGGAAGGAAATTAATCACTTCTTAAAGTAATTCTCTTTGGAAATGGTGGGATTGGGAGGAGTTCGTTTATGAACAGATATGTAATGGATAAGTTTGATACTCTACTGTTCCATGCAATAGATGTGAACATTTTAAATAAGATTTGAAAGGGATGGACATTTTTTTTTACCATGCACATTTGTGGCATGGCAGGTCAAGAGATATTGCAAAGCCTGAGGATGCCATTTTACAGACATTCTTTTTTTTTTTTTTTTTTGCTTTATTTTTATTTTATTTTATTTATTTATTTATTTATTTATTTTTTATTTTTTATTTTTTTTTATTATACTCTAAGTTTTAGGGTACATGTGCACATTGTGCAGGTTAGTTACATATGTATACATGTGCCATGCTGGTGCGCTGCACCCACTAATGTGTCATCTAGCATTAGGTATATCTCCCAATGCTATCCCTCCCCCCTCCCCCGACACCACCACAGTCCCCAGAGTGTGATATTCCCCTTCCTGTGTCCATGTGATCTCATTGTTCAATTCCCACCTATGAGTGAGAATATGCGGTGTTTGGTTTTTTGTTCTTGCGATAGTTTACTGAGAATGATGGTTTCCAATTTCATCCATGTCCCTACAAAGGATATGAACTCATCATTTTTTATGGCTGCATAGTATTCCATGGTGTATATGTGCCACATTTTCTTAATCCAGTCTATCATTGTTGGACATTTGGGTTGGTTCCAAGTCTTTGCTATTGTGAATAGTGCCGCAATAAACATACGTGTGCATGTGTCTTTATAGCAGCATGATTTATACTCATTTGGGTATATACCCAGTAATGGGATGGCTGGGTCAAATGGTATTTCCAGTTCTAGATCCCTGAGGAATCGCCACACTGACTTCCACAATGGTTGAACTAGTTTACAGTCCCACCAACAGTGTAAAAGTGTTCCTATTTCTCCGCATCCTCTCCAGCACCTGTTGTTTCCTGACTTTTTAATCATTGCCATTCTAACTGGTGTGAGATGATATCTCATAGTGGTTTTGATTTGCATTTCTCTGATGGCCAGTGATGATGAGCATTTCTTCATGTGTTTTTTGGCTGCATAAATGTCTTCTTTTGAGAAGTGTCTGTTCATGTCCTTCGCCCACTTTTTGATGGGGTTGTTTGTTTTTTTCTTCTAAATTTGTTTGAGTTCATTGTAGATTCTGGATATTAGCCCTTTGTCAGATGAGTAGGTTGCGAAAATTTTCTCCCATGTTGTAGGTTGCCTGTTCACTCTGATGGTAGTTTCTTTTGCTGTGCAGAAGCTCTTTAGTTTAATTAGATCCCATTTGTCAATTTTGGCTTTTGTTGCCATTGCTTTTGGTGTTTTGGACATGAAGTCCTTGCCCACGCCTATGTCCTGAATGGTAATGCCTAGGTTTTCTTCTAGGGTTTTTATGGTTTTAGGTTTAACGTTTAAATCTTTAATCCATCTTGAATTGATTTTTGTATAAGGTGTAAGGAAGGGATCCAGTTTCAGCTCTCTACATATGGCTAGCCAGTTTTCCCAGCACCATTTATTAAATAGGGAATCCTTTCCCCATTGCTTGTTTTTCTCAGGTTTGTCAAAGATCAGATAGTTGTAGATATGCGGCATTATTTCTGAGGGCTCTGTTCTATTCCATTGATCTATATCTCTGTTTTGGTACCAGTACCATGCTGTTTTGGTTACTGTAGCCTTGTAGTATAGTTTGAAGTCAGGTAGTGTGATGCCTCCAGCTTTGTTCTTTTGGCTTAGGATTGACTTGGCAATGCGGGCTCTTTTTTGGTTCCATATGAACTTTAAAGTAGTTTTTTCCAATTCTGTGAAGAAAGTCATTGGTAGCTTGATGGGGATGGCATTGAATCTGTAAATTACCTTGTGCAGTATGGCCATTTTCACGATATTGATTCTTCCTACCCATGAGCATGGAATGTTCTTCCATTTGTTTGTGTCCTCTTTTATTTCCTTGAGCAGTGGTTTGTAGTTCTCCTTGAAGAGGTCCTTCACATCCCTTGTAAGTTGGATTCCTAGGTATTTTATTCTCTTTGAAGCAGTTGTGAATGGGAGTTCACCCATGATTTGGCTCTCTGTTTGTCTGTTGTTGGTGTATAAGAATGCTTGTGATTTTTGTACATTGATTTTGTATCCTGAGACTTTGCTGAAGTTGCTTATCAGCTTAAGGAGATTTTGGGCTGAAACGATGGGGTTTTCTAGATAAACAATCATGTCGTCTGCAAACAGGGACAATTTGACTTCCTCTTTTCCTAATTGAATACCCTTTATTTCCTTCTCCTGCCTGATTGCCCTGGCCAGAACTTCCAACACTATGTTGAATAGGAGTGGTGAGAGAGGGCATCCCTGTCTTGTGCCAGTTTTCAAAGGGAATGCTTCCAGTTTTTGCCCATTCAGTATGATATTGGCTGTGGGTTTGTCATAGATAGCTCTTATTATTTTGAAATACGTCCCATCAATACCTAATTTATTGAGAGTTTTTAGCATGAAGGGTTGTTGAATTTTGTCAAAGGCTTTTTCTTCATCTATTGAGATAATCATGTGGTTTTTGTCTTTGGTTCTGTTTATATGCTGGATTACATTTATTGATTTGCATATATTGAACCAGCCTTGCATCCCAGGGATGAAGCCCACTTGATCATGGTGGATAAGCTTTTTGATGTGCTGCTGGATTCGGTTTGCCAGTATTTTATTGAGGATTTTTGCATCAATGTTCATCAAGGATATTGGTCTAAAATTCTCTTTTTTGGTTGTGTCTCTGCCCGGCTTTGGTGTCAGAATGATGCTGGCCTCATAAAATGAGTTAGGGAGGATTCCCTCTTTTTCTATTGATTGGAATAGTTTCAGAAGGAATGGTACCAGTTCCTCCTTGTACCTCTGGTAGAATTCGGCTGTGAATCCATCTGGTCCTGGACTCTTTTTGGTTGGTAAACTATTGATTATTGCCCCAATTTCAGAGCCTGTTATTGGTCTATTCAGAGATTCAACTTCTTCCTGGTTTAGTCTTGGGAGGGTGTATGTGTCGAGGAATGTATCCATTTCTTCTAGATTTTCTAGTTTATTTGCGTAGAGGTGTTTGTAATATTCTCTGATGGTAGTTTGTATTTCTGTGGGATCGGTGGTGATATCCCCTTTATCATTTTTTATTGTGTCTAGTTGATTCTTCTCTCTTTTTTTCTTTATTAGTCTTGCTAGCGGTCTATCAATTTTGTTGATCCTTTCAAAAAACCAGCTCCTGGACAGCCATTTTACAGACATTCTGAGAGTTGTCTGCTTACTTTTAGTATAAGTGATTTACAAGGTTCCAGAACTTAACTAACTGGAAGAAAGAGTTCATAAGTTATGCAGAGGTAGAAGAACCCGAGAGCGTTCCTTTTGTGATTCTGGATTCCTAGACTGGCATAATCCAATGGCAGGTGTTCATAGAAGAAGTGAAGCTTATGCAGTGAGAACAGTGACTATCCTTACTTTGTCAAAAGTGCAAAAGATGCCACAAATGCAGCAGCAGCCTTTGAGGAAGGGTTTCAAAACATTCGTGCAACTGAGGATATGTCAGATCACTTGATGCACAAAGGCATGGTCGACCTTCACCTAAACCCCAAGCCTTGCTCATCTTTCTGTTGAGTGTTAGAGATAAGGCAGATGCATTCTAACCAACTCACATGTATAAAGAAAATCAACACGTACTTGGAGAAGAGAATTAGTGTTTGTAGCAGTGTATTACTTTACTAATACAATTCAGTGAGTCTATATTATTGTATCATTAGTGGGTGGGAGAAGGGACACATTCACTCATGGAGGAATATATTTTCTCAATAATGGCACCTTACATTTATAAATTGTAATGGTTTTCTGAAAACATTGCTTGATTTACATATGCAAATAGAGAGCTAATAAATGAGATGACCAAAACTTAAATTATAATTAAAATAAGAAACTTGACTACTCTAGAATTTATACTCAGATTTTTTTCCTGGAAAAATGGGAAAATACTTTTGTATGTATATGATTTTTATACAATTAGCATTCTATTCTTGGTGAAAGATAACGATTTCCTAAAGCAATAATGTTAGATATGAATCTAATGTATTTGCAATGCATTCTTATTTAATTTACTTCTTTATCCTTTCCAAAATTACTTCACATTTTTTATTTTCATTCTACATATCATTAGGATTACTCTCGCTAGCAATTACTCATCATTTGTGTGCCATTAATGAACTTCTACCACAATAGATCATGTTTCACAGCCCCAGGAGGATGAAGGGCCAATAGTAGTAAAAGAGTTGCTTCATACAGTCTGTCACACACGCAGCTAAATTCGAGCTGTCTATGACTAAAAAATCTTTCCATACAGAGTTCAGTTTTCAGAAAAAGGCTAACTACTGAACTTGGAGAAAAGACAAATTTGCATTTGATAACTGATTTAACAATTATAACGTGTGTGTGGAGGATACAAACTGACAATTCCACTAATGGGATAGTTAATATTTGTGTCACATTCTTGACCCCTCTGGAAAGTCTTCTAGTTCAAGTTAATCCATTCCTTTTTAACACAAGACACAAGCTAATTTTATCACTTTCAAAGGAAATACTAAGAAGGATTGTACTTTGTCAGAGGGTGAATCAAGACATCTTTATTAGGCCATGTATTTACTTAGTGTCTCCTCTAATACGGAACATTGTTTAGTGAATTGCTCTCGAGGTTTTTTGTGTTTGTTTCAAAAAAATCCTTGCTGCAATGATCAGACTTGATAAAGCAAATTGTGGCCTCTTGTGGATGTTCATATTCTGTGCAATTGGTGACTATCTGATTCTATGGAAGTTAACTGAAGCTTGGAATGAATGTGGATGAGACCTGCAACTGGGGAGTGATGGGGGTATCAAAGGACATGCTGGGTGAGGGGAGGTGGCTTTCACATAGGGAGGGGAGTTTTGAAAAATTACATCAAAACATTTCTCTTCCTGGCCTCACTCAATATTGCCATCTGGAAATATTTAATAAAAAATACAATAGAAAATGATAGAAGAACAAAGCAGGTGTTGAGTGTAGCAGCAGGAGCAGTGAGAAGCAGCTGCAGAGCCACCTTGGACAGAAGAACCAGAGATGATGCTCCATAGTTTGAAGGAAGTGTGGTTCCCAGTGGTGCAGAAGTTGCTCCATACATTATGTCATATATTTAGCTAGACTTGAGCTATGAATGGAAAGCTTTTCCATAGAGAAAGTTCGGATTATAGAAAAAGGCTAACTACAGAACTTGGAGAATAGACAAATGTACATTTAATAACTTCTGTAACAATTACAATGTGCTGAGTAGAGGATAGAAAATTACAATTCCATTACAATCAAATAAATATTTTTGTTAATTTTCATCATTGGGAAAAGTTTCCTAGCTGAAGATAAAATATTTATACTGTTTCTTGTCTTAGAAGAAAACTATTTATGTTTCTGTACAAACCTGTTTTCACTTTTATATTATGACACCACCATGTAAGTTTTCTCACAATAAACATGTCATGTAGAGTAGTAAACTGATAAGTAGGGAAACACACCAGTGTGGTACCCAGCGAAAGGTGGAATCTGGGCAGTCAGTGCTTTCTGGAACTCTGGACTGACAACCAGGGAGTGTTAAAGTGACTGAAAAGTTAAAGATCACAAGTACAGCATGGGCAAAACAGGGATTGACAGTATCTATGTCCATGCCAAAGGAAGTATCCTGGGAAGTTTCTGGCTATAGCAAGAGGAAAAAACTTCATATGCACATTTCTTCTGGATCACTTTTGGAGTACGAAAGCAGATAAACAACTCAGTACTAACATACACATGCTAAGGGGAGCCTGATTTTAAGACTGATTTCATTTCATTGTTCTTATGTTAAGGAGCCTTCAAGGGAAATCTACTGCAAGATCCCAGCTTTGCCAGCTTATCTTTCCTCATGATCAGCTCCTATCAATCAGCTAACAGTTCTACCCATGTGCCCCCAGGAGTGCTCTCCTTCAAACCTTCATGCCTGCAATACTTTTATCTGTAGCCCACATTGAAGGTCCTACTTAATGCTCCACTTTCCTTCCAGCTCCATCAAAAAATTTGTCACACATGAAATTTGTCACTTAACTTTACTCATACACACCCAGGACTTGGATTACTAGTGTCTACCTCAACTTCATTAGTGTGGAAAAAAGACTCTTATCAATGTGCCACTGTTGTGCAGCTGAGCCACATCTTCCTGCTGTCACTCATCCTGCTGCTTTTGGCTGGATTTCAACATAACCCTTGGGATTATATGCTCATTGAGGGCAGAAAAATCTGTATGGAAAATTACATGTTTGTTGAAATGACTCCCAGATTTCCAGATGTGTCTTACATTTTTCTGCACCCACAGATCTGGAATTTGGTTTGTTTCAATATGAGTGCTGTATAACAGGTTAAGAAATCATATTAGTTTGCACAATACTAACAGGGGAAATAGGACAAAAACAACTGTTTTGGGTAGCACTTAAAAAATTAATCTTGAACAAACATTCATTTTAAACAATCTTGAACAAACATGTTTATTTTAAAAATCAAATAAGTAGGGTAAAAATGTTGGTAGCTATTTCACACAAGGACACAAGACAAAAATTGGCAATTACTCGCTTAAAGATAATTCAGAATGGAACAAAATGGTTCAAGTGCTCACCATTAGCACAGGCTGTATGACCTGATATTCAATGGATATTGCCTATTTTAAAGTAAGACATTATAGGAAACAAGGAGACCATTGCCAGCCTTTACTGGTGTATCACCTCAGCCTCCCAAAATGCTGAGATTACAGGCATGATCCACCATGTACAGGCCAATTCCAAAAGTTTTATAAAGGTTCTGTGACTTCCTCCGACTTCCCTTCACCTACAAAACAAGCATTACTGAGAATTCCAATATATAATACAAATAAAGCAACTGCTGTGACCAAAGTACCTATCTTGATATGAGTGTGTATTCATGGTCTGCTAAACTTTTTAAAATTGCTTTAAATAGAGGCCTTTTAGATGCAATAAAAATGATAGAGATGATATCACCACCAATCCCACAGAAATATAAACTACCATCAGAGAATACTATAAACACCTCTACACAAATAAACTAGAAATTCTGGAAGAAATGGGTAAATTCCTCCACACATACACCCTCCCACGACTAAACCAGGAAGAAGCTGAATCTCTGAATAGACCAATAACAGGCTCTGAAATTGAGGCAATAATTAATAGCTTACAAACCAAAAAAAGTCAAAGTTGTATTCTACCAGAGGTACAAGGAGGAGCTGGTACCATTCCTTCTGAAACTATTCCAATCAATAGAAAATGAAGGAATTCTCTCTAACTCATTTTACTAGGCCAGCATCATCCTGATACCAAAGCCTGGCAGAGACACAACAACAAAAAAAGAGAATTTTAGATCAATATCCCTGATGAACATTGATGCAAAAATCCTCAATAAAATACTGATAAACTGAATCCAGCAGCACATCAAAAAGCTTATTCACCATGATCAACTGGGCTTCATCCCTGGGATGCAAGTCTGGTTCAACATATGCAAATCAATAAATGTAATCCAGCATATAAACAGAACCAGTGACAGAAACCACATGATAATCTCAACAGGTGCAGAAAAGACTTTTGACAAGATTCAACAGCGAGTCATGCTAAAATCTCTAAATAAATTAGGTATTGAATGGAATGTTCTCAAACTAATAAGAGCTATTGATGACATATCCACAGCCAGTATCATACTGAATGAGCAAAAACTGGAAGCATTCCCTTTGAAACTTGGCACAAGACAGGGATCCCCTCTCTCACCACTCCTATTCAACATAGTGTTGGAAGTTCTGGACAGGGCAATCAGGCAGGAGAAAGAAGTAAATGGTATTCAATTAGGAAAAGAGGAAGTCAAATTGTCCCTGTTTGCAGATGACATGATTGTGTATCTAGAAAACCTCATCATCTCAGCCCCAAATCTCCCTAAGCTGATAAGCCACTTCAGCAAACTCTCAGGATACAAAATCAGTGTGCAAAAATCACAAGCATCCTTATACACCAATAACAGACACACAGAGAGCCAAATCATGAGTGAACTCCCATTCACAATTGCTTCAAAGAGAATAAAATACCTAGGAATCCAACTTATAAGGGATGTGAAAGACCTCTTCAAGGAGAACTACAAACCACTGCTCAATGAAATAAAAGAAGATACAAACAAATGGAAGAACATTCCATGCTCATGGGGAGGAAGAATCAATATCGTGAAACTGGCCATACTGCCCAAGGTAATTTATAGATTTAATGTCATCCCCATCCAGCTACAAATCACTTTCTTCACAGAACTGGAAAAAACTACCTTAAAGTTCATATGGAACCAAAAAAGAGCCCTCATTGCTAAGTCAATCCTAAGCCAAAAGAACAAAGCTGGCAGCATCACGTTACCTGACTTCAAACTGTACTACAAGGCTACAGTAACCAAAACAGCATGGTGCTGGTACCAAAACAGAGATATAGAACAATGGAACAGAACAGAGCCCTCAGAAATAATGCCGCATATCTACAACTATCTGATCTTTGACAAACCTGACAATAATAAGCAATGGGGAAAGGATTCCCCATTCAATAAATGGTGCTGGGAAAAGAGGCTAGCCATATGTAGGAAACTGTAACTGGATCCCTTCCTTACACCTTATACCAAAAGCAATGGCAACAAAAGCCAGAATTAACAAATGGGATCTAATTCAACTCAAGAGCTTCTGCACAGCAAAAGAAACTACCATCAGAGTGATCAGGCAACCTACAGAATGGGAGAAACTTTTTGCAATCTGCTCATCTGACAAAGGGCTAATATCCAGAATGCAGAAGCTACAATGAACTCCAACACATTTACAAGAAAAAAACAACCCCATCAAAAAGTGGGCGAAGGATATGAACAGACACTTCTCTAAAAAACTTTTATGCATCCAAACGACAGATGAAAAAATGCTCATCATCACTGACCATCAGAGAAATGCAAATCAAAACCAAAATAGATACCATCTCACACCAGTTAGAATGGCGATCATTAAAAAGTCAGGAAACAACAGGTGCTGGAGAGGACGTTTAGAAATAGAAACACTTTTACACTGTTGATGGGACGTTAAACTAGTTCGACCATTGTGGAAGTCAGTATGGTGATTCCTCACAGATCTAGAACTAGAAATATACCATTTGACCCAGCCATCCCATTATGGGGTATATACCCAAAGGATTATAAATCATGTTGCTATAAAGACACATGCACATGTATGTTTATTGTGGCACTATTCTCAACAGCAAAGACTTGGAACCAACCCAAATGTCCAACAGTGATAGACTGGATTAAGAAAATGTGGTACATGTACAGTATGGAATAGTATTCAGCCATAAAAAATGATGAGTTCATGTCCTTTGTAGGGACATGGATGAAGCTGGAAATCATCATTCTCAGCAAACTATCACAAGGACAAAAAACCAAACACAGCATGTTGTCACTCATAGGTGAGAATTGAACAATGAGAACACATGGACACAGGAAGGGGAATGTCACACCCTGGGGCCTGTTGTGGGGTGAGGGGAGGAGGGGGAGGGATAGCATTAGGGGATGTACCTAATGTTAAATGATGAGTTAATGGGTGCAGCACACCAACATGGCACATGTATAGATATGTAACAAACCTGCACACTGTGCACATGTACCCTAAAACTTAAAGTATAATAAAAATATAAAATAAATAAATATATAAATATATAAATAGAGGCTTTTGACACATCTAAATGGCTGAGCACAAATGTTAATGTAATCCTGGATTATCTTTGGCAACTCTCCTAAAAACTGCCTTACAACTTTTTGCAAGTATGAGTATCAACGGTTTACTCTCTGAGGGAAAGGAAATCATCAGCAGGACCACTATTCCTAGCCACTGGCAGAAGCATATATGCAACACTTAGCACAGCACACATGTTTCCTTGGCTTCTTGACTCCTGCTGTGTATACTGCCTATACATTTTTATAACATCTCTAAATGTATAAATGAATTACTGTGAATGTATGTGCTATCACATTTCATTCCCAGCTGCAGAATATGTTAGTTTTAAATCTATCTACCAAATCTTGACTCTGACATTTATTTTTGGATTGTTACATTAAAATCAACCACCTAGGACATTCTCCGTGGCTCACACCTGTAACCTCAGGGCTTCGGAAAGCCGAGGTGGGTAAATCACCTGAGGTCAGGAGTTTGAGACCAGTCTGGCTAACATGGTGAATCCCTGTCTCTACTAAAAATACAAAAATTCAGCACACATGGTGTTGGGGCCTGTAGTCCCAGCTACTCCAGAGACTGAGCCAGGAGAGACACTTGAAACCGTGAGGCAAATATCATTCCATTGCACTCCAGCCTGGGCAACAGAACGAGACTTCATCACAACAACAACAGCAATAAAATCACAAACAAACCAAATAAACAAGTGGCACCATTATTCTAGATTGAGTATTTGATCATGGAAAACTCAATTCCTGCCAGTTCATGATCTCTATTAATAGCACAGCAACTTATTTGAAAGCAGATGGAAACATTTCAGATTAAATTTTAATTAGTTTTCCCTTATATAGGCTGCTTCCTTGCTCTCTTTAGAGTTCGCTAATAAAATCAACTATGAACACTAAGAGGGAAAATATAAAAACAATTTGCCTCCAGAATATTCTACTAATTACTATCATAAGTTGTGTTCCTAAATACCCATTTGACTGGCTCTGAAGACTTGCTTGCCAAGGGAGTTGACAGAGATAGTTCTGATGAGAAAAGGCCCTCTGAAAGGTAAGCTGTGCAGCGTAAGGAAGTTACTTGAAAAGGCCAGTTTCCTGACAGAAATTGAATCCTTTATTCTATCATCAGATTTTAAAATTTAAAAATTATAGAACATGCCTTACTTTTATATGTAAATCATAAACATCAGTAAAGATGTGATTTATTCCATCTTCTTGCCATGAAGCATAATAAATCTCATATGTGACATAAATAAGGCAATATTTTCCTTATAAATAAAAAACAAAAAGCAACCAGTTCATTGATATAATAGTCTTCAAACTGGTCATGTGCCACGTATTTCTGATGGAAGAGTTGAATACATTACCTGTGTTTAAAATTATCTTAGTTGTATCAGAAAGTGAATATAAGCATTGTAAATGAAAAAATAACTACAAAATAAGGTAACATCACCCTCGATATGATTCAGATAAACTTTTTGGTGTGTATGCAACTTAGTTTAAAAATTAGCTGTTCAACAAAATATTTTCTCCCCTAATAAAAAAAAGTAGCCCCATAAATGGAAACTTTTACATGCATACAAATTGTGTCGTGTACAGTGTCAGAGCCTGGCATCTGTGTTACATGTTCTTCTAGTTTGTGAACCCAAACTTTAGTTAATTATCTTTACTAAAAAGGTAAAGGTATGCCCTGGAGTAATGAATACTGACACAAACCAGTTTCTGGACTTGCCTACAGTTTTCAAGTACATGTTCAAAAGTCACATGTTCTCATCTATGAGGTCGAGAGCAGCATGGCCTATGAACTGGTGCAGATGACGTCAGTGGTTGTAAATGACAGTGTGAGCAACAACAGATTAACATACCCACATGGAATGAAGAATGCCAACATTTCATTCTGTAAATCCTATAGATTGTTTTGTGCATGCAGGAAAAAAAAAAACAGTTTAATTTTACTGTGTTTGTTATTGTCAAGAGACATACGAGAGATCTGTTTTCACATTATATTCTATTTTTAAATTTCATATCTAAAACTCAAAGAACAGAAACAGTCAATTAATAAATGATACACAAACACATACACACAGAACACATAGACACACACACACACACACATACACATATCCTGTGGAGAAGAGGTGCCATTCACACCAGGCCTCAAGGTCTGAGAGGAAGCTGAGAGGGCTGGGCTTTATGCAAATTAGCACCAGGTATCACCAGGTAAGCACTACAGACAGTTGAAATGACACTTGGAAGGGCTACAGATGCCTTTATTCAGTGCATGTAGTTAACATGGTAGCCGGTCCTGGGCGTAGTTAGAGATGATGCCCAGCCCCGACTGTGAGCAGTCATCTGTGTCATCAAAAGGAAAAAGTTTTGTTAGAGCTGGGGGTGTCCTTTTCCTGGGCTGAAATGGCTAAAGTTAACAGGAGGTGGAACTGTCTGACCATGATATGAAGAAGAAATTCACAACTTGGAATGTAATCTTACACCAATGTAATTATTTCTTTAAAAATATAGTTTTAAAATAACACCTCAGTTACAGGTTGAAGTGTCTTCTCTCCAAAATTCCTTTGTTGATGTCCAAAGGGGCAGTACCATAGAATGTGGCCTCACTGAGAAAGAGAGTTTACATGTACATGTCATTATTTCAGAAGAGGTCATTTTAGAGTGGGGTGGGCCCCTAATAAAACCACTCATGTATATAGAAAAAGGGAGCATTTGGAGATGCACACAGGGAGAAAAATGACACAGGAAGACTGGCGTTACATTGCCACAAGCCAGGGAAATTCCAGAAGCTGAGAGATAAACCAAACAGATTTTACCTGAGGACCCACATAGGAAGCATGGCACCACTGACACCTTGATTTTAGACAGTGGCCCTCAGAAATGAGGCAATAAATTTCTGCTGTCCAAAGCCACTAAATTTTTGGTACTTTGTTACAACAGGCACAGGAAACAGAGAGAGCCTCCTCGCCAAGGAAGCTGTTCCCAATCCTGGGCTGGAAGAGGGTGGCCAAATGCCCCCAAATCCCTCAGACATCTAAAGCATGTTTTACTTCACTCATGTCATCACAACAAACCTAAGTGAATCCTTAGATAAATGGATGTTTTTCTGTCTCAATCCCACAGTGGTTTCTTTTACAGTAATGATCAATACTGAAAGATCAAGAGCAAATTGTGAAAATGCCTTAACGAGGTGAATGGTAGCAGGAGAAAGAAATAAAATCAATATATGCAACAAATTATTTTTATGTGTGCTCCTTTGTTTACTAGAGGGCCAGTGGAGTGCACAGAACATATATACAAATAGCTGCATCCCAGAAAGCAATACTGCTACAACTACTCAAAACAAGTTTTAATGAGTAGTGTTCTCATAATATGAAAAAATAATGTCACAACAACACCTGTCATATAATTCTGTCTATCATATTTTGGTGACAGGTCCTCAATAGTTGAAAAATATCACACACATTAACATTATACATTGCAAGTAACTTACCATGTCAGTTCCTTAAAGGTCATTAAATCTGACTTAGGTGCTTGAGAGAAACAGTGCAAACATGACAGCAACGTATTAGAAACATAAATTGGAAAGGACTGGGCTCTTATATAAAAAATCTACCAGCCTGTTTCCTCCAAATGGCAACATGTTCTCGAGACAAGCCTGGTTTCTGGAAACATTGTTGACAAGAAAGTCAGTGTCATCACCTCTGGTGCTGCTTTTGAGCTTCCTGTGCAGGGCCATGGTGGTCACTGGGGAGGAAAGCATGCATGTATGACCAGCCAGGAAGTGCTGCTAGGGGTCACTGAACGTCTTTTTTACCCCATAGGTCCTGATGGGAAAACGGGATTCATGAAAACTGCCTAAACATTCATGGATGACATTTCAAGGCCACAACTTGCTACATGTGGACTAGGTTTTTAAGTGCTGAAGCAGCAGCAATTCATGGTCGGTGACACAGTGAACTGAATATCATGGGAAAGTCAGAGGTCATGCTAGTCTGTGCTGAAATAAAGTATACATAAACGACTCATAGGATACTCCCCAGCTGGCTTCTATCAGGCTCTGGGACTCCAGAGTAAGCCTTATTTAATTGTGTTGGATTTCATTTAAATTATGTTACACTATATTATTACAATAGAATAAAAATTCTTATGAAATTTAAGCTTCCACACGTACTTTGGATTCTGCCTTCCCAGCTGGCAAAACCTCCCTTTCAAAAACTGGATTATCATGGTGGCCAACAATTACAAAGTAGAAGCTCCTAGACATGGTCTTAAATATGTGGCTCCTGATGAAGTAAAAAATAGTATATATTTTTAGCAGTCAATACTGAAATTTAAATGTGACTAATGAGAAGTGTAAAATTCTTCTGTTTTGCTTTCTAACTTAAACCTGAATGATGCCACTAAACTTGTCACCATTTCCCGCATACTAGTGAAGATATGTGGCTTCTGGAATAAACAAAGCATATAACTGTGGTATTTCTTGTAGAATCTTATGTGTTTCCATACGAAAACTAAAAGATCTCTGAGATAAAATCACAGACAACATTCTCATGATCTGAAAGCACGGCACATTCAGCTCAAGGGATCCTGAGTGTCTGGTGGAGTAAGCTAGGCTTCACTTGGACTGGACCCGTTAGCAGAAGCACTGACACTTAAAAAAAGCTTAACAGAGGTAGACGGTAAGTTAAGGACCATAGAGTGGTGAGAAGATGAAGGAATTAATTAGCTTGCCTTAGAAATTTCCATAAGACATCCGTTGGCGGAAGCTAAAACCAACTGTCCCTCATGTCACTCACCGAGAAAAGAGAGGCAATGTAGCCCTTTGTGCTCCATTTGTCTTCTTTCTCCCTGAACTATGTGTGCTATAAATATATGTCTTTGCTAATAAAAGAGACTATGATATGCCTCGTCATACGCCAATTTCTAAGAAAGAAAGTTTCGTATTCTATAAAAGATGGAATAAATAATCCATAAAGGAAAACATTCTGAGGCACTGAGAGATCTTAAAACTAAGTTTAACAGATTGGGGCAGGTGTGATTGCTCATGCCGGTAACTCCAGCACATTGGAGGGCTGAGGCAGGCAGCCTGATTAAGCCCAGGAGTTTGAGACCAGCCAAGGCAACAACATGAAAGAAGAAATACATCTCTACAAAAAATACATCTCTACAGAAATACTAAAACTTGCTGGGTGAGTTGGTGTGTGCCTGTAGTCCCAGCTACTCTGGAGTCTGACAGGGGAGAATCACCTGATCCCAGCAGGGCTCAAGGCAGCAGTAAGCTGAAATACCCTGACCAAAAAAAAAAAAAAAAAAAAAAAAAAATAACAGATTAACAAAAGAAATAAATCTATGAGAAACTGGGGAAAATATAAGCGATTTCATTTCTTCTAGTGCAGATAATTAAAATATAGATGAATAATGGATGGGTGGGAACGTGGGTGGATATAATCAATGGTAACCCAACTGTGTGTACTTTTAACACAAGGGATTTAAAATCCAAGGAAGTTAGGTTCCAGATAGCTCTGCTAATTACTTGCAATGTGACCAGAGGGAGCCCATCATCTATTGTTGGTCTTCTCCTTTATGGAATAGTGGTAACTTTGTAACACCTTCCAGTAAAGTACCCAGCACAATGTCTGACTCACAGGACATGCTCAATTAATATTATCTAGAATAACATGGAAGGCCAAATTCATACTGATATGTGGTGACTAGTAAAATTCTCAACATGGGGTGGAAATTGAGTAAACAAGGAGTTAGTCAAACCCCTGGAAGATACATCTGAGGTGGGTTAGAAGACAAGTCTCATGAAGCCTCACCGGGCCTTCAGCTGATTCACATACACACAATGAAATCAGAAGAAACATGATATGTACTTGCTAATGAATGACAAATTTTATAAAGGAAATCAAGGCACAGCTGCCATGACTGACATACCTGCATTGGCATGAGTGTGTATTCATGGTCTGCTCAATTTTTCCATTGCTTTAAATAGGGTCCTTTGAAGAATCTCCAAGGAACACTTGTCCCAGAGGCCCTGAGGAGGTAGCTACACAGAACTACATTTTATAAAGAAAATCAAGGCACAGCTGGCGGTTTTAAATTTAGAATTGGACGGTTATATATATGGCCGGGTGAGTGAGGAGACTTGGGAGGAAGCTGACGATGGGAGAAAGCTGGCACCTGATGACTCAGGAATACACAACTGCCCTTCATCGGGGACAGGTGGAAATGAAGTCTCCTTGATGTTCCTTAAAACCTCTTTCCCCACTAGGACATTCGGGGCTTCCCCAGAGGCCACTGGTCTTTTTTCAGTAGTCCACCTTCCCTCTACCCCCCAGGTAAGCTGTAACCATTTTGTCTTCTAGTCCAACTTGCTCCCTATGTGTGATGTGTTGAGTTAAGATGAGCTGTGCAAAAAACGACACCAAATGTTGAAGGATTGGGGTGTACTGGGCACACTCAAAGTGTCGGATTTAGGTTTATCTGTTCCATATCTTTTAAAAGTGTAACCTGTAACAGGTAGTTCACATTTAAATTCACCCAGTGATTTTCAGTTTTGATACTCTATAATGAAATATTACAGTCTCTTTGAAACCACTGAGAAAATGTTGCATTTGAGTCACATTAAAGGAGAATATTCAAATAAATAATTGAGATGACAATAAGGAGTAGAAAGCATTTGTGTAATGATCACATTTTAATAAGATTGGGCCTGTTTTATAAATTGGCTTACAGGTTCCTAAACTAACAAAAGGGTTTGTAATACATTTGGATGAGGGACATTAACACTATATAGAAAATACTAGTGTACTATTTTAATAGTTTGGGGAACGAATACTTTCATCTTTAAACTATAGTGAAATGCCTGAATATTTCCTTTGAGCAGCACATATCTGGTAGTATAGTTTATATTTGGATTAACAGCTAGGAATTGGGTTAGCTCAATGTGTTTTCATTGCAATATGCATTTCAAAGGCATATTTTACGTTTAAAAATGTATATATGCTCTGTATATATCCGCTTGAAATTTAAATTATATGGTGTGAGCATTTCTCTGTTTCCTTAAAAGTTTCTTGAAATGCCCCTTCTTAGTGGCAACAGGCTGATCTTTGGAAATTTTTGTAACATACATAGCAGTCCCTTGTTGTTGAATATTTTGGTTATATTTTCCAGCATTCCACAAGGTGTGATGAACTGGCAGAATTTTTTCCTATACTTCATATCCCAAGTGTAAGCTGGTGAAATGGGTTTCTAGGGAAGTGAAGTGAAGAGTCTGCAAATGGGTCTGGTTAACCACCAGTTTCACGTGGAAGCTGAGGAAAGAAATATTTTTCTAGAACACACTGGCCTTCTTTTCTCACTTGTGCAGGGGAGGGTTCCTAATTTCTGGTCATGGATCTAGAAACATTATGGAAATAAAAGGGAGTTGTCTAATGAATGTACTACATCTGGTATATCTCTTCTGAGACAATCGTACTGAGTTTTTTTTTCCCTTGCCTGACTTCCTTCTTTATTTCCTTCCTTCCTTTTTTCTTCCTTTCTCCTTTCCTCCCTTTCTCCCTCCCTCACTTTATTCCTTCCTTCCTTCTTTCCTTCCTTCCTTCCTTCCTTCCTTCCTTCCTTCTTTCTTCCTTTCTCCTTTCCTTCCTTTCTCCCTCCCTCACTTCCTTCCTTCCTTCTTTCCTTCCTTCCTTCCTTCCTTCTTTCCTTCTTCTCTTTCTTCCTTTCTTTCTTTCTTCCTTCCTTCCTTGCTCTCTTGCAAGACGCAAACTCAAAACCAGCTAATTCATGAGTGGTTGCACCCTGTGTTGAATGGAGAATTGCAACCTCAGTCCATTTCATGTCAAAGGAACTCCCTCTTACTACCAGCCTCTAACTCTTTAGTGGCTGATAACTTACAAAGATGCTGCTATGACTATTCACTTTCTGTTTTATTTCCAGAAATTGTTCAGCAAAATAAAAGCTAACATATTTCCTTTTCTGTTTCTGAACTTTTTATTGACAGTTTCTTCTTCGCTGACTGTAACATGCTGCATTATAGTGGATTGCTTTTAAACTAGGTCCATTTCTCATTCCTCTTTGAGTTTACATTGTACCTGCATATGATGCATTTGTTATATAACAAGTGGGTAGTAAATTTGAAATTGATTTCTTGGTATCATATTTAGTCTTTGGTAAAATTGTGATCTACAATCTCTAAATGTTTAAGAGCTAAAATTGATTTATCTATATTCTGTGTTGTTTGATAAGACTCTGCCAACCTGCTGAATGTCTGCTCTGAGCTTGGCACTGTGATATACACACAACAGATGTTTTGTCTGTCACAGATGAGGAACCAGGCTGTGGAGAAGTGAATTAAGTAACTTAAATGATTTAATTCTTAAAACCTGTAAAGTTTCCAAATAATAAAAAGACTTTCATTCTATTTTTAGTATATTTCTAATTATTTAACTATATTTCTTCATCGTTATTGTGAACATTCATCCCACTTTATTATTTTAAAGGTAGATGCAGCAAACTTTTCCCTGTAAATATATGTGCATGTGTGTGTGAGTGTGTGTGCATGTTTCATAGACTTTGCTTTTCAGAGAAGTTTTTAGTTCACAGTGAGGTTGATGGAAATGTACAAAGAATTCCTACACACCCACTGCCCCTACACATGCACAGTCTCTCCCACTGTCAACATTTTGCATCAAGGTGGTACATTTGCTACAATTGATAAAACTACCTTGACATGTCATTATTGCCCAAAATCTATAGTTAACATTAAATTTCACTCTTGGTGGTGTGTATATATTTTTTACTTTCTTTATGTTGTCTATAATTATATAAAGATTTCCTATTCCAAAGTTTTAAGAACACGAGAAGCTTAGTATCATATTTATTTTCTTTGAGATGGAGTATTACTCTGTTGCTCAGGCTGGAGTGCAGTGGCATGATCTTGGTCTGCAAACTTCACCTCCCGAGTTCAAGTGATTATCCTGTCTCAGTCTCCCAAGTACCTGGGATTACAAGTACTTGCCCAAGCACCTGTTTAATTTTTGTATTTCTAGTAGAGGTGGGTTTTCACCATCCTGGCCAGGTTGGTCTCACACTGCTGATCTCAAGTAATCCATTTGCCTCGGCCTCCAAACGTGCTGGAATTACAGATGTGAGCCACAATGCCTGGCCTTAGTACAGTATTTGAATGAAAACTTTAAGTATGCTGAGTTTCTTCATGAGCAACCAAATTTTACTTACCGGCAATATGAATGTATTTGTATACATATTTAATTTTTAGAAGCAGGGTCTCGCTCTGTCATCAAGACTGAAGTGCAATGGCATATTCTCAGGTGACTGCAACATCTGCTCCCAGATTCAAGCAATTATACTACTACACACTTTCAAGCAGCTGGGATTACAGGTGCACACCACTTTCTGCTATTTTTTTTTTTTTTTTTTTGGTAGACTGGGTTTTGTATGGTGGTGAGTGTTGTTTCAAATCATGAGCTCATGTATTCTGCCCGTTTAGCCTGCCCAAGTGCTGTAATTATAACTGTGGGGCACTGTGCCTTGCCTGAAATTCATTTTTGATACATCTTTCTCTAACTTTCTAATCACTCTATACTTCTACTTATTGTGTATTTACCAATTGTATAATGGTTATAACAGGAATTAATCCCACTCAAACAACTTAATGGCTTCTGCTAATATAAATTACCCACTCAAATATTTTCTTTAAAGGAAATCCAGCTGAAAACACGTCAGTGTTCTCAGAGTTGACATAATTACTGATACATACTGCAGTAGGAATATATATAAACAGCTGTCCAAAATGTCTGTTTAACAGTATTGTAAGTGCAGTTTAATTATGATTTTAAGGACAGTGAAAATTTAGTTTGTTTACATTTTTAAACACTACTTTTAAAAAATTGTAACTGAATGACCTTTGATGTGAAATACTTAGAGGTTAAGTACATGATCAAGAAAAATTTTTTATTATTTTGACCTCAATATGATTTGTAATTTAACAGTGTAAGAAAGAGCTTTAATTTTGCTTTGTTAGCATGGTCATAATCTTATTTTTTCTGAAAGTTGTCTCTTAATCTCATATTCATAAACATATTATATTGTTTCATTTAAACACTGCTATAAAACTATGTCTGATTAGTAACCTTTTATTTTTTTAAGGTATTTACTTTGCAGTATTGATTACACTCAATAAAAAATCACCCTACTTCCAGTTTCTACAAATCATTGTTAGATTACTTAGTTTCTATAATCTACTTTGGTTTGTTAATGATAAGTGAATAGCTTTATAAAGGTAAAATGGTTTTTTTAACAGGTCTCAGGATTTCATAAAGAAAATCAAAAAGGTAGAAGCATGCAACTTTGTAAACTATTGCAAAATTTTTCTAGTACTTTTTTCTTATAAAAGAATTAAGCTAATTTTGAGGAAGAAGAGTAAGGAATTTAAGTTCATTTAAATTACATGTTTTTCCTGCTGACCATATCTTACTTTTTAAACAATAGTTCACATGTTCTGCAGTTCCCATATTTTCATTTTTGTAATAACTTTTATATAGTCAAATAAGAAAACTTCAGACAGTACCAAGGGTCCTACAGACACTGAAAGATACTGTTTGTAAAAATATCCACTGTTGGGAACATTTCTAAAAAAAAAAAAAACCCTCAAAAAACTGACTTTTAAGCCAATTGTCTTGTATACTAAGTATGCCTCTCATGTACAACTGATAGAGTATTAAATGTATTAATATGTCATTAAAGAAGAAAATACATGTTTAGTAATATGTAATATTACTTTTATTCTTAAATGTTTGCACAGATCTGATTAGTTGACTAAATTTTGGCCTTTATATAAAACTTTTATGAAGTTTGTAACTACTGTGGGTTCCAGATCATTGGTTAGACTTGATAATGGGCTTTGTAGCATAAACATAAGCTGGCAACTTGCACTTTATTCTAAGTTATCCCTTAGGTCTTTTAAAATAATCTGTGAATTAGTAATATTCTTTTTGTGTTGCTACCCCCTTGGGATTTTGTCTGTTGCATGCATTTCTATCATCCTGACAGAGACATTTATTCATTCATCCATTGATTCAGAACTTAATCATTTGAGTACATACTTTCTGCCAGCCATTGACTCCGTGACTTAATTGCCAAGTTTCATTGTAATAATGTTAGCAGAAGATACACAAATTGAACAACAAGACTTTCTAGGCTGCCTGCACACTAGACCATCCCTACTGAAATTCAGTATGGTAAGTGATTCTATATTCTGTGCTCTAAGCATGATCCAGAGTAACTCTTTGTGATGGTGGAGATGTCTTTATCTATACTGTTTAATGTGGTAACTGTTGGTCTCATGTGGCTATTGAGCAACTGAAATGTAGCTAATATAACTGAATAAATTTTTAACTTACATTTAGTTAGCTACATATGCACAGTGACTACCATAATGAACAGCATAATTCTAAAGTATATAGCAGGTATCTATTACTTAATTGTTACTTCAAAAGAAAATGTATGGCTTCAAGTGATATTAAGGAATAATGTATGGGCCAGGAACAATGCCTCATGCTTGCAATCCCAGGAGTTTGGGAGGCTGAAGGAGGAGGACCACTGAAGGTCTAACGTTTTAAATCAGCCTGGGCAGAACAGTGAAACCCCATCTCTACCAAAAATTCAAAAATTTGTGAGGTGTGGTGGCAAGTGCCTTTTATCCCTGCTACTCTTGAGGCTGAGGCATGATAACCACTTGAACTTGGGAAGTGAAGTTTGTAGTGTGCTGAGATGACATGACTACACTCCAGCCTGGGTGACACAACTAGATGCCATTTTACTCCCCACCAAAAAAAAAAAAAAAAAAAAAAAAAAAAACGAAAGAAAAGAAAAGAAAAAAAAGAAAAAGAAAGAAGAAATAAAAAAGACAGAAAGACAAGAAAGAAAGACAAGAAAGAAAGAAAGAAAAGAAAAGAAAGAAAGAAGAGGGGAAGAAGCAAGGAAGGCAGCAAGGGAAGGAGGGAGGAAGGAAGGAAGGAAGGAGGGAAGGAAGGAAGGAAGGAAGGAAAAAATAAAGAAAGAAAATAAAGGAAGCTCTTGTAGCACTTTTTACATGGTGACACCAGCTTCGAGGATCTGTCTTTTGCAGACATTTGACCCCACAATGGATGCATGAAGTACACTGACACACAGATATTCTGCATTGCCAGTCCAGCCGAAGCTGGGTTTCTGAGCCACTTACAGACTCCAGTAGAGCTTTGTGAACAGTTGCAACTGTGGCCCTGACCAGCTATTGAGACTCGCATTTATCGGTAAAGTTTAATTGACAAAGACTTGAGTCAGTGAAACTAGGGGGTAATTGACATTGTGGACTTCGCGAGTGGAAAGCACTTAAGCACACATGGTATATCAAAGGTTAGTCTTAAGACCACGTGAGTAAACAAGCTAGCTAGATAACTTCGCCACATTCATTTGTTATTACTTTAATTTATTTAACTAAAGGTAAAGCAGGTCACCTTCAACCATATCTATAACTGAAGTTATGCTAACTCTCTGACCTTCCAAGATGGTTTGTGGCTATTACTATAACTATCTAATATTTTTCCCACCAGCCTGACTGAGCCCCCAACATGAAAGAATCTATATACTTACTATATTACATTATCCTTAAAAATAGTTTTTCCATCTTTACACAGTCTCTCTGACTATATCTGGTTTACAAAAACGTCTGACTGTCAAACCTTACCGGCTTTACCTAGCATCCTGGTAAAATTTCCGAAAGTCAGAAAAATGATGAGTAGGAAACATATGAGTCATCCTCGTACCAAAATCTGGATAGAACACTTAGCTAACAATAAAATAGTTTCCGGTAAAACAAAATTGTTTTAAAAAGTGGTGGCTTCCAATTAAACAACAGAAAACTTATAGGAAGATATATTGTACAGAACTCTGTTCTGTGCCCTGACTCAGACACCTGTGATCTTATCTTATCCTACTATACCCACACTCAGGGGATGTTAAGCTGTTGAATAGTCACAATACTCACCTCCTAGATTCTAGTCACCCATTCTTCCCACTCTTAATATTTCCTTTGAGAGATAAAGATACACAGATAGTGATATGCACAAAATTTGGATGAGGAAAGAAAATTTGGACATTGGCCCTTTGCTTTTAGAAACTTAAAATTCTATCTATAATTGGCAAAGAATAGACACATACATCAATGGGAACAGAAATAGAGAATCAAGAAATAGATTCACACAAATATTGTCAATTGATTTTTCAAACAATGGAGCAATGCAATTCAATAGAGGAAAGATAGTCTTTTCAAAGTGTGGTTCTGGAACCATTGAATATTCATACGCAGGGAAATGAACCATAAGCCTAAATGCAAATTGCAAAACTATAAAATTTCCAGGTAAAAGCAAGAGAAAGTCTATGTGGTCCTGAGTTTTGTGATATATGACATATAAAAGATAAATGAAAAAACAAATAGATGCTTAATTGAAATTAAAAGCATCACTCTGGAAGACACTGTTAAGAGAATGAAAGTGACCCACTGTCAAAACCCATAAAGTTTACATCACCAAGAGTAAACATTAATGTTCACAAATTTTGGTCTGATGATTTCTGCATGGAATGCAGACTGTGACAAAACAATCTAACTGTAATCCCCTCACTTAGAGGATGGGGATGGGGATAAGGTGTTGAGCTGACTAATGATTTTAGTTTCAAGAAACTAAAGATTTCTAAAGAATTTATGCTTCCGGTTTAAAACAAAGTTTCAGGCTATTCAGAAGGATATAAAGTGAAAAGAAACTAGCAATTTCTGCTCATTTTGTCTAATCTCACTCACCACTGATAACTAGAATTTTTTATTTTATTTTATTATTATTATACTTTAAGTTTTAGGGTACATGTACACAATGTGCAGGTTAGTTACATATGTATACATGTGCCATGCTGGGGTGTAGCACCCATTACTCGTCATTTAGCATTAGGTATATCTCCTACTGCTATCCCTCCCCCACCCCACAACAGTCCCCAGAGTGTGATGTTCCCCTTCCTGTGTCCATGTGTTCTCATTGTTCAATTACCACCGATGAATGAGAAAATGTGGTGGTTGATTTTTTGTCCTTGTGATAGTTTACTGAGAATGATGATTTCCAATTTCATCCATGTCCCTACAAAGGACATGAACTCATCATTTCTATGGCTGCATAGTATTCCATGGTGTATATGTGCCACATTTTCTTAATCCAGTCTATCATTATTGGACATTTGGGTTGGCTCCAAGTCTTTGCTATTGTGAATAGTGCCTCAATGAACATACGTGTGCATGTGTCTTTATAGCAGCATGATTTATAGTCCTTTGGGTACATACCCAGTAATGGGATGGCTGGGTCAAATGGCATTTCTAGTTCTAGATCCACACTGTCCACAAGACGCCACACTGATTCCCACAATGTTTGAAGTAGTTTACAGTCTCACCAACAGTATAGAACTGTTCCTATTTCTCCACATCCTCTCCAGCACCTGCTGTTTCCTGACTTTTTAATGATTGCCATTCTAACTGGTGTGAGATGGTATCTCATTGTGGTTTTGATTTGCATTTCTCTGATGGCCAGTGATGGTGAGTATTTTTTCATGTGTTTTTTGACTACACAAATGTCTTCTTTTGAGAAGTGTCTGTTCATGTCCTTCACCCACTTTTTGATGGGGTTGTTTGTTTTTTTCTTGTAAATTTGTTTGAGTTCATTGTACATTCTGGATATTAGCCCTTTGTCGGATGAGTAGGTTGTGAAAATTTTCTCCCATTTTGTAGGTTGCCTGATCACTCTGACGGTAGTTTCTTTTGCTGTGCAGAAGCTCTTTAGTTTAATTAGATCCCATTTGTCAATTTTGGTTTTTGTTACCATTGATTTTGGTGTTTTAGACATGAAGTCCTTGCCCATGCCGATGTCCTGAATGGTAATGCCTAGGTTTTCTTCTCTGGTTTTTATGGTTTTAGGTCTAACGTTTAAGTCGTTAATCCACCTTGAATTGATTTTTGTATAAGGTGTAAGGAAGGGATCCAGTTTCAGGCTTCTACATATGGCTAGCCAGTTTTCCCAGCACCATTTATTAAATAGGGAATCCTTTCCCCATTGCTTGTTTTTCTTGGGTTTGTCAAAGATCAGATAGTTGTAGATATGTGGCATTATTTCTGAGGGATCTGTTCTGTTCCATTGATCTATATGTCTGTTTTGGTACCAGTACCATGCTGTTTTGGTTACTGTAGCCTTGTAGTATAGTTTGAAGTCAGGTAACATGATGCCTCCCGCTTTGTTCTTTTGGCTTAGGATTGACTTGGTAATGCGGGCTCTTTTTTGGTTCCATATGAACTTTAAAGTAGTTTTTTTCCAATTCTGTGAAGAAAGTCACTGGTAGCTTGATGGGGATGGCATTGAATCTATAAATTACCTTGGGCAGCATGGCTATTTTCACGATATTGATTCTTCCTACCCATGAGCATGGAATGTTCTTCCATTTCTTTGTATCCTCTTTTATTTCCTTGAGCAGTGGTTTGTCGTTCTCCTTGAAGAGGTCCTTCAGGTCCCTTGTAAGTTGGATTCCTCGGTATTTTATTCTCTTTGAAGCAATTGTGAATGGGAGTTCACTCATGATTTGGTTTTCTGTTTGTCTGTTATTGGTGTATAAGAATGCTTGTGATTTTTGTACATTGATTTTGTATCCTGAGACTTTGCTGAAGTTGCTTATCAGCTTAAGGAGATGTTGGGCTGAGACAATGGGGTTTTCTAGATATACAATCATGTCGTCTGCAAACAGGGACAATTTCACTTCCTCTTTTCCTAATTGAACACCTTTTATTTCCTTCTCCTGCCTAATTGCCCTGGCCAGAACTTCCAACACTATGTTGAATAGGAGTGGTGAGAGAGGGCATCCCTGCCTTGTGCCAGTTTTCAAAGGGAATGCTTCCAGTTTTTGCCCATTCAGTATGATATTGGCTGTGGGTTTGTCATAGATAGCTCTTATTATTTTGAGATACGTCCCACCAATACCTAATTTATTGAGAGTTTCCAGCATGAAGCATTGTTGAATTTTGTCAAAGGCCTTTTCTGCATCTATTGAGATAATCATGCAGTTTTTGTCTTTGGTTCTGTTTATATGCTGGATTACATTTATTGATTTGCGTATATTGAACCAGCCTTGCATCCCAGGGATGAAGCCCACTTGATCATGGTGGATAAGCTTTTTGATGTGCTGCTGGATTCGATTTTCCAGTATTTTATTGGGGATATTTGCATCAATGTTCATCAAGGAATAACAGGCTCTGAAATTGTGGCAATAATCAATAGCTTACCAACCAAAAACAGTCCAGGACCAGATGGATTCACAGCCAAATTCTACCAAAGGTACAAGGAGGAACTGATACCATTCCTTCTGAAACTATTCCAATCAACAGAAAAAGAGGGAATCCTCCCTAACTCATTTTGTGAGGCCAACATCATCCTGATACCAAAGCCGGGCAGAGACACAACCAAAAAAGAGAATCTGAGATAACTAGAATTTCAATAATTTTGTTTCTTGGTTATTTTTGTAGAATTGTTTGTGTTTAAAACTCTATGTATTTCTAATTAAAACACACATTGAATAAAATTATATTATAGATTCTGTAGGCAGATTGCTTTTTCTATCCACCAATATATCTACTTGTAGCAGTATATTGAGACTAATTATTTTTAAAGTAAATATTTAACCCCCTACTGATGGAAATTTAGCTGTCTTCTTGTTTGCCTTTTCCCAATAGAGGTAACCAATATACAGTGTGCACCCTTTATGTGCTTGTACAAATATAGCTGTGTGAATTCATAGAATTGGAATGAGTAGATAAAAAGGCACCTGCATTTTGAATATATATAAGCACTGACACATTTCTCTTCCAAGTGTATCAGCACAGTTATACTTCCACTCCATTGCCAACATTAGCGTTAACAAAGTTTTAATCTTAGTGGTGTTACAGGGAAAATAATGGTTTCTTTTTTACTAATTTGCATTTATGATTTTCTTCATGTTTATTCAACATCTGATAATCTTGCTCATCTTCGAGCCATTTTACTTTTTATTTTTCCTACAATCTGGCCATGTTTTCCCCCATTTTTCAGTTTTGCTTTTTTTATTTTAACTGATTTGTAAGAGCTGTTTAACAATATTAAAATGTCATCACTTTAGTCCTGGTTATGCCTCCATATTATTGCAACTACTTTTCCAGTGTATTATTTATATTTATCTTATGCCATATGTAAATTTTTTATTTACATGTAGTGAGATTGATAAATATTACTCCTTATTCCTTTCAGGTTTTGTATCATGCTTGGGAAAGACTTTTTAAAGATTTATTCTTAAAAGCTATAACCAGACAAAGTGGCTCATTCTTGTGATCCCAGCACACTGTGATGCCCAGGAAGGAGGATCACTTGAGGCCATGAGTTTGAAATCAGCTGGGAAGGCAACATAGCGAGACTCTGTCTCCAAAAAAAAAAAAAAAAATTAAATTAGCTGGGCCTGGTGCATGGTGGTAAATTCCTGGGCATTTTCAACATACAGAAAAGTTGAAACAATTCTGGTCAACACTTACACACCTACCACCTAGATTCTACTAATACATTTGTGTTATATAGGCTTTATCATTTTAATCTGTGCATCTATTCATCTTACATTTTTTTGTATTTCAAAGTACATTGCAGGCAGCGATAGGTTCCCCTAAGTATACTTTTTACTTTCGAACCAGAAATCTGGCCTCTTACACACCTGACCATGCTTCTGTGTCCTAATTTGGCCTGCTACTTTTTAATAGTTGAGAACCTTCAGCTTCTTGATCAATTGGCAGATGCTTATCCTCAGCATATAAAGCTTGAGTCTTTAGAAGTAAAGCTAAATGAATATAAGAGAGAAATAGAAAAACAACTTCTGGCAGAAATGTGTCAAAACGTAATCTGTATCTTGTTACAGTTAACAAGAGTCATATTTTTGTTTGTCATCTAAAGATTTACTCTTAGGTATGTTAAAAAAATACCTGGAATTTTTAATAAAAAATAGGGTACTTCACTGTTGCGCATATCAATTTTTTCTTATGAGATTTGTTTATCCCTTTTGATTGAGTCCTACAAATACAGTAAATGATATAAAACTGTAGATTAAATAAATATAACATATTTGGACAGAGCATTGATATGGAGCCTAGCGGTGGAGAGAGGAACTGTTGCTTTTCTAATAGTATAATGATTGGGACTTTTATATTTTTGTAATCAATTTGCAGTTGAAGTTTTATGGAAGTGATAAGAGAGTATGAGAAGGAATTAGCTATGTTCTGAAGTGATTCTGAGAGAGCTTGTCAAGCAGAATCTGAAGCCCTCAGTCTTCAGGAAAAGTGTATCCTTGAGAGAAATCAAAAGAACCAAGAGGTGGTATTTATGAATATTTTACTGGGTGGCTATTTCCTACAGTTATTACTGGGTTGACTCAAGATCCAGGAATGAGATGTTGCAACTGATGGAACAAGGCCCCAGAGGAGCGGTACGGACTGTGGCTAAGAGTGCAAAAACACAAGGACAATGGACCTTGAAAAGGATACATAGATTTGTGTCCTTCGAGACTAGTGGAAAGGAAAGCATTGCAGAGTTGACCAGTCAACTTGTAATTATGAGAAACACACCATAAAAATGCTTCATCGTCTCAGGCCAATTAAGAAGATAGGTCATGAGTTTTAGGAGCAGCTCGGAGGTGCAGAGTAGCTCATGTGGGTAAGGTAAGAACAGCTCTTTAAAGCAGAGCAGAGTGGTTACCTGTACTGATGGCCCAGCTTTGGTTACAGTAACCTGGGATTGAGAGAGATAAAACCACATGTTTATAGTTGAGTTTTCTGTTCTAGATCTAGGGAGAAATTTTAAGGGTCTCTCTCTGCTGCCCCTTTCAGTGAGGGTGGAGAGATGGAGATACTTGGGAAGTGGAGCTTTGCAGAACATAATTCATTTTCCTTGAGAAAGTCAGAGAATTTAATTGAAGATTATATCATTCTCCTGTGTAGCAAGGGTAAGCAGAGGAGAGGGCAGGTGGCTGGTAACCTTTGGGGAAAGGGAGGGTTAAGTGGTAGTCTCAGTGATCAGGAACTAGATCTGAAGAGACTGACAGGTGCAAGAATAACGATGGTCCAGGAGTGCGGAATTGCAGAATGAGGTTTCAGGTGGAGACTGGAAATCAAAAGCAGTACGCTGTCATTGGATGGAGCCATGGAAATGAGCAAGAGTAAATATTCCTGGGGTGAAGGATTCACCAGAGTCCCCAGGGTCATCAATGTGGCCATTTGATCTCATCACCAGGAAAGTAACTGGAAAGGAGATTAAGACGATGAGGAATGACAAGGAGTTTTAGTTGGCAAGTGGGATTGGATATACTCCTTTAGGTAATCTTATTCCTTTTCCAAGTGTGTGTTTTAGAAGAGACAGGATTTACAGCAGTATTTCAAACATACATCTACAACAGCTACTGACAGATGTTAAAAGTAGGAAGGCTTCCCCCTAGTGCCCACTCTTGCTTGGAAATTCTCAATGAGACATAGCTCTTTAATACTAAGGGCACCGGCTCTAAAATTTTCTATAGAATTTCTGGAAATTTAGGGCTTGCTTCAGCTATAAAGTTGAATTTTGGATGCACAGATCTTAGAGATGATTAGATTGTGTTTAGACTAGTAACTTCAGCTTCAAGATAGTTGACCGACTAGAATTCTGTTTATTCAACTGCGAGGATCTGAGTCTTTGAGGAAGACTGTCCTTCTCATAAAAACCACCATGCCTGTATTTCCTCACCTGGAATATCAATCTCCTTCTCTCCCTGATAAAACCATAGTGTCATTCAAGGCCCAGCTTTGGTGTCACCCCTGAGATGCCTTCCCTGACTGCCACTGAGCAACTCATTTAGGTCTCATTCCTGCATGCGGTCTTTATTAAGTTCAGTTATAAATTTATCCTATCATAGTGTGATTGTTTCTCCCTGACTATACTGTGAGGTCTTCAGAGATGAGGACTGTATCTGTCTAAATTTTATATCTAGTTCCCAGTATGCTTCTTGATATATGACAGGTAGTTAGTAAATTCTTACTCTGTGAAGACATAAGTGGAAGGTTGTCTCATTCTTTTACAAGTTCATATGAGCTTGCTAACTCTCAGTCATGATGACTCATAAACTGAAACATTCAGACAGCAGCACCACTAAAAACCATGGGGATTTTATTCCTTTGGGCTTTATTTCTGAATGTATATTTTAATTATTTTTTCCTGAAGAACTTACAAAATTTTAGTTAAGGAGGCCAGGTGTGTGGCTCATGTCTATAGATTTAGCACTTTGAGAGGCTGAGATGGTGATTCATTTGAATCACAGCTTCAACACCAGCCTGGGAAGCATGGCACAACCCCGACTCTACACAAAATGTAGCTGAACTTGGTGGTCAGTGTTTGTAGTCTTGGCTACTCAGAAGGCTGAGGTAGGAGGATCCTTTGATTCTGGGATGCAGAGGTTGCAGTTATCCAAAACCACAATGCTTCATTCAAGCCTGGGCAACAGAGGAGAACCCAGTCTCAAAAAAAAAAAAAAAAAGTTACATAAGGGACTGAGAGAAGTTAACTAAGTAGCATGAATTACACAAGGGATGTTAAAAATATATGGGAAGGTAGTTTAACAGAAATTGAAAAGTAAATATTTATGCAGCTGGAATAGCTAGTTGTGGAATACATTGAAGTGGATTCTTTTTTTGAGACGAAGTTTTAATCTTTTGCCCAGGCTGGAGTGCAATGGCACTACCTTGGATCATTGCAACCTCTGTCTCCCAGGTTCAAGAGATTCTTCTGCCTCAGCCTCCCAATTAGCTGAGATTAGAAGTGCCCACCACCATACCAAGTTAATTTTTGTAATTTTTGTTGAGATGTGGTTTCACCATATTGGCGAGGCTGGCCTCAAAATTTGACCTCAGGTGATCGGCCTGTTTTGGTCTCACAAATGGCTAGGATTATAAGAGTGAATCAGCATGCCCAGCTGAGTTGCAATCATTTGAAGGTGAAATTGTTATTCTCTATTTCTGTACTTTGTTTTTTGGAATTCAGGAAGGAGAGTATTTACTCAAATTTGTTATGCTTTCATTAACTTGCTTGCTAAAACGTAATGCCTTTTTTTGTTGTTGTTTATTTTGAGACAGTCTTGCTCTGTCACCAAGGCTGGAGTGCATTGGCGTGATCTCAGCTCATTGCTGTTTGGCCTACCAAGTTCAAGCAATTCCCTGCCTCAACCTCCTGAGTAGCCTGCCATCATGCCCATCTAACTTTTGCATTTTTAGTAGAGATGGAGTTTTTACCATCTTGGCTGGGCTGATCTTGAACTCCTGACCTCATGACCTTCCTGCCTCAGCCTCCCAAAGTGTTGAGCCACTGTAAGTGGCCAAAATTAATGCTTTTTTACCAGTTGAAATGAGAAACTTTATGCTCAAAGTCTTCTTTTACTTAAAGATATGTATCTGTTAAGAGAAAGAAAAGCAGAGCTGAAGCAGAGAGTTGAAGCTTTTGAATTGCAGGTATGTATGTTTATTTTGGATATTCAGAATGATGAGATTAAAAAGAATTACTAAATATATGTCTAAATATTCTCATGTTTATTACCAAGTAGAATTCTTTTTTTGTAAAGGTGGTATCACGCAGCATTAGAATTTACACTTTAAGAGAAACAAACGCGAAGGCTGTGCTTTTGAAATGTTAACTGTTAAGATGAAAGGCAGAATGAGGTGTTATCACCAGGCTACAGTAACATCAAACAGAAAATTTGGAGACACTGTTAATACTTGAACAGATCATATGTTTTAAAGTTAACTTCAGTCCTTCAGGTCTGATAGTTTTGTGTGTTTATGTATTGTGACTGAATTCCAAATATCCAGGCCTGCGTCTTTTACCAGCTCTGTGCTCAAAAAAAGGAAGTATTGTGGTTTGACTTGACTTGTACTGGATGAAACTATTTCTCAATGCTATTCGCATTGTCCAAGTGCTCAGAAATGTTTTATCATTCATATATTATCTGGGATTGACAGCAATCTCACCTGTCTGTGGTTTGCACAAGAAGCCTTCTTTTCTATTGGGAATGTGCTGTTAATTGACACCCAAAGATAATTTAGGGATTTTAGCTCATTAAAGAATTTGTCTCCATCTTATTTAATGTTGTTTTCTCACTTCTCTAGGTTTGATTTTTTTTTTTATTTCAGCTCGCTGTGTACCTTACTCTCTTTTTGGGAACAATGAAAAGGTAAATTAATCGAGATAGAGAAAAAAAAGAGAAACAACTTTTGGGCAGAGAGAGTGTGCCACTTTTTTTAACCTCCATTTTCTCTACTCCTTTTCCCTTCTCTCAGCATATATACTAAATCAATGTAGTTTATCTCTCCATGGCTTTCCAGATTACCAGCAGAGGGAGCTAATACCTGGAGCCTTTAACTGTTCTTAGACTAGTCAGTGTTTTATAGAACTTCTCAGGATGGCTGAATCTCATCACCTGTAAATCCACCTCCCTGGCTTAGGAATCAGTGCAATGGGTGACTTGAAGTCTCACTATGAAAATTATTTTATTCTTAAGTATTTGGAAGCCTGGAACGACCCATCTATCTGTTGCCCTCTCTTTTGGTACTTGATCAGTATTCAATCCATAGGGTTTTTTTGTTTGTTTTGTAGGGTTATTTGGTGGTGTTGTTTTGATTTTAAGAGACAGGGTCATGCTATGTTGTCCAGGCTGGTCTGAAACTCTTGGGCTCAAGTGATTCTCCTGCCTCAGCATTCTGCAAAGCTGGGATTATAGCTGAAGGCTACCATACTTGACTAAAGCTGATAGATTATTAAGTGAGAAAAACAAATATTGTACCTTACATATCTATGAGATAATTAATTAAATTCCAGAGTTACAAAGAGCATTATAGAAGATTCAAATACATAAGTACACTTTTTTTTTATTTTTGAGATAAAGTTTTGCTCTTGTTACCCAGGCTGGAGTGCAATGGCACAATCTCAGCTCACTGTGAACTCTGCCTCCGGAGTTCAAGTGATTCTCCTTCCTCAGCCTCTTGAATAGCTGGGATTACAGCTGTGTGACATCATGCTTGGCTAATTTTATATTTTTAGTAGAGATGGGGTTTCAACATGTTGGCCAGGCTGGTCTTGAACTCCTATCCTGAGATGATACACCTGCCTTGGCCTCCCAAAGTGCTGGGATTACAGGCATGAGCCACAGCTCCCAGCCCATAAGTGCACTTTTATGACTTTGTAACTAACAGTATTATTCTTTCATCCCAGAATTGATTTGGACCGTTTATCACCTTTAGCTATTGTTTAAGTGTTAATTATCTTCTATGAGAAATCACTTCTTCATTGAGACTCTCTCACTCCCCTCAGTAAGAGACCCTCCCACTCTTCTCAGTCATATGCCACAGCCCCCTGCTTCTGCTAGTTTCAACACATTGTAACTAGGTCGGTTCATAAAATACACTGAGGACTTCTGGTTCTTTTGTTTTACGTCCCAGTAGTAACTGTCATGTACTAGTTTTAGTCTGTTGAACTAAAAACATGCCACATGATGCTTTTCCTAAATGTGTTAACTCAGCTATTATAGTTTATTTACTTTATGTTTCTGCTAATTTCAGAACCCATAAACTCCAGGAAGAAAAATATAAAAGCATGACTGAGGACTTAGTAGATGGGAGCAGAATACAAAGTGTCTTGAGGAGACCTATCACAGAAACCTAAAATACAAACTTCTAGCATAATGCTTTGGCACGTTTGAAGAAGTAATTTGTTTAAATTACATTGGCAGAAACATAAAACAAAAACTAAGGAAGTATTCTAAGGTTTCCATCTTATGCAAACTTTAGTGTTCAAAAAAATACATATGTTTATCAATAGCCTATACTTTCTCACATTTGAGTTAGAGTAGTTTTTAAAAGACAAGGTATAGAAAAGCACGTCCTCTGTTCTTCTTCCTTGTGTCTTCTCAAATACTTATCAAGGGCAGTGCACATTGTGATTTACTCAGGTTGCATAGTTGATAAGCTGTAAAGTTTCAATTATAATCACTTTCAGTTACATTTTCCTCTACCCCACTCATAGTGCCACAATGATGGGGATATCTAACAATGTATAAATTACACTTAGTGGTCCAAATGTTTGTCAGTGAACATGTTCCTTGTATTCCTTCATGATTCTGCAAAGCCAGAATCAAAAGAAAGGAGGTAAAATTAACTATTTGAGGCAAAAATTGATAGAGGGAAAGAAAATATGGACAATTATGATTACTTTGGCTTTTCTCTACTCTGATCTTTTATATCAGTGAGTAATACCTCAGTGCTAAGACCTTATGCCCATGTGGTCACTTTTCAGTGGGTTTGAAAGCATCAAACACATAAAAAATTCTTAGCTAATATTTGTAGTTTACGTATCAGGAGGAAATGACGCAACTCAGGTGCCCTGGGCATTTATTTGGTCTCCTTTTATTGCCTTCCTCATAATTTATCATGAATATTCCATTACACAGAACTTGCAAAGCTTTCTTGAGGTTATTCTATAAACAAATTCTATCTTCAAAAAAAGACTAGTTTTTTTATAGATTCTGAATTCCTAATATATTCTCTATATATTTTGATAACTCCGTAGTTGTCAAGAAGTTGGCAGCAGCTTACTGCTTCTGGTACATATTACTCCTAACCATGAGAAACTTTATTTTTTACTTATAAAATGATGTATTTTATCCAATTTTTTTGTCAGTTTCTACATTAAAAGAGCTAACATGAAGTTTCTGTAGTTACTGAATTTTCAGGAATACATGTATTAAAGTATGTTTGTTAATTTTATATCATTATGGAGCTACTGAACTATTTGGTATCATTTTGACAGCTTCCATGGTCTGCATGGTGTCTTTCTGGCATTGGGAATTCTCGTATGACTTTGGCAAGTGTTGGAGTTTGGGGACTGTTCACCACAGGAGTGTTTCTTTATCCTTTTGGAATCAAAAGACAGCTTGTAAAAGCTGGGAAAGAAAAGTAAAACTGTGAAAATATGCCTTTAGGTACTGCTAATTCAGATACAATGCTCTTAGCACCTAGTTCCCCAGACTGTGCTTGTTCCCTAGGCACAAAAGTCCTTACATTTGTTTGGCCTAGGCAGATAGTACAGGTGGGATGAAAGTGATTGTCTAATTATCATGTGGGATTGAGTCTGCCGTGTGCTGTGTACATTTATTTTTCTTCCTTGCTCTTTGGGTCACCTGAGACCAACTGGAAAGTGATGCTTTCAGTAACCTTATGACAACATAACCCTCCATTTCGTATGATGGTGCTTTATAACATCAAGGCAGGGTTTTACTGGACATGTTATGTTTGAAATTCCTATCCCTGGCTTTAGTACTGAGGGACATTGAAGTTCACGTAATGTCGTCTTCAGTGCCCTCAGGTTCACCTGTACCGTAGATAAGCTCCCACATTGATAACCATCTTTCTGGAGAGATAACTATGAAATTTATATTGACTCATTATAAATATCAGGTAACAACTTGAACTAATGGATGACTCCATCATTAGAACTAATTGACTGATTGGAGAGAAAAGGAAGAATAAAGGTGAGGTTTGGGTGGGGTAAGTAGCTGTAGTTTTCAGTTTTGATACAGGTTATTAGCTTCCCAATTTGGGTCTGTTTTATATTCTAAAAAAACAAAAAAAAAACTTTATGTTTCATTGTCTCTTCGATAGTTCATATTTTTTGTAATTTTAATTATGTAAAATTAAAAAAATTGTCTTCACTGCCTTTTGAGAAACCATTATTTTTAATATTTTATATAGTCAGAAAGGCCAGTGATTGTTTCTGTATTTTTAATAAGCTTTATTTCAATATATTTTGAAAAACCTGTAATTATCAAGGTGGCAGCAACTTATTGCCTCTGGTGCCTATTACTTTTAGCATGAGATATGTTCTTTTCCACTTAAGGAAAAACTTTAACTTCTCTGTTTCCTGTGACATAGCTTCTTATTTTGTGGCCTTCTAAAATATTTTTTATTTATAATATTTTTACTTTACATATAACCTCCTGATTTCTTGTGTATATTTCACTTGAAACTGGAAGATGAGTAATGTCTCAATCTTCAGATATTTTATATTTCAATATATTTTTAGGAAATTGCCTGTTAGGAGAGGTGACGTTTTGTTGGAATTTTCAATTAGACTATTGGGAGTACACCAAGGGTGGTTATTTGATGTCCAGACACCCAGTGTGTGGCTTCCGCTTTTACTACTATCTTGTGGAGACTAACCCTTCTTTTATAAATTACTACCATCATCTATGTAGCAAATTTTGCCTTGATATTATATCTACATAGATTCAAGTTAAATAAAATGAAAATGACAAAGTAATACCTACAATACAATAACAATATTGTCTTTTACAATATAGTAACAGACAGATCTTCTTCTTCAAGGAACTTAAAACCTCTCTGGTTAGCAGGTGTAGATGGTGGAATTTCACCACATAGATGACAGTTATAGCTTCACATCACCTGTTAGCTAACAGGGCTTATTTCTTACTTGCCTGTGAAAGTTTTGTCCCCTACACAGGCTATTTCATATTATAAAATAATGGTCATTAGGTCTGACATACTGGCCATAAATATTAAATAGCTTTTGTATTCACAAGGAAAACATTATGGTGTTTAAAGGGCTATTTCTTTCAGGAAAAGCTGTTTACTTGCAAGACGAACTCACAGTTAGTAATACAAAAAAGGAGGAACTCAATCAATCTGTAAGTTTTATGTAAGAACTCAAGGAATTGTTTAGCATATTTTTTTGAAATAGATTTTAATGAACATACACAATTTTAGTCATGTATAATTTATCCAAAATTTTTCTCTCGAGATGTTTAAACTGCCATTTCTACGGCAAAGATGGGGATGACTAAAGTTAACTCAACAGTTCTTAATTTCAATCAACATCATATATGAAAGTGTAGACAGTGCTTTGATTCTTAGAGTCCTCCTTGAATCCTATCTGTGTCCTAATTTCTTGTGTGCCTTTGGGCAGGTCCTTTGATTGCAGATTCCTCAGCTGTAAACCCTAGGATGTTTTCCACATTATAGGGTTGTTGAGGGAATTCAGTGAGTTAACGTATGAGCCTAGTTCATAGCAGGTGGCCAATATTATTATTGTTCTGTTTCTACATTAACCTGTTCTTTCCTTTCATCAGCAGCAGCTAAAATTTTTGACATTATAGTGTTATCTCACATATTAAAACTAAATGCAATGCATTTATCACCTGCCATTGCTTGTTTAATTTTCTGTTTATTTTTATGCTTGCTGTCTGAAGATGAAGCTGGAATTTTAGGCACTTAAAACATTTTTGCAAGTTGAACTTTTGTGAGAACTTTGTATGCCTTCTTATTCAAATATGACATAGAGAATACTAAGAAAAGAAAAGCTCTACACAAAATGTTACTTTTTTTTTTTTTTGAGACTGAGCCTCATTATGTCATTCAGTGTGGAGTGCACTAGTGTTATATCGGCTCACTGCAATCATCACCTCCCAGGGTAAAGCAATTCTTGTGTCTCCACCTCCCGAGAAGCTCGGATTATAGCCATACCCCACCACACCAAGAAAATTATGTCTTTTTTTTGTTTTTGTTTTTTACTTTTTAATTTTTTTAAGATGGAGTCTCGTTCTGTTGCCCAGGCTTGAGTGTAATGATGCAAACTGGGCTCACTGCTACCACTGCCTTTGTTTTCAAGTGATTTTTCCTGTTTCAACCTCCTGGGTAGCGGGGAATACAGACACCTGCTACCATGCCTGGCTAATATTTATAGTTTTAGTAGAGATTGGGTTTCACCATGTTGGCTAGGGTGGTTTCAAATTTTTTACCTCAAGTGATCTGTCCATGATGGTCTCCCAGTGTGCTGGGATTACAGGCTTGAGCCAGTGTCCGGCTGCACTTTTAGTAGAGACCGGGTTTTTCCTTGTTGCCCAAGGTAGTCTGGAAATTCTGAGCTCAAGCTATCCTCTCATGTTGGCCTCCCAAAGTGCTGGAGTTACAGGCGGGAGCCACCATGCCTGGCCATTTTTACCTTACCTTTTCATATTTAAAACAAATCTATATTGCTATGATGAGTGACTGTTTTAAGTTCTTCAATGCCTATGCAAAATGAGGTTATAATCTTACTTAGAAGGACTTGCTTCATGGGATGTTGTCCATAAAACTTCCTCTGCCCCAACTGCAGGGCAGAAGACAATTTTTGTTACTGTAGTTTGGGTCTTATTGCAGAGATTCAGACATCGGTTCAGTGACCTCAGTTAAATTGTGACGCTATGCTAAAAGGAGCCTGCCAGCTTTTACTTTTGCAGCACTGTAAAGTCATCATTCAAATGCAAATTTTCCTTTTTAAGTTTCAGATTGAGTTAATGTGTGTCAAAGCACAGTCTTCGGCAATAACAAAACAAATATATTGTGAATGAAAGTGTTCAAGAGATAAGTGACTATTTACTACTAAAGGAAGAAAAACTGGAAGAGAATAAAAATAAAAACATGCATCTCTTAAACCATATGTCCACCTCCTATGTTCAAGCAATTCTCCTGCCTCTGCCTCTCAAGTAGGTAAGACTACAGGAATTTACCGCCCCCCCCCCCACCCGCTCCACACACACACAGCTAATTTTTATATGCTTAATAGAGACAGGGTTTCACCATGTTGGCCAGGCTGGTCTCAATCTTTTCACCAAAATGTTCCACTAGCCTGGGCCTCACAAATAGCCAGGATTACAGACATGAGCCACTGTGCATGGCTTGCATGTATTAGTGATTCATACTAAGTCAGTATAAAACTATGTTTTATACTTGTAAAGGAGGCTTAAATTGGAAAGATTTATAAAATTATGATTTCTGGATTAAACTCTGCTAACCTGCCTCTAGATGGTATCAAGGCATTTTTTTGCTCTCTGCCTGCTGATTGGGTTTGGCTAGTGGGGACACCAGCCTCCACATACAGTGGCCCTAGACTGGCTGCTTCATCTCAAGTCCCAGAGAGGTCATAGTGCCTGTGATGACATCTTTCAAGTGCTCTGAACCATCTCTGTCTCTCCAGTGCTGAGAATTTCTCTCTCCCCTAATTCTCCATTCCCAAGGAGTACAAAGAGTATGGTCCTGTTACTATCCCAGGGAACTCCACCATCTTTTTTAGATACCCTGAATAAGTCCCTCTTTATTAAAAAGTTCTTAGATGACTTTGACTGTGGGGACCATCTGCCTTCTGTCTGGATCCCAGCTACTTCTTACAGATGCACAAATTATATTGGATCTCGAGTCTGTCACCAAAAGGTAGACCAAATAGCACCTTGTGTGTATGATAGAGGATAGAAACAGGCTTTCAGGTTAATATGAGAGTTTGAAAGAGTTCTTTTTCTTTCTGTGCCATCATGCATTCCACAAACAATGAATGAATTGTTGTTTTTCCTGCAGCAAATCAGTTGTCATGTTTTAAAAATGGTTTAGTAGTTCCAACAAATATAGATGAGCCATGCTAACTCATTGTTGTAATTTTCAGTCACTTAAAGATATATGAGTTTGAGCATCTTTTTGTTTGCTTGCCATCTTCGTATTTTCATTGGTGTGTTCAGCTCTTTACTCATTGTTAATTAGGTATTATATCTTATTTTTGAGTTTCAAGATTGGTGTATTTTCAGTGCAAGTTTTTACCCAGATCTGTATTTTGCAGATATTTATTTTCAGTGTGTTGCTTATCTTTCTATTTCCTGAACAAGATTTTACTCAGAGTATAAGCTTTTAATATGAGAAACCTTAAATTATTAATTTTTTTTTTACCATTGCTGATCGGCTTTGTTGTCATTTGTTAAAACTTATGACCAAATCCAAGATCACATACATTTATGTCTGTGCTTTCTTCTAGAATTTGCATAGTTTTACATTTCCAGTTAATGGCTCCTTCACCATTAAAAAAAAAAAAATGAAGGGGAATTGCTGGCAAGATTGCTGAATAAAAACAGCTCCAGATTGCAGCTCCCAAAGAGATCGATGCAGAAGGTGAGTGATTCCTGCATTTCCACCTGAGGTACACTGCTCATCTCACTGGGAATGGTTGGACAGTGGGTGCAGCCCATGGAGTGTGAGATGAAGCAGGGTGGGGCATCACCTCACCCGGGAAGCCCGAGAAACCAAGGGCCCTATTCCAGATATGTGCTTCTCCCGTGGTCTTCACAACCTACAGACCAGGATATTCCCTTTGGTGCCTACCCCATGAAGGCCATGGGTTTCAAGCACAAAACTGGGCAGCTGTTAGAGCAAACACTGAACTAGCTGGAGGAATTTTTTGTTTGTTTGTTTGTTTGTTTTCATACCTTAATTGTGCCTGGAATGTTAAGGAGACAGAACCGTTCACTCCCCTGGAGAGAGGTGATGAGGCCAAGGAGCCAAGTGGTCTGGCTTGGGGAGTGACACCCCCTACAGAGGCAAACAAACTAAGGTTCACTGGCTTGAAATTCTCTCTGCCAGCACAGCAGCAGTCTGAGATCGACCTGAAATACTCGAGCTTGTCTGGGGGGAGGGTCATCCGCCATTGCTGAGTCTTGAGTAGGCCATTTTACCTTAGTAGTGTAAATAAAGCCACAGGAAAGTTTGAATTGGTTGGAGCCAACTGCAGCTCAGCAAGGCTGATGTGGCTAGGCTGCCAGATTTCTCCTCTCTGTGCAAGACATTTCTGAAAAAATGATAGAATCCCCAGTCAGGGGCTTATAAATAAAACCCCTGTCTCCCTGGGACAGTACATCTGGGGGAAGGGGCAGCCATGGATGCAGCATCACAGACTTCAACATAACTGCCTGATGGCTGTGAAGAGAGCAGCAGACGTCCTATCACAGTGTTTGAGCTCTGCTAATGGTCAGACTGCCTTCTCAAGTGGATCCATGGCCTCTGTGTATCCTGACTGGGAGACACCTCATACAGGAGAGCACTGGCTGGAATCTGAAGGTGCCCCCTGGGGATGAAGCTTCCAGAGTAAAGAACAGGCAGCCATCAATGAGACAGAAAATTAACAAGGATTTGCAGGACTTGAAATCAGCTGTGGACTAAGTAAAACTAATAGACATCTGCAGAACTATCCACCCCCAATCAACAGAATATACATTCTTCTCGGTGTCACATAACATGTATTCAAAAATTGACCACATAATTGGAAGTAAAACACTCCTCAACAAATGCCAAAGAATGCAAATTATAACAAAGAGCCTTCCAGACCACAGTGCAATCAAATTAGAACCCAGATTAAGAAACTCACTCAAAACCACACAACAACATAGAAATTGAACAGCCTGTTCCTAAATCACTGATGAGTAAATAACAAAATAAGGAAGAAATAAAGATGTTCTTTGATACCAATGATAATGAAAACACAACATATCACCATCTCTGGGACACATTTAAAGCAGTGTGTAGAGAAAAACGGATAGCACTAAATGCCCACAAGAGAAAGCAGGAAAGGTCTAAAATAGATACACTAACGTCAAAATGAAAAGAACTAGTGAAGTAATAGCAAACCAATTCAACAGCTAGCAGAAGACAAGAAATAACTAACATCAGAGCAGAACTAAAGGAGATAGAGACACCAAAAAAAAACTTTCAAAAATCAGTAAATCCACGCACTGTTTTTTTGAGAATATCAACAAAATAGATAGACCACTAGCCAAAGCAATAAAGAAGAAAAGGAGAGAAAAATAAAATAGATGCAATAAAAAGTGATATAGGCAATATCACCACTGATCCCACAGAAATACAAACTACCATCAGATAATTCTATAAACAGCTCTATGCAAATAAACTAGAAAATCTAAAAGAAATGGAGAAATGCCTTGACATATACACCCTCCCAAGTCTACACCAGGAAGACGTTAAATTCATGAATAGACCATTAACAAGTTCTGAAACTGAGGCAGTAACTGAGAGCCTACCAACCAAGAAAATCCTGTACCAGACAGATTCATAGCCGAATTCTACCAGAGATACAAAGAGGAACTGGTACCATTCCTTCTGATATTATTACAAACTAAAAAAAGGAAATCCTCCTTAAATAATTTTATGAGGCCAGCATCATTCTGATGCTAAAACCTGGCAGAGCCTCACCAAAAAAGAAAATTTCAGACCAATATGCCTCATGAACATTGCTGTGAAAATCCTCAATAAAATACTGGCAAACTGAATCCAGCAGCACATCATAAAGCTTATCCACCACGATTACGTCAGCCTTATCCCTGGGATACAAGGCTAGTTCAACATACGCATATCAATAAATGTAACACATCACATAAACAGAACAAACGACAAAAACCACATGATTATCTTCATAGATGCAGAAAAGGCCTTCATCAAAATTCAACACCACTTTATGTAAAATCTCTCAATCAACTAGGTAAGGATGGAACTTATCTCAAAATAATAAGATCTACTTATGGCAAAGCCACCGCCAATATCATAGCGAACGGGCAAAAATTGGAAGCATTCCCTTTGAAAACCTGTACAATGCAAGGATACACTCTGTTGTCACTCTTATTCAAAATTGTATTGAAACTTCTGGCCAGGGCAATCAGGCAAGAGGAAGAAATAAAGGGTATTCAAATCAGAAGAGAGGAAGTCAAATTGTCTCTGTTTGCAGAGGTCATTATTATAAACTTAGAAAACCCGCCATCTCAGGGCAAAATCACCCTGAGCTGGTAAGCACCTTCAGATAAGCCTCAGGATTCAAAATCAATGTGCAAAAATCACAAGCATTCCTACGCACAATAACAGAGAGACAGTGAAATTATGGGTAAACTCCTATTCACAGTTGCTACTAAGTGAATAAAATACCTATGAATAAAACTTACAGGGGATGTGAAGAAACTATTCAAGGAGAACTTCAGACCAATGCTCAAGGAAATAATAGAGGGCATAAAGAAATGAAAAAACCTTCCATGCTCATGGATAGGAAGATCAATATTGTAAAAATGGCCATACTGCCCAAAGTAATTTATAGATTCAATGCTATCCCCATCAAGCTACCAATCACTTTCTTCACAGAATTGGAAAAAAACCTTAAAATTCATATGGAACCAAAAAAGAGCCTGCACAGCCAAGACAATCTTAAGCAAAAAGAACAAAGCTGGAGGCATCACACTACCTGACTTCAAACTATATTACAAGGCTACGGTAACCAAAACAGCACGGTACTTGTACCAAAACAGATATATAGACCAATGGAACAGCACAGTGGCCTCAGAAATAATACGACACATCTACTACCATCTGATCTTTGACAAACCCGAAACAAGCAAGCAATGGGGGAAATATTTTCCCTTTAATGAATGACGTTGAAAAAACTGGCTAGCTATTCAGAAAACTGAAACTGGACCACTTCCTTACACCTTACACAAAAATGAACTCAAGATGGATTAAAGACTTAAACATAAGGATTAAAACCATAAAATACCTCGAAGAAAACCTAGGCAATACCATTCAGGACATAGGGCATGTGCAAAGTCTTCATGTTTAAACACCAAGAGCGATGGCAATAAAAGCCAAAATTGACAAATGGGATCTAATTAAACTAAAGAGCTTCTGCACAGCAAAATAAACTATCAACAACGTGAACAGACAACCTACAGAATGGGTGAAAAATCTTGCAATCTATCTACCTTGAGACAAGGCTAATATCAGGAATCTACAGGGAACTTAAACAAGTTTACAAGAAATAAACAAACAACCTCATCAAACAGTGGGCAAAGGATATGAACAGACACTCCTCAAAAGAAGACTTTGATGCAGCCAACAAACATATGAAAAAATGCTCATTAAATTATCACTCGTTATTAGAGAAACACAAATCCAAACCACAGTGAGATACCCTCTCAAACCAGTTAGAATGGCGATCATTAAAATAGCAGAAAACTGCAGATGCTGCAGACAATGTGGAGAAATAGAAATGCTTTTACAGTGTTGGTGGGTTTGTTAATAATTTAACCCTTGTGGAAGACTAGGATCTAGAACGAGAAATACCATTTGACCCAGCAATCCCCTTACTGCGCATATAACCAAAGGACTATAAATCATTCTACTATAAAGACACATGCACATGTACATTTATCGCATCACTATTCACAGTAGCAAACACTTGGAAACAACCCAAATGTGCATTGATAATAGACTGAATAAAGAAAAGGTGACACATATGCACCATGGGATAGTGTGCAGCCGTAAAAGTGGATGAGTTCATGTCTTTTGCAGGGACATGAAAGAAGGTGGCAAACATCATTCTCAGCAATCTATCAGAAAAATAGTAAACCAAACACCACATGTTCTCATTTTCAAGTGGGAGTTGAACAATGAGAACACATGGACACAGGGAGAAAAACATCACATGGTGGCGGGTGGTGGGATAGTGCGGAGAAAACATTAGGAGAAATACCTAATGTAGGTGATGAGTTGATGGGTGCAGCAAACCACCATGGCATGGTAGTTTGCATTTCTCTAATGGCCAGTGATGATGAGCATTTTTCGTATGTTGGCTGCATAAATGTCTTCTTGTGAGAAGTGTGAACACACACTTTTCAAAGGACATACAGGCAGCCAATAAACTTATTTTTAAAAGCTCGATATTATTGATTATTAAAGAAGTGCAAATCAAAGCAAAAAAAAAAGTGAGATACCATCTCATACCTGTCAGAATGGCTATTATTGTAAAGAAAAGTTATAACAGATGCAGGCGAGGTTACAGAAACCAAGGAAAAATTATGCACTGTTGGTAGGAATGTAAATTAGTTCAACTGTTGGGGAAAGCAGTAGGGCAATTCCTCAAAGACTGGAAAGCAGAACTACTGTTCAACCCAGCATTCCCTTTACTGGATATGTACTCAAAGGAATATAAATCATTATACCATAAAGACACATGAATGCAAATGTTCATGCGGACTATTCCCAACAGAAGACATGGAATTAATCTAAATGCCCATCAGTGATGGTTTGGATTAAAGAAAATGTGGCACATACTCACAAAAAATACTATGCCGCCATAAAAAAGAATACAGTTATGCCTTTGAGGGAACATGGATGGAGCTGGAGGATATTATCTTTAGCAAAGTAATGTAGGAACAGTAAACCAAATACCACATATTTTCACTAGAAGTGGGAGCTAAATGATGACAACTCATGAACACAAAGAAGGGAACAATAGACATGGGACCTACTTGAGGGTGGAGGGTGGGAAAAGAGAGACCAGCAGGAAAAATAATTATTGAGTTCTAGTCTTAATACCTGGGTGATGAAATAATCTGTACAACGAACGTCCATGACAGGAGTTTACCTATATAACAAACCTTCACATGTACGCCTGAAACTAAAATAATAATAAAAAAAGAAACCAAGATAATAGGCAACATTTCCATTTGAATTTCTAAAATGACGGCTTTGAACAGTCTGACCTCTGCTTTTATTTGGTGCCGCAGGCCAGCCAGGTGGGGCGTCGCACGCACGCGGCTGCTTCACCTTGACCATGAGTGTCCTGCAGTTCTTCCGGCTGCTAGCAGGGGACGCAAGAGTCTGCCTTTTCTGACCCTGGGAGTGCAGGTGTTTTCAGCGCATGCTGCTTGAGGGGGAGAGCAGCGTTCTTCTCAGCACAGACCAGAGCAACAACGCCTTGCTGTGGGACAGCTGGAGGGAGTGGTAAATAAAAATTTCCCTCTGACTGCTGAGGATCAGGGACCCAGGAGAAGGGCTTCTTGTGGAAAATTAAACATAAAAATATCCCATGGCTTTAAGTGCACCCCAACGTCCTTCCCCACACACAATTTGTGGTGGCCACAATGCCAGGTCCACACCGTGGCCTCGTGCCACAAATGTATCATTCATCATATAACATCTGTAATAGAAATATAACATCTGTAAACAAATATATCAACCATAATACAGATGTGTCATTCGTAATACTAATGTAACACCTGAAATACTCATCTAACACCCGTATTACCACTGTAACACTCATTAACAGCAATAAAACACTCATAATACCAGTATACCATCTGAAACACAAATATAACAACCGGAATACTTATCTAAGACCCATAATACAAGTGCCAAGCTCATAATACCAATATACAACCCACAATACAAATGAAACATCCATAACACTTGTGTAATAATGCTGTCCTGACACCTGTAATACAACTGTAACACTCATAATACCATTATACCACTCATAATACCATTATATCATCCTGCAATACAAATATAGCAACCGTAATACTGATGTAACAACTGTAATACTGATGTAACACCGGTAATACTAACACCCATAATACTAACACAACATTTGTAATACAAATGAAACAACCATAATATGATGTAACACCCATAATTACTGATGTAACTCTCAACATAAAGATGTAACACCTGCAATGCTGTCATAACATTCCTACTCTTACCAGGGCACTTTTTTTCAGAGCTTCCACTGAGCTGGATTTGGGTTGGATTTGGCCTCTATAATGATGTTTGATGTTGTTGTCTCTGCTTTAGTGACAAGGTATTGACATGGTTGTTTTTATTAAAAAGTAGTTTATTTCTCAATAATTTCATACTTCTAGGAAACTTCCAATAGCTATTAGTATAGAGTAATCCTCTCTCCCAGAATCTCCAGTGGTTTCTGCTGTGCCAGATTTGAAGCTTTATGCAAAATATCCCAGTGGGTTTTACAAAAAGTGGAGACATTCTCCAAGGGTACCACCACATAACTACAACATCGGGAAATACAGGGTTGGTACTGGTAAGGGTAATGGCAAAATATTCACTTACAAACACAAGTTTCATCCTGTCACTCTCCTGATTTAATTTTGCCAATGGTTTCCCACTGACCTTAGAACAAGAACCATAGAACTCACCATAGCTGCAGACCCCAAGTTCTCCTGCCTGTTTCCTGTGCCCACTCAGTCTGCTCAACTACCTGCAGTCTCATCTGATTTTAATTGTGGTAACACAGTGTCTGGAGTGTCTCAGGAATTTTATGTGCTATCTCTCAATCTATTCACCTAGTGCCCACACTTATCTAATTTCCCAAGGCTTTGTCCAGCTAATAAAGTCAGAGCTTGTGCTATTTAACTGTAGAAAAGATAATGATGTGCTGTTTCTAAAGATAAAAAGAAATTCATTATTTGTTAGATAATTGATGAGATCACTCTCAATTTATAAATCAAGGAAATAATAGTTAATGCAATGAAAGTTCATGTTTGGGGAAATTAGTAAATAAAACATCTCAGTGCTGAAGACTAATGACACTATTAATTATTGAAATTACATAAGAATTTATCGGGCAGACTGTTACCTTGCTATCTTCCGTAACCGTGTGTTATTATTTCCAAGTTATGTTAGGTTTAAGTACTTACATGTAACGTAGTCCATCAATACATTTAAGTGACAAAAAAGCCCTAGAACACGACATGACAATTCATATAAATATTTGTAAACCTCCTTAACTGTATAGTGTAAAGTAAATAAAGTAAGCTTAGATATTTAAGCAGATGAATTGTTAATATTTGAATATTGAAATGCTGTGAGGGTATGTAATTATGTCACAGCTTTGATATGAGACTTGGGGCATTTGTGTACCCATGTACCTCATTAACTTAATGACTTCCCTTATTACTTCCTGCTGGATGATAAATTTTGGGCCCATGGAGGCTGAGGGACAAACTATCAGCTCTACTGGAAACTTTAGTCCAGCAAGAAAGTTTTCATTTCAGAATATTATTTCTTGCCAGGTATTTATTTTCTCATCCAAGCAAACTTGCTCCCCAGCAGTATTGTTAACTTAGCTGCTCCTTAAGTCGAGCTGGATAGGACTAATTTTCCCACACGGAATCACATGACTATGAGAAAAGCTTATTTAGGAAACACCTGATGGAGTAAAACTTATATATTTTACTGGTCATCTTTTTATGTGCTTGTATTCCATATGCATGTCTTTTTGGTGAAGTGTGTATTCAACTACTTCTCTGTTTTGTACCTGGATTGTTTGTCTTTTATTTTGTTACTGAGGTATGCAAAGTCTTCATACATTGTCGATAGCAGACTGTTGTTACATACATAAAATGCAAGCCTTCCTTTCTGTACCATGTCTTTTCACTTTCTTGACAGTGTCTTTTGATGCACAAAAATGTTTAATTTTGAGAAAATTCTTTCTTTAGTTGACTGTGCTTTTGGTATCAGATCTAAGAAACCACTGCTAAATCCAACATTATGAAGATCTATCCCCATATATTCTTCTAAAGTTTCTTTTTTTACCTCTAATATGTAGGCTTTGAAACATTTTCTGTTAATTTTATGTTCTGTTGTGAGAAAAGTACAATTTCTTTGTCTGAATGCGGTATTCAGTTGCATAACAGCATTTGTTGAATTTACTGATCTTGGTTACCTGTCAAAAATCAATTGACTATAGAGGTACAGTTGGAATTAACCTTCAGTTCCATTGACCTCTGTGTGTGTCCTTACACCAGTATTATGCTGTTTTGATGACTGCTGCTTAGCAGCAATATTTGTTTTTGTTTTCAAGAATATTTTGGCTATTCAGCATCCCCTGAAATGTATATGAATGTTAGAATTGGCTTGCCCATTTCTGCCAAAAGGACTTTGGTATTTTCATAGAAATCACAATGAATTTGTAGTTTGCTTTGTGCAGTATTGTCACATAAGAATCATCTTCTAATCCAAAAGCACTGAGTATCTTTACGTTTATGAAGGGTTTCTGGAATTTATTTCAGCAGTATTTTGTAATTTTTCATGTCTAATTCTTGCACCTTGATAAAAGTTCGTCTTGAAAACTTTATGATCGTTGGCTTTTTGTTGTTGCTCTTTGAGACAGGGCCTTATTCTTTGGCCCATGTGGGAACGTACTTGTGCAATCATAGCTCACTGCAGCTTCAAACACTTGGGCTTGAGCAATCCTCCCTGCTTGGCCTCCCAAAGTACTGGAATTACAGGTGTAAGCCACAACATTCAGCCTGTTTTGTTGTTGTTGTTGTTGTTTGTTTGTTTGTTTTTGGTTTCTGTTTTGAAAGTTGAAAAGGATAATTTGCTTTATAATCAATGAAAATATAGTACTTTGAATTGGCCAGAAGACATAATGCACAAGAACTCTAAGTTGTATAGTTGACTTATCAACCACCTGGGTAAAGTTCAATTACTTCTTAAAAATTTGTAGCTGTTAACCTTCCCAAATTGTCTTTAAATAAACTCCTTGAATTGTAGTAATAAAAAAATGAGATGACAAGACACATTAAAACAATACTGAAGTTTATCAAAGGACTTAAGGAATTTCAACTCATATCTCTCTTTTTCTTCCTTTCTTTTTTCTTTCTTTCTTTCTCTCTTTCTTTCTCTCTCTCTCCCTTCCTTCCTTCCTTCCTTCCTTCCTTCCTTCCTTCCTTCCTTCCTTCCTTCCTTCCTTCCTTTCCTTCTTTCTTTCTTTCTTTCTTTCTTTCTTTCTTTCTTTCTTTCTTTCTTTCTTTCTTTCTTTCTTTCTTTCTTTCTTTCTTTCTTTGTCTTTCAGACAGGGTCTCACTTTTTGTCAAGTGTGGACTACAATGAGCCATCATGGCTCATTGCAGCCTGCAGCTTCTCACTCCCGGGCTCCTTTGAATCTGTCTGCCTTAGCTTCCACTGCAATACCTGGCTAATTATTTTTCTTTTTCTTTCTTTTTTATTTTCTTGGAGACAATGGTTTGCCATGTTGCCTGGGCTCTTCTGAAACCTCTGGGCTCAAGAGATGTGCCTGCCTTGACTTCTCAAAGTGCTGAGATTACAGGCATCAATACAACATTTATTGTGTCAGGGTCAGTAAAAATAAATCAATGTTTTGGCTAAGTTATGAGCATACCTATAATGCAATTATTTGAATAACTCCAGCAATGCTATGGGCAGCTACAAACTGAAGAATTTTATTAACAAATAACTAAACACATAAAAACACTTAGCCCAATTGTTTAACTGAAAAACATGTTTATTAGTTCTAGTTTCCAGCATTTTCTAGATCATCATTGTTCATTTTAAAAGTCATATCCATAGGATAAAGCAAAACCACCTATGAATTGCCATATTTGTTTATTTCTCAGTTATGAAAATGTCCTTAATTTGTTGACATTGCAAACAAATTTCAACTCTGTTATGAAAAACTGAAGACAACCTTCATAGCAATTAATTTTATAGTTACATTGCATACAGGGAATGTACTGTCTGTGAAAAAATACAAACTCAACTACAAGTCTTAAACACTGAAAAGAGTTACCAGGTGATTATAATTTATTTTATTATATCAATCTATTGTATTGATACACAATCAATTGTATTTACATACAATCTAGAAAGTTTACAGCCGTCAGAAATTCTAGTGCAGTTTTATGTGAAATCAGAATTTAAAAATCCCTGTGGAGCTGTAGGTATAGTAAAATGTGTAGGTAAAATATGTGCATGCTCTTGACAGTGCTCATGAAGGGATGTCTCTCAAATTGACCTCAATGGTTTTCTTCTCAGCAAAATGGCCTGGGCCACTCAACTACTGTTTCATTATTGCTGATGTTTGTGCAGGATTTTTTCTAAAAATTTATGACTCAAAAGACATTATTTGACATCATGGCATTAGGGTTTTCAAAACCGCTAGAGATTTTCTTTTCTTCATCCATTATATTTTAAAGGAATTCGACGTTGATTTCTCAGGAACTTGAACAGTTTCTGGTTAGCCCCACAGTGATTCCAGCCAGGTCCCAATATAGTAGCACAGCCTCAACTCAAAGGCTGTCCCAGACCTCGGCTGCCTGATATCTGTGTCTTTCAGGGCAGTGGGAAATATTCCAGCTGCTTCTTCTTTTTTTTTTAGAAATAAAGTTGTCATCTTAATTTCATTTTTATAGGGTTTATTACTAGTGAATAGAAATAGATTTTGTGGCCAGGTGCAGTGGCTCATGTCTGTAATTTCAGCAATTTAGGAAGCCAAAGTGGACATACCATCTGAGGTCAGGAGTTCAAGACCAGCCTGACTGACACGGAGAAATCCAGTGTCCACTAGAAATACAAAATTAGCCGGGCATGGTGGGACATATCTGAATCCCAGCTACCCAGGGGGCTGAGGCAGGAGAATCACTTGAACACAGGAGGCGGAGGCAGGAGAATCGCTCGAACCCAGGAGACGGAGGTTGCGGTGACCCGAGATCGTGCCATTGCATTCCAGCCTGGGCAACAAGAGCAAAACGCCATCAAAAAGAAAAAAAAAAAAAAAGGTGTTTTTTGTGTTGATATTCTGTCCTGTTATTTTTCTTAATTTGTTTCCTAGATTTCATAATTTCTAGATGGTTCCTTATGGTTTTCTGTGTATGAGATCTGTGAATAGTTTTACTTTTCTCTTCCACATATGAATAGCTTTGTGTGTGTTTGCATATATATATGTAATTGTTCTTCTGGAACTTCTAGTACAGGGTTTAATACAGTTGAGCATCAATGCTGTGTTCCTCATCTTAAAGCTTTCATTCCCAACAATTTAGATGATGATTATTATCGGTTTTGCATAAAGATGTTTTATCATGGGAAAAAATTGAAATACAGTTTATTGGATTTTTAATTATTAAATGTGTTGACTGTCTTTAAGTACTTTTTATAAAAGTTGAGACAAACGTGGTGTATTTCAACATTTGATTTACATAATATGTTGAAAAGGGATGACGTTAGAATGGTAAAAAAAAAACAAAACTTGATTTTCTGAGAAAAGATCTTAAACATCGTGGTTTATAATGTCTTCACTTATTTGGTTAAAGATTATAATGTCTATAGTTAGCAGATATAGTAACATTTAGTTTTTTGTCCCAGTGATACCATTTGTTTAATTCAACACTAATTTGGGCTTAAAAAGAGATATGACTTCTTGTACTCTTATGGGTATAAGGGGCTAGAGGTTAGAGTCATACAGGATGTATTTAAAGTTTTTTAAGCATAATGGTGTAACCTTAAGGATAGAATAGAAACGGAGGATTGGGATAGGGTTTACAATTGCAGAAAAAGTTCAGGATTAGATTGAGGGTTAGGGCTGGGCTTGAAATAAGATTTAGTGTTGTGGTAGGATTAGGGTTCCAGTTAGGGTTAAGATTAGGTTTATGGGTTAGGGTTGAGTTTAGGGCTAGGGGTCAGAATCAGGGTTAGAGGTTAGGTTTGGGGTTGGGTTATGCTTAGGTTTAGGGTAAAAAGACAGGCTTCCAGTTAGAGGTTAGGAATCAGGGTCCTGGCCGGGGTTAGTGTTAGTATTGAGGTTTAGTGTGAGGGTAAGTGTTAGAGTATTTCAGTATTTGGGTTAGTGTTTAGCATTAGGATAGGGCTTAGGGTTACATGTAGGGTTAGAGTTCAGGGTTCTGGGTTAGGGTTTAGGGATATTGTTAATGATAGTGATCAACATTTATGGTTAGATGTTAGTGATAGTGTTGGGCATATGGTTGGGGTTTTTGATTTAAGTTTAGCATGACTGTTAAGGCTGAGTTTGTGTTGAGGTTGAGGTTAGTGGTCACAATTAGGGTAACAGTTAGGGTTCAGTTTAGAGTTTAGGGTTAGGGTTAGGGTTTAGTGTTAGGGTTTTGTTTAGTGTTAAGGTTAGGGGTTAGCATTTATTGTTAGTGTTAGTATTAAGGTTTTTGTAGAGTTAGGGGCTAAGATTAGGTTTAGGTTAAGGGTTTAGTTTTAATTAGGGTTACAGATTTTGCTTTAGGACTAGGGTTAGTGTTAAGGGTTAGGTTTTCTCATTTAGGGTTCAGGTTATGATTAGGTTCAGTGTTTAGGATAAGAGTTATTTTTAGGTTTGGTGCTAAGGTTAAGATTATGTTAGAATTATGTTAGTTTTACTCTTAGGATAAAGGTATTAGGGTTAGTGTTAGTGTGAGTTTTAGAGTTATGGGATGCAGTTAAAGCTACCTTCAGTGTTTTTGGGATTTGGGGATTTATAGTTAGAATTAGGGTTAGCTTTATGTGGTAGTGTAAGGGTTCCGATTAGAGTTTGGGTGAGGGTTAGGTTTAGGATTCAGGATGAGGGTTAAAATTAGGGCAAGTGTTATGCTTAGTGTTAGAGTTATAATTAAAATGTTTGGTTTATTGTTAAAATTTAGGATTAGGGTTTAGTGTTAGTTTGTGGTTTAACATTGGGTGCCTGGTTGTGGTTGAGTTAGGGTTAGGATGATGGTCAAAGCGTTTGGCTAAAGATTAGGCTGAGGGTTAGTGTTAGGCTTAGAGTAGGGCTTTTGATGAGGTGTTAGTGTTAGAGTTAGGGTTTAGGGTTTTGCTAAAGGTTAGGGCATTGTTTAGGGTTAGTGTTATAATTAGGTTTAGGATTTGGGCTTAGGATTCTCTGTTTAGTGTAAAGTAGGGTTTATGTTTATGTTTGGGGTTGGTGTTCATGTAGGGGTAGGGTTAAGTTGAGGGTAAAAGGGTTAGGATTTGTGGTAAGGTTAGGCTTAGTGTTAGGCTTACTGTTAGGGCGTACATTTGGGGTTGGTGTTAGTGTTGAAGTTCCGGTTAGGATTTGGGGTAGGGATTAGGAATAGAGTTTTCAGTTAGTGTTAGGGTTTAGGATTAGTGTTGGGTATTAGCATTTTAGTTAGGGTTACAGTTAGGGACTAAGGTTTAGTTTAGCATTTAGGGTTAGGGTTTTGGTTTATGGATACAGTTACAGGTTACAGTTAGAGTTTATGGTTTAGGATTAAGATTATAGTTAGGTTTTAGGCTTTAGGTTTAGAGTAATGATTTAGGCTTATTTTTATTAATGGGTTTAGAGTTAGGTTGGTTTTAATGTTAAAGTTCAGGTTTCATGCTTTTACAGTTAGGATTAGTGTTATTGTTAGGGTTATGTGTTGAGTTTGTGGTTAGGTGTAGTTTTTCAGTGTTTTATTGTTAACATTAGGATTACATTTAAAAATAAGGGGTTTGCTTTGGGTTATGTTTTCAAGGTTAGATTTTGGACTAAGTGTTAGGGTTAGTATTTAGGGGAAGAATTACATTTAGGTTATCAGATAGAGTAACTTTTATGTTTAGTGTTACAGGGTATGCGTTTAGTGTTTAGCATACAGCGTTTAGGTTACAGCGTTACAGGTTAAAATTCAGGGTTAGAGTTAGCTTTAGGATATAGAATTAGTGTTAGGGGTTAGTATTAGGGTTGGAGTTTAGTGGTTGTGGGTCTGTTGGTGTTACAGATAGGACACCGTGTTAGAATTAGGATTCAGATTAGAATTATTGTTTAATGTTATTTTTAGGGTTAGGGTAAGAGTAGATTAAGCTTTAGGGTTATAGTTATGGTGAGTGTTTAAATTTAGATTAAGGGGTTCAGGTTATGTTTATTAATATGATTACAGTTGAGGTTACAATTATTGGTTAGAATTAGTGTTAGGATGAGCATTAGGATACAGATTGCAGTAACACATTAGGGTTAGAGTTAATGTTAGTAGTCAGGCTTAGGGTCAGGGGTTAGGATTAGGTATAGGGTTAGGGTTGACCTAAAGATTAATGTTAGGATTAGGGTTTAGGTTTTATGTAACAGCTAGGTTTCACTGTCATGTAGGTGTAGGGTTAAGGTAGTAATAAGAGTTTTAGCATTCGGGTCAGGGGTTAGTATTAGACTTATTGTGAATGTTATGATCATGCTCAAAAAGCAGGTTTAGAAGTTAGAATTTAGGGTTAGATTTAGGGGTTGTTGTTAGTGTTAGGCTTAACATTAGCTTTTGAGGGTTAGAGATGGTTTTTTTGCTTACTGTTAGTGTTTTTGTCTTACGGTTAGTGTTTCAGGGTTAAGGTTTTAGGCTTAGAGCTTAAGTTCAGGTTTCTGTAATGTTTGCATTACACTTGGATTAGGGTTATTTTCAGGGTCAGGGTCAAATTCAGGTTTAGCTGTTAGATTTAGGATTTAGAGTTGGGATTTGTTTTAGGGTTTAGGTTTTGGTGAGTGGCTAGGCATAGGGTTGATGTTGGGGTCAAGTCTGTGGCTTAGAGTTGCTGTTAGTGTTAGGGATTCCTGCTTAGGATCGGGGTAGAGGCTGAGTTAAGGTTAACGTTATGATTAAGTTTAGGGTTACAGAAGGCACTGGGCAGCTGGCTAGTGTATTAAGTCATCACTCTTTTTTGTAGAAGGGAGGACTGAGCCTTTCTCCCAGAACTTTTCTGGGTCTAAGCTCCGGGCCATCTTAATGCTCATTGTGCAGCCTCATAGGTTAGGAGCCAAAGGAAGTTGGCTTCTGAGGCCACAGCTTTTCTAAATGTCAACCCAGAGCTAACCAAATCCACAGTAGCTTGTGTTTGAGAATGGCAGGTGTTTTGAGGTAGTCTCTGGAAGGCCCAAAGGAAGGGAAGTGGGAAAATGTGAAAGTAAAATGCTGCAGCTGCTGTGGAAAATAGTTTGGTGTTCTGCAAAAGCTAAATATAAAATTACCATAGGACCCACAACATCCACTCCAAGCTGTATATACAAAAAATGTAAAAGAGGTATTCAAAGAAAAACTTGTATACATATGTTCATAGCAGCATTCACAATAACTAAAATCTGGAAACACAACAAATAAATGTCCACCAGCAAAATGTAAGAAGCAAAATGTAGTATGCCCATAGAATGGCATAATATTCAGCTGTGAAGAGGATGACAACTCTAATGCTACAATGTGAGGAAACTTCAAAGCAATTTTGGCTCAAGAAGGTGAAGACAAAAGTCACATAGTGTATGATTTTATTTATGTAAATATTTAGAATAAGTAAATCCATAGAGAAAAAAGTGCAGATCACTTGTTGCTGGTGTCAGAAAGAGGACAGATTGGGTAGGAGCTTCTTAATAAGTAGGGTATTTCCTTTTGGAATGATGAAAATAATTTGGAACTAAGATGCGGTTGTTGCCCACAAATATGCATGTACTAAAGATCACTAAGGAATTCATTAACAAACAGTTAATTTTATATTATGAGAAGGAAATTGGCCTCACTAAAAAGAGAAAATTTCTTCCTCAGCATTCTCTCAGCAATGTGAGCTCTCTTTCCACAGAGTGCTTGTAGCATGGGGTTCTGGTCCATCCACAGCCCAGAACTTCCCGGGGCCTGGCCAGCCACATACTAGACATGAACTCCCGCCACCCTGTCCAGCAGCTCCTCGACCTGTTACCAGTGGAAGTTATCTGAGTTACTGGTGTCAAATCTATCATGGTCTGCAGTAACTTAAACTCTTACTTCCTCAGAAGAAAGAATTTGACTGAGGGGAATAAAGTAGCAAAGGAGACTGAGAAAAGTTTCCCAGCAGACATGGATGTTTATTTAAAAAGTTTTAGAGTAAGAAAATGGAGAGTGCCCTTGGGAGAGATCCAAGTGGTTGATTTGAACACATACCATATATATGACCTGCAAATATTTTGTCCTATGCTGTTGGTTCTCTTTCCACTATGCTGACAGTGTCCTTTAATGCACAAAAGTGTTTAGCTTTGATGAAGTTCAGTTGATCTATATTTTCTTATGTTTTGTGTTCATTCAGTGATATAGCCAAGAAATCATTTACAGATCCACAGCCAATAAGCACATGAAAAGATGTTCAAAATCACTAGCCACTTAATACATGAATATCTAAATGAGAATAAGATTACCACTTTATCTCCATTGGAATTTTTTATTTTATTTTTTAAGGAAAACTTTGAGAGTATGTGGAGAAATTGGAAACCTTGTACATTGCTGGTGAGATGGTGAAATGGTGGCAATGGTTGCACAATTTGAGCATAGTTAAATAGTTAATGCTTCCAAATTATACACTCAAAAATATTTGAAATGGTACATTTGTTTACATATGTTTTTCCAATTATCACTAAAGCTTCCTCAGATATCATCCTAAAATAGTTGCATGTGTCATGAAAGAAGATGCTCTTCTCCTATCATGAGTAGAAGCCTATTTATTTATTCATGCTGGTATACACACTCCTGACTCTTCCACATCCCCAGCATGATCTCATCAAACAGAGTGAGTCCCTTCTCATCTGGCTCATTTGTGCTCCTTTCCATTACTACATTCTCCTTTTCAACTCACTACCTGCCCACTAAAAACAACTGTAAATTACCTTGTCTGCTTACCATCTCTGTAAACATTTCTTCTCTGTAATGTAATAGAAACAAAATCATACAATATGTCATCTCCTCAGACTGGCTTTTATCACTTAGCTTCATGTGTGCCTGATTCATCCATGGCTTTGTGTGACTTCATAAATCACTCTTTTTCTTTTGATGAATAGGATTTCATTTTATGAATTTGCCTGGCTTGGTTAATATTGAAAGGCATCCTGATTCCTTCAAGTATTTTGCCATTGTCAAGAGAGCAGTTATACATAAATGCACGTGATTTTGGGTTAGATGTGACTTTCCAAATCAGTTGTCTAAATACCTAAGTGTGCAATTGTTAGCCTATATGATGAGACCATGATTGCCTTTGGAAAAACCTGCCAAACTGTGGCAGAAGAAGACAACCATATTTTAAAGTTGCTGTACCATTATGCATTCCATCGGCAATGAATGAGATTTCCTGTTGCAGTTCTGATTACATTTAAAAAGAAATTTAGATATAGTATAGCTGTTTAGTGCTCTCACTTTTATTTTAATTTGCCTTCCCTGAATGGAAGGTGTTGTTGAGCATTGTTTTGTTATCATTTGTTCATTAATCTATGATTGCTGCCAAAAAGCATACATGCGTTGTGCCACAGAAAACCAATTTTTAAAAAAAGTACTCTATGCTTTACCTGGTAAAAACTAATAAAATTATTCTAGTCCACGTAGTCGTTTATCTTGCTATTTTTTCTTATCTTATGGTGACTACAAGAAAAGAGTGAACTGTAGCTAATAAGAGAATGTGGTGTATTGTCGTGATTTTTCATTGTGTAAAAGTCCCATTCACTCAAGTGATTTCTTTACGGATTTCAAGGGAGCAAGAGGAACGTCTAGAGTACAAACTAGTCTCTGTTGGAATTGACAAAAAGCTCTGATCTCAGTTTCACTACATATCTTGCAATGCTGAATCATTGACAAAAATAAAAAAAATTAGAACTATGAAGGTTTTGGTTCTTAAATCTGCCCCTACAAAAGTAGGTCAAAATTTGAAATCACTTGTGTTTTGTCTGTTAGTTTTTTATCTTTCACAAAACATTCCACTGCATCAGAATCAAAGTTGAAGACTGAGATTCATTTAATAGTGTTTTACTAACTGTTGTTTCTTTTTGCGTTTGGATATCACAGGTAAAACGTCTGATTACTTCAACATTACACATTTTAAATAATAAAAGCCAGAAAGAATGACAGAGGAAATTAATCCCATGAATTTTTAATGACTTGCTATTTGGTTTTTACTTACTACTGTTACTGTGTTTTCTGTCTTGAGAATACCAAAATAGTAGTGCATTGTACCAAGCATTCTAAAATAACTGCCTAAAAGGGTAATGGAATCATTTTTTTTCTTTTCCTTTTTTTTTTTTTCAAGATGGAGTCTTCCTCTGTTCCCATAGCTGGAGTGCAATGACGTGATCTCGCCTCTGGTAACCTCAGCTTCCCGGATTCATGCAATTCTCCTCTCTTAGCTTCCTGAGGATCTGGGATTACAGGACTCAGCCACCACTGCCGGCTAACTTTTGTATTTTTGGTAGAGAGCTTGTTCATCATGTTGATCAGGGTGATCTCTAACACCTGACTTAAGGACATCCACCTGGCTCTACCTCTCAAAGTGCTGGGATTACAGGTATGAACCACCATGTCTGGCCATGCCAATTCTTTTATTTCTTTATGAAGACAACCGTAGGTTGAAAGCCATCTTTCCTAATACTTGTCAGTGCCTCAAGATTGTTAGGATAAAAGTAAAATTTCCAAACAAAGGATACTTGTTGGTATCCAGAATTTTAAGAAAAGTTGAGAAATAAAATATCCAGCTTCTGGCTCTTTCCCGGTGAGCACGCTCAATGTCTGGGGAATCCTTGGAACCTGGAGGAAGGGTAGAGCTGGGGTAGGTGGGGATGATCTTTGGAGCCACTGTCACTGTGGCAGCCACTGTTGCTCCTCAGGAAATGGCTTGGAGCCTCAGCCTTCAGAAGAAATAACAGGGGCTCAGCAAGCAGTATTTTGTGTGCCAGATTTTCCATCTTCGTATCTTTTTTGGTGCAGTATCTACTGAGGTCTCTATCATTAATTTGGTCATCTTATTTCTTTGTACATTTTAACTGAAAGTCACTTCTCAGATGTGTTACCTAAATTTTTCTCAGCCTGCACCTTGTTTTTTTGATTATCTTAACCTGAACATATTTTTTTTTCTTCTTTTTGTTTTTTTGCCTTTTTTGAGATGGAGTCACACACTGTCACCCAGTCTGGGTGCAAAGCCGTGATTTCAGCCCACTGCAACCTTTGTCTACTAGGTTGAAGGGATTCTTCTGCCTCAGTTTCCTGAGTAGCTTGGATTGCATGTGCCTGCCAACAAGCATAACTTTATTTATTTATTTTTTTGTATTTTTAATAGAGAGAGTGTGGCAGTCAGTTACTATGGGATGAAACAAAGGGGGTTGAATACAGAAATGAAGACAAAGACAAAAAATATTTGTTTTAAAAGAGGGGTCAGGGGGCTCATTTCTTCTAGTCAGCAAAGGCCCTGAGCTTCTACAGGCCTTCATATTTATTAGGCAGAATCAACAGGGAGGAAAGGCAATTGTTGGTCAGCTGCTTGATTTATCACAGGCTCACATAATTGCTTTCTTTGTACTACAGACTTCAGATGTTCCTATATATAACCACAAGAAATACTGCGCTTGGGGCATGACTGCCCTCAGTATTCCTTCTGGCACCAGACGTGGTGTGTCAGGTTATCAAAATGCTGCTTTCGTGAGAACAGTTTGCTCTCTGCTCATAGACCCTCCAGTCTTTACTGAGTTGGTCACAACCTTTATTCTTTTGGCCTCCAACATCTCCATTTTGTTTCTGCATTAACTGAGTACAGGTGATTGCAGGCTGTGCAGCTCTCAATTGCTGTTTGGTGGTCCAGCTGCTTTTACTGACAATGAGCATAAAACAGAGACATAATAACATTACTCCAATAATCACAAAAAAGATATTGAGGTGATGTTTGGAGGAGGTCCAAGGGTTAAGGCTCTCTACACCTTGCTGGAATTCTGTGCAAGTTTTCAGAGATGGCTGAAATACTTGAGTATGCTTATTCAAGTTAAGAATTGCACATGTACCCTAAAACTTAATGTATAATAAAAAAAAGAAAAAAAAAGAATTTTACTTTGTTAATCATTAATATCAAAAGTAACATTGTATGTGAAAGCCCCATGTAAATGGACCTTTACAGGTTTCTATGGATATTCACTTTGGTTTTATTCCAAATTAGTTACACAAATATGAGTATGCTTAAAATGACAATGCAATTGCTGCTGCAACTACAAGTTTGTTCTTCTTTTCCTATCCTCAGAACTGTAGTCTTTAACATTGTTGCTTCTGTGTGTATCTCAGTGTTAAGTTTATTTTTAAGCATCCATGCCCGGTCGGCTGTACACATCCAATTTTCTACATATTGAGCTGTCTGAATGGAGCTCTACATTGCTACTAAGGATGCCACAACAGAAATTATTAGTGTTCCTAAGGAGACTTTCACAATTATTTTCATGCCTAAGGCTCTACAAGCACAATGAGTAAGCTGAGTAAGAAAAAGATTTACAAAATGGAAACCAGAAGTGGCCACCCAAGGCTCAGGCAGATTTACAGGAATCCATAATCTGGGATTGCAACCTAAAATTACTAGGGTGGATATGCTATATGTTTGTACTGTGCTATGGTTAAGGGAATAATACAGTTGACAAGAATCACAAGTCAATTGGGCATCGTTTAACTGGAGTTAGTCCATTTTGCTGCTAGAAAAACATAAGTTTAAAAACACAAAATGTAAATTGAGTGGTAATATTTTCTACAAAGGTAACATTGCAACTGCATTCAGCACAATTACTATAATTAGATAGTGTTCGAACACAAATGCTGCCATTCATATAGTGGAGTGCTGCCTTCCCTATCGACTCTTGAATTGTACGTTTCTTTCCTTGATAATGTCATTGAGGCAAAGTTGAGCTAAAGCCTGTTCCAGGCCAAGCGAAACTTGCTGCAGATTGGGATTGAATCCCAGTGCAATGTAGTGAAGAGATGCTAACCAGTGTCAGCGAAGTTTATGACATGAGGTCGGAGTCTCATCTCTCCCATCTAAGTGACCACAGGGACCCAGAAAATAATGTCTCCCATTAGCATGAACTGTTGTTCTCTAGCTAGGGTGCCAAGACACTGGGTCCAATGAGGGGGGTAGGAATTATCAAAGGGAGCCCATTCTGTATAATTAATAGAATTTTGGGGATGGGGCTGTGAGTGGTTATTATCTACACCAGTAATGTTAATAAAGCTAAGGCCTAATAGGTACATAATTTTTCCATGGTAACTTAACCGTACTTGGGATTAATTTGCAAGGCCACTGCAGTTGAGTGATGTACCCTGGGTGATGCATAAAGGAAGTCCCTCCAATGGCACAGCATAATTGATAATCATTGTTCTGAGAGTCTAATTACTGTTTGTCAGGGGGTGTTTGGGGTCCTGGTGCCCATCCTCCATGATCATGATAGATATCAGGGGGAGTGTCACTCCATATTACACTCCATAATACTGGGGGATTGGAAATATATGCCCAATATGTTTTTGTCTCTGCACAAGGAAAACCTACTGGCCAGGATGTTACAGGTAGCATGGCCATAAACGTGAGGTCAGGGTTGTTTGCCTGACCCTGGTGCTCCAGCAGTTTCAACTGACTCATGGCTTGTAACGGAGGAGCCGGATCCATAGTTGGGAACCATGGCTCTTTCCACTCTCCCTTTACATGGTCGCAAACACATTGAGGGCACCCACACAGTTTATCCATCTTCTGTGAAAACACAAGCATACCTTCGTCCTTACATCAGTAAATCTACTGAGCCATTCCATCGTCCTTGGGGGGATTTTCATAATATCTTTGGGTATACTTTCCTTTTTCCCTATAACATTTACCAGTGTCATTCTGCCATAGTCTTACTATCTGTACCAGGAGACAAAAAATTTAAACGAAGTGAAAAAAAAAATTAAAGTAAAAGTAAATGTATTTTGTTTGAGGTGGTAACTGGTCTCCTGTTTCCCCTTTCTGTTTTTTTCAGCACGCGTTGTACTGTTCAATTTGCCTGCTCTATAATTCCTTGCCTTGGGGATTGTAAGGAATTCCTGTTTTATGAGTGATTGAACATAGCTGTAATAAATTTTAAAAAGCATGACTAACATAAGCGTGTCCATTGTCAGTTTTTAATTGCCTAGGAACCCCCATATGAGCACATGATGACAGACAATGTCATTGTAAATAACCAGCTGTTTGACCTGGTTTACATGTAGCATGCCGCATGTGAGAATAAGTGTCTATAGTCCCATGAACAAAGGCGAGCTTGCCAATGACAGCTTTGTGAGTAACATCCATCTGTCAGATTTCATTTGAAGCTAAGTCTCATGGGTTACAGCCTTCTATGGGTGTGACTCCAGTGACATGCTGGCAAGTAGGACGGGCTTGTACAGGCTGCAGCCTGGCTGTTAGGCAAATGAAACATACGAGTAAAGACAGAGTTTTGATGCAGTAATATAGGAGAAAGTTGAGCTTGCTGAAATGCAGAACAAATCAATTTATTGGCTCTATTATTACCTAGAAATAGTGGTGTAGGGAGTTGTGTGGGAGAGCAGATATGAGAGATATAAAAAGGAGCATGAGAGCAAACAGCTTGTTAAAGCCTTAGAAACAAGTTAAACATCTCTGGTGCTAGGGTGCTTTTAATAGTGGCAGTCCCAATATGACCAGCTACATTTACAACATAGGCTGAATCATAGAGAGTGTTAATAAGAGATGAACCAGTGAGCTCTAAAACCTGATTAAGTTCCATTAGTTCTGAGCGTTGAGCTGAAACTCTGGGTTTTTTTTATTGTAGGAGCATGGTTAGTACTATAAGTAGCTTTGTGACCTTTGGAAGAGCCATCAGTAAAATAGGTCTGGCTGCCTGAAATGGGCTTGTGATGAGGAATCACAGGGAAGATGAAAGGTTGAATTTTTAAAATTTCAAAATTTTGTCTGATGGATAAAGTTTATGTATTATTCCTACATAATCTGAAAGAGCAATTTGACACACAGTCAACAATTCCCATGATGCAACTATTGTTGGGAATCCAATATTTTTCCTCATACTTTTAGACTGGCTCTAAAAGGAGAACAGTAATTTTGTCTGGATCATATCTCTTAAGCATTTTTGATCTAACCCTACCCCTTGTTATAAATTGAGTAGTTAAAGAAAGATAAACTTGCAGAGATTTTACTATCTGATTGAATTTCAAAAGAAAGCCATTCTATCACAATTGCATATTTTTCTATGATCTGTCGTAAAAGTCCTTTTGGAGAATGGGGGATAGAAAGAACAAAGAGAACCAAAGGCTTTTGTGGCTGTGGCTGGGAGGCATGTGTTTACTGAAGAATCTGCACTACAAGGTGTAACTCAACTTCAGCCTCCTTAGTAAGTTGCTGGAGCAACGCGTTTGTCTCCTAAGCCCATTACTCCTAGTGAAGAATCTCCATGGATGATCTGAGTGTTTGAATTGATGAGTAGCAATGCCTAGGATTGGGCACAGCCAATTTATGTCTCCTAATAGTTGTTGGAAATCACTGAAGGTTTGTGATCTGTCCCTACAGAGGACTACTTTCTGAGGTCTAACATTTGTTTCAGTAACAATAGTGCCTAAGTATTGGTATGGGGAGGTTGTTTCTACCATTTGTTGAACTATTTTGAGATGTCCCCCTGTTTTGCTTCTCTCAATATTTGGTGTAATCACTCTTCCATTGGAGCAGCAAAAAGGATTTCATCCATATAATGAATGATGTAGGCAGTAGGAAATATATTATGAGGCTCCTTTAAGGACTGTCCTACAAAACGCTGAAATAGCGTAGGACCGATGAGCATGCTTTGGGGCAAAACTTCGCTTATCCTTCTCATGTAAGGGTGTAGTAAGGAAATAATCTTTAGGATCTACTACTATGAGAGGTGAGTCACTTGGAATGGCTGCCAGTAATGGCAGACCTTGCTGTAATGCACCTATTGGTTTAATCTGTGCATTAATAGCTCTCAGATCACGTAGAAATTTGCAGGCAAAATGGTCTGTTTTTATATACTAAAATTTTGCTGAAACTTTACACTTGTGTTCATGCTACTTAATATTTTAAATTGTCTGTGTGTGTATGTACATACACATCTATATACACATACACATATATGATATGTGTATATATACATACATCTATATACACATAAACATATATGATATGTGTATATATACATACATCTATGTACACATACCAGCGTGTATAGGTATACATACATAAACTGGGTATTATATGTGTTTGTATTACATTCATATATATGTACACACATTCATATGTATATGTGTGTATATATATACATATAAGTTTGTGTGTATACATACACATATATGTATATGTGTGTATATATATATAGTTGTGTGTATATACACATATACACATACACACACATACGTATGTGTGTGTATATCTGTATGTAATAACATATATGTAATACCCAGACTTTATGTATGTATATCTATACACTCTGGTATGTGTATATAGATGGTACGTGTATACGCATGTATATACATATACACATACACACACATATGTATGCGTATATATTACACATGTGCATATATATACAAACATTCACACACATATATAAGTGTGTGTATATATAAGTATATATGTATGCTCTGTCTATATATGTGTGTATATATACACATACACACATATGTGTGTATATTACATACACATACATATATAGACATATATGTGTGTGTATGTATATGTGTGTATATGAGTGTATATGTGTAATTCCTAATTACATGTATGTGTGTGTATATGTATATATATATATATATATATATATGTAAAATTCCGTCTTTGTCTCCTAAGTCCATTCAACCCAAAAAGTTCCAGGTACGTGGGGGAAGCCTAAGAAAGATTATGCGGTAGTTACAGTGAAGCAACAGTCTTTAATAGAGTTTGAGTCTTTATATTATCCCTGTTTTCCCATACTATGGTCCTAGCAAAACATTGACATCCTCATAAATAAGACGGATTGACTTTGAAACTTAACATTCTCTTCTTATTTAGATATTAATGTAGCTGGATGCAGAACGGTTGCCTCAAAAAATAAAAAAAAAAAAGATTCCATTCCTTTCCTTCTTTTATAAAAACATCAGCAATGAGGTTGTAATTTGTCAAGGGCAGCTTCTTTTTGACTGTTGAAAGTGGAGATTTTCTGCTTAGAGATGGGACATAGAGTCTTATAATTGTCATTGAGACATTGCAGGGGGAGAAAGTTGGAAACCAGACATTTTAGGCAAAGGGCTGACAAGATTCTATATAGAGAAAAATCCTATCTTAACAAGTGGCAATGTAGGATCTGAAATATTAGATGAAAACTCTGATTACAAACACTTTTCTGTCAAAAGTTAGAAAAGAAGGGTTAGGGCTTGATAAACGTTCCCTACACTATGCCTCTTAGATTAATAGGACAGTGAAAAAGGAGAAGAAAAAATGCAGAAGAAAGTATTCCCTCGGGGTAAGAAAACTTCTTTTACAGTGTTCTAAATGTCTATCGCTGGTTCCCAAAAAGGTTTTTACCAAGTTAAAAGTTAGACTAAAAACTCGAATTTCGTTTGTTTCCAAGACACCACCAAAACAGCAATATTTGAATAATATTCCTGATTACTAAATCACCAACTGAATTCACCCAATAAGAATATATTTCCTGGTTGCAACATTGCATAAAAAGAAGAAAATAAGAGACATGATTGCCATAAACGGAAAGGCAAGAAAATAAAATAGAAAATTCTGGAATTCCTGGTGCCATCACCCTGATGGACTGTCATTGACTGGCCTTAGTTCAGAAGGCTTTAGATAACACTGAGCTGTAGCCTTGGCCAGAAACTTTCAATTGTCTCAAGACCGATTGTAAGTCTCTGCATGCATAAGCTGCTTTGTGAAGGAAAGTGAGTTGGAACAGAGCCAAAGTTTTCATCAACTGAGGATGTTGGGGGATTGTCAAAGTTCTCTCTATCTGGCCTGTCACCTGAGTCTTATAAGGCTGGAAGTCATCCTTTTGATTTGAACTGGCTGACACTGGCTCAGTGTTGTTTGCTCTTGAGTACAAAAAGGAAAAATAAACTTAGGACAAAATCCTCAGAAATAAAAGTAAAGCAAAGAATTTGAAGAAGTGCTCCTATACTCCTACTGAGTATTCTAATATATTGCTTTCTCAGAACATGTAGCAAATATATATAAATTGAAAATGGGGCTTTGGTTTGTCTTCCACTTTTTTTTTTGGACTGGTTTTCTTCTTTGCCTGGCTATGTTAAACCTGCTATTTGTCTCTGAATCTCTCTGTTCCCTGTGTGGCTTCCTGTTGCTCAGCAGTACTTAAGATTTGCCTTAGGAGTGACATAACATGTGAGCATGCAAAATCAAAATTCGGGAACGATTTTGGAAAGCCTCTCTCTATTCATCCGGGTATCATAATACTTTTCTAGGTCCCAATCTATCTGTTTTAAGTCTTGTAATAAAAAGAGAATCAGGAATTTAGAGGCAACATGTTTTTTGGTCATTTTCTTTAGGGTTAGTGGTTTAATGGAAGGTTGGTTGGGAGAATTGAAGAATCTGAGGATGATAAAGTGACTACAGGAGTCCCTTGTCGGGGGACACAAGAAAAGGTGGAACATCTCGAAGTTTCTTCTGAGGGTTGCCTGGGGATTTGTTTCTCTGATGTTTTAGAATTGTTCACTATAGACAAGTCTGATGTGCTAAGTAGGCATGGTCAACATTACAATGTTTACAAACATCTGGGTTGTTTGCGGGACAAAGAAATCTGACATATATGGCACCTCAGACAATTTGCCTTCTCAATTGCAGAAAATATCTAGATGTTGGATAGTATTGAGAGAAAAAAGTTAAGTAGATAGGATGGATTCTTGCTACAACTACTTTAAGCAAAGAGACAGACTGAAATACCAGGCTTCATGCAGATTAAAAAAAAAATCCTGCACAAACCTGCAGTCCACTCATATAAAGGAACATAGCCTTATAAATAAACTCTTTTGTAATTACTTTTTTTGGCCTAAAACATGCCTACAGATAATCTGATAAAAGAAGAATAGTATGCATAAAAATGCTTCTCTTCCAGAAAATAGTCTCTATTTCTTTTACCCAGTGGTTTTCAGTGTGTTCCGATGCACACTTTTGCACATGTGGGCATGCCACTATACATATCAGTCTGCTACTTTGAAGTATCATCAGGCTTTCTTTTTCCTTCACTGTAATGAAGTCAGATTGATTACTTAACAGGGAAAAAATGACTGTTCACAGCACAGATAGGAGACAGATGTGTTTCTCACTATACGGCAGGTTCTGATGTTTTTATGAATTAAGAAAAGAGTGTGCTCACTAGTCTTGAAAAAGTACTAGTTGGCTTGACTCAGAAACTTGACCCAGGACTGAAAAGTAGCTGAAGTAAAAATTTATAGTGGCTCAGCTCACAGTAGAAAGCATATCCAGAAAAAAGAAGAAGAAGAAGAAGAAGAAGAAGCAGAAGAAGAAGAAGAAGAAGAAGAAGAAGAAGAAGAAGAAGAAGAAGAAGAAGAAGAAGAAGAAGAAGAAGAAGAGGAAGAGGAAGAAGAAGAAGAAGAAGAAGAAGAAGAAGAAGAAGAAGAAGAAGAAGAAGAAGAAGAAGAAGAAAAGTGCTCACTGAAGCACACTGAAGCTCCCTGTGTAAAAGGAATAGAAACTATTTTCTGGAAGTATGTGCATTATTTAAGAAGAAAAATATTTTTATGCAGAATATTCTTCTTTTATCAGATTATCTGTTGGCATGTTTTAGGTAACAAAAAAGTGCAAAAAATATTTGTTTGTTAGGCTTTGTTCCTTTATATGAGTGGGCTGCAGGTTTGTTCAGGTTTTTTTAAAAATCTGCCTGCAGCCTGGTATTTTAGCCTGTTTCTTTGTTCAAAGTAGTTTTAGCAAGAATCCATCCTATGTACCTAAATTTTCTCTCTCAATTCTATCCAACATCTAGATATTTTCTCTAAGTGGGAAGGTAAATTATCTGAGGTATTTTCTTTGTCCTGCAAACAACCCAGATATTTGTAAACATTGTAATGTTGACCATGCCTTCTTAGCATATCAGACTTGTCTATAGTGAACAATTCTCAAAAGTCAGAGAAACAAACCTCCAGGAAACCCTCAGAAGAAACTTCCAGATGTTCCAGCTTCTCCTGTGTCCCCCATCCACAGACTCCTCTAGTCACTTTATCATCCTTTTCTTCTTCATTTCTCCCAAGCAACCCTCCATTAAATTGTTACCCCTAAAGAAAATGCCCAATAAACACGGTGCATCTAAATTACTGGTTCTCTTTTTATTATAAGACTTCAAACAGATAGATTGGGACCTAGAAAAGTATTCTGATAACTCTGATGAATACAGACAGGCTTTCCAAAATGTTACCCAAGTGTTTGGTTTTACATGGCAACATGTTATGTCATTCCTAAGCCAAATGTTAAGTACTGCTGAGCAACAGGAAGCCGCACAGGCAACAGAGAGTTTCAGAGACAAATAGCATGTTTAATATAGCCAGGCAAAGAAGAAAACCGGACCAAAAAAAAAATGAGGGGAAAAGAGACAGAAGCCCCATTTCCAATAAGAAGGGAGACATTGCCCCTTAAAAAACATAACTAAAGGCCTACTGATTTTATGGATGAGTGGAAACAAAAAGAGTTTCTAATGTGTGTGTTAAAAAGCTTCCAAGAAACTGGAATCAAAGCTCTTAATTAATCAAAACTGGCCATATTGAAATAAAAACCAAATCAAAATATTTCAGCCTTAATGAAAGGCTGAGAGAGGATTCTGTGGATTTTTTGAAACAATCTTCTCTATCTCCTGGTTTAAATAAAATACAGGTAATCTTGTTAGGCAAGTTTATTACTCAAACTTTAAATCAGAAGATAACTACAAAAGCAGACTATGGTCCCAGATACCACAGTAGAAAAATTGTGGGTGGCATTCTTGGTCTTTTACAGCAGGGCCCACAAAGAGGCACAGGAAAGGCAGAAAAAGCAAGAGATAGACAGAGGCATTAGTGACGGAATTACAGGTCTACAAAATCCAGGAGTTTTGAGCTGGACCTTCTAACTGCTGAAAGTTTGGCAAGCTCCAGGACTCTTCAGGAAGAACAGCAGAGAAAAGAAAACAATGCCTCCTCAACTCTGTCCAGCCAGTGGTGGCGACCACTGGAAGGTGGAATGCCTGCAGAGACATAGTTTGCATTACAGGGCCCGATTTTATATAATCAAGTAAGACTTATGCATCCCAGGGCTCAATTCAGGCTTCAATTGTAGTCTCACCAATTCACCACATGTAGCAAATTCTCACTGTGTGACATCACAAAGAGTTATTTATCTGGGGTCCAAAAACTTGAGGAACGTGCACACAAAGTGAAGTTAGCACTGAAGTTTAAGAAGGAAATTAAAATGGCTCTCCACGGTGGAAACCCAATTTGGTTGTCCAGTGTCACCCTGGTGTTTGGGGTCCTCATGTACTGGGAGATGGAAGAATGTGATGATTGATCTCGGAAAAAGCATTACTCAGCTTGGCTTTGGACTTTTGCTTGGGACAAAACAAGTGCTGATGTGAAAGCTTGGCTCACGACCTCTACCCATGACTAATCAGAGGCTGATGTGATGATTCATACCACTTCAGGTTATATTCCAAAGCATGTCCAGAAAAGTGCCCACTAAAATTTATTGTCGCCCACCGTGTACTTTCCTCACCGAAAAAAAAGCCACTAATTTTGGAAGTCCATTGCTTATACAAAAGACAAGGGTGTTTTCTTGTTGTTCTTGTTTTTCAATCAGTCTCTTTGTGAGCATATATTTGTGCACAAAGAACAAAGTTCTGTCTATGTTGGACTGCGTTTCTTCATGTGAGTGGGCTGAAGGTTTGTGTGAGTTTACTAATATGTGTCTGTAGCCTATTTTTCAGTAAGCTGGATCTTTGTTCCTAGAAGTTATACCAAGGGCCCCCCCCAACTATCTAACTTTTCTCTGCTGTTAGGGAGAGACCAACCCTACTACCTAACTGCTGTTAGACAGAATTGATCTTTCTAGCTACCTCCTGCTAGGGAGAGGGGTTGTGCAATGAAACGCAACAGCTGGAGCTCTGCCTGAGGTCAGGATAAGGTTTCACAGAAACACGGTGTTTTCATAAGTGGTTTCATTTCCAGTACCATTTGGAATTTGATTTCCTCTATGTAAGAAGAAAAAAATTGGGTTATAAAAATATGTGTTTTTAAATGAGATGAGCTGAGGCAATAAACAGCTTAAAAATTCTGAGGCTGCTGACATGCCCCGAAAACTGAGGGCTATAATTATGCCAGAGAATTGTAGATGTATAGGGCTTGGCTTTGCTTAGCGTCCTTAGTCTTATCCCCACAAAGACAAACACCCCTTAACTATGAGTCCACACTATACTTTCATGACCTGGCACGATTTGTAGAATAAATTGCCCAGAAGAAAATATTGTTACATACTTTAAAATGTTAACCTTTTTTATGTTTTCTACTTAGCTGTAGCTGGAGATTTCTGACTGGCTCACAGAAATTAACAGGGCTAGTTTAAACTACAGGCAAATTCTAAAGACAACTAATGAGACTAGAAGACAATGGCCAATGTAAGATTTGAAGCAAATTTTTCTATTTTCCTTGTTCATTTCTGTAAAAAACAAATATAATAGGCCTGGGTTGACAGCAAAATGGTCTATAATTTAATAGTTAAAATAACTATTGGCATAAACTGTGGGCCAAATAATTGCTCTTAAATAGGCTTTGTACACTGGTTTTGATGAAACTTTTCTTCATGAGGAACCTCTGATAAAACCTCTTAAAACCAAGCACAACCATGGGTTTTACTTCCAAATACTGATGTGTTGCAGGAAATTAGGGACCCCAAGCAGAGGGACCTGCTGAAGCTGTGGTAGAAGAACATAAATTGTGAGGATTTCATGGACATTCACTAGTTCCCCAGATTAATACTCTCATAATTTCCTATGCCTGTCTTTACTTTGATCTCTTAATCCGATCATCTTCGTAAGCTGAGGATGTATGTCACCTCAGGACCCTGTGATGATTGTGTTAACTGCACAAATTGTTTGTAAAGCATGTATGTTTGAACAATATGAAATCTGGGCACTTTGAAAAAGGAACAGGATAACAGTGATGTTCAGGGAACATTGGAGATAACCATTAGGTCTGACTGATTGGGAGCTGGGCAGGACAGAACCATATTTGTCTTACTGCCAAAAACAGGTAAGATAAATATCACTGAATTCTTTCCCCAGTAAGGAATATTAGTAATTAACAGCCCTGGTAAAAGAATGCATTCCCAGGAGGAGGCCTCTAAAATGGCCGCTCTAGGGGTGTCTGCCTTATGCAGTTGCAGGTAAGGGATGAAACACACCCTGGCCTCCTGCAGCAACCCCAGGATTGCTAGGATTAGGAAATTCCAGCCTGGAGAATTCTAGCAAGATCAGTTCTCTGCTCTGGAACCCTGTTAAGATGTTTATCATGACAATGCATGCACAGCAGGACATGGAACTTCATTAGCAATTCTAGGTTCACCCTGATGTTGTGATTTTGCTGTGACCTTTCTGCCTTGTGATCTTTCATTGCCCTCTGAAGCATGTGCTCTCTGTCTCCCACACCCTATTTGTACACTCCCTCCCCTTTGAAAATTGCTAATAAAACTTGCTGGTTTTTGGCTTAGGGGGCATCACGGAACCTGCTGACATGTAATGTCTCTGCCAGACACACCGCTTTAAAATTTCTTTCTTTTTTTTCTAACCTATCCTTTTATTTCTCAGACTGGCTGACACTTATGGAAAATAGAAAAGAACTGAGGTTGAAATATCGGGGGTTGGTTCCCTAATACCTATGAGTTGGTTAAACTTTTTCCTTCTTCAGGTCCAAGCAAATGGGATTTCTGGGCATGTTAAAAAATGACCTTCTTTGATATTTGGGGTTTTGTAAAGACTGTTGCAGGGTCTAAAATGGCCTTTGTTTTATAGCTTATTTATAATGACTTCTAGCCCTTTTCTACCTTCTGGTTTGGGAAATAATGCCTCTGGTCAGAAAAAAAAATAGTGCAATCCTTAATGTAAATACAGATACATACAGTGGTTGTAGCCCAGCAACATTTCTCTGGACATCCCATGCTTCTTAGTTAATATTAGTTTCCACTTAGTGGAGACAAAGAGTTTATCCTGCAGCCATTCATATGGAGGCTTCTATATAGGCCAAAATATCTCTACCTAGTAATAAAGTGGGACTTTCAGGAATTATTAAATTGGTATGGCTAAATAGAAGGTCGTTTCAACTATAACTAATGGGCTGAGAAAATATTCCATAAAGGACTTTTGCTGACACATCCATCATTGTCACATTATGGGAGGAGAGAAAGCCTAGATTGAAAAGCAGAACAAAGACACCCACTCCAGTTTTGAGAAGGAAGTCTACTTTCCTCCCTTCCACCTTCAGAATCACCCAAGGATTTTGAAGAGTTTGGAACCCGAAGACTATGGCAGCTGTTAGAGCTGGGGAATTGATCTCCAGGAACTCTCAGTCTTGCTGGACCATTTGTGAGACTGGTCCTGGACTTAGTGGTGCATGCCTCATTAATCAGCACACCCTTCAGTGGTCACCACCACTGGTTGGAGAGTGTTGAGGTGGCTTTCTATTGTTTTCTCAGCATTTCTTGGGAAAGTGTCCTGTCTTGCCACACTGATAACAGTTAGCAGGTGCCACTCAGGGACTTGGATTTTTACAAAACTGTATTGCATTAGCTAGAGTCTCTGTTCTTCTTTTGTCTTTACTCTTCTTCTTTTGTGCCTCCTCATGTTTCCTATTGTAAAATCTGAAGTACCCACATTCAGGAGGCTCTTTACAGTGTTACTGAGATAAGAAAGCTAGCTTGAGTTAGGGAGGCAGCAAGGAAAGTGTCCCTGGAAAACCACTGTTCTGCAGGTTCATTTCTCATTTACACGTAACACATAAGCAGCCTTAAAAAAAATCAGTCTGCAGACACCAACAAGATAACTAACACAGAGGGTTGTATCTCAAGATCCGTATTGTCACAGACAGAAGAATCTTCAGTCCATTCAGAGAAAAGTCTTGTGCAAACTCTGGCTCATTGTGATAAGAGAACCAGCCATGGCTCAAAAATACCCTTGTATTTGTATAATCGGTTGGCTCCCAGGAAGTAGTTTCTTGTCCATTTTTTTTGGCATAAACACAGTGGGTCCTGGTGGCTTCTGGTTGGCACATTTGTTTCCTTTTGGACTGTGAGCCCAGCCTTTATAAATTACTGTTTTAGTTCCTGATTAAGCCTGGGCCAAATTTTTGAGCCAAGCTTTTACGTCAGCTCCTGATAGGTCATGGGATGAGCTGAGCAGCAGCTATAAATTATGACTACACCTCCTGGTTATTTCTAGGCAGATTTCTTGGGTTAAGCTTTTGAATTATTCTCAGGCCAAGACCCTGAGCCAAGTTAAATTGCATGGTCTTCAAAGCAGCCCATTGACTAAAAACACTTCTTTCTCTTGCTAGTTTGTAATAACCCTGAACCCCAACCTCATAGTGGGAAACACATTTGAGTCCTTCTTTTGATTGGCAGAGAGCTTTCTTCTTGTGCTTTTTTTTCTTTAATCTCAACTTTGTTTCTCAGCTTCTTTTTTTTTTATTAAAGGAAAGATCTTTGGGTATAATTACAGACAAAGGGATACTCTTACATCTTGGTGCATTGGTGAGACTGCAACATATATTGGTGCATTGGTGAGACTATACGTATGTTTCTGCATGGGCTGTGAAGGAAACAATTCATCAGAATGGTAAAAATAGACTTTAAACTTCCAAATTCATTTCAAAAATGTCTTGTTTATTTCAAGACTTTTTTCATAAAGAGCCTGGCAGTCACATGAGATCTAGAGGAGATCCCAGGGACACTAAAAGTTTCAGCTTGAGGCTACATCTCAGTGTTATCTGATTATCGTTAGACTAATTCTGGTCTGTGACAACTCATCAGGCCATTAACACAAGGACTTCGCATTTTTATCTATTGAATTTAAAATTTTTCTTTTCACAGCTATAATGTCTTTCATATTTTTTTCTATGCAGCGTTGTGGGCATTTTTACAGCCTCGGTATACTAGGTATACAGGTTTGCTTAACACAGTTACTCCTTGTCTCAGTAATTAGTAGTGTAATTTAAAAAGGTTTGTTTTTGTGATTTCTGTGAAACAAGGGGAATTCAAGATTTCACTATAAATTGTTACCTATAAAAGGGCCTTTTTGTCCCTCACTAACAGATAATCGTGGCACTGTATGGGAGGGATTTGACTGCAAGTAAATACTCTTTCCTTTATGTGGAATTTTTTACAAAGATATTATTTTCCTTCACATAAAAGTTACAAGAGACAAGTTAATTTTTGCCTGTTGGGGGGCATTTAGTGGAGACAACCTATCTAACCCAAAATCTCTCTTTCTAACTTTTGAATAAAGAGAATTTTGTGTCAGAAATTTTAACCTAGCCTTTCTAACCTTACATCACTCCCTAGTGAAATAAGATTTCTTTTCTACCTGGAGCCTTGTGAATCCATTGTCCAAAACTTACAGCTTTGAAATTCTTTCCCCATTTACATTCTGCCATCAGTGATTAGCCCACATATCCTATCTTTAAACAGGCAGCCTCCACTATTAATTATTGGGAGAAAAACAATGTTAAAGAGCAGATTTTAGCCTCTTTGCTTTCACCATCTAATGAAGGGCCATTCAGCCATTCAGTTTCTACAGTTTTAAGCCACCTGTTCTGCATTGCAATAATATTGGATTTAAAATGTTTGAAAGTCAATCTGTCTCATTCTCTGAGATTCTGATGTTTCACTGGGAACATAGTTACCAAAGCCAAAGTTAGTATGAAGACATTTCCTCTATTAAAATGTCTAGAACAAATTTTACTACTACATAACATTTGCAAGGCCTCTGGGGTAACTTTCAAGCCTTTGGGGTTCAGTGGGTCTAGGACAAAAGGAGGGCAGAAAGCTACAGCTTTGCACAGGTGAGTGTGGCTAGTGCTTCTGACTAGCTCCTCCAGATATAGGTGTAAAAGCTATGCTTGCATTTCTGAGCAGCACCTATTACAGTTTTGGGGGCACAGATGAGACAAAGGAAAAAGATGAAAAAGGATACTGTAACACTTTCTATTTATCCTGGGTAACACCAAAAGGAGGAAGTCATCTGAATGACACCTTGTTTACCCTCTGTCTCTAGATGGCAACAAAACATCTGTAGACTGCACTCCCCTTGAGTGCACTTGGAAGCACTGGGACTCCATTGACCTTGAGTCTCTAAATTTATAAACAATAATAATGATATTCAACTAGCAACAAGGTGGCCATGTGGCCATGTTCCTGACAGGAGGACAGGCCTTCCCAAAGAAGCATAATTTCAATAATATCTAACAGCTAGGTCCTTTTGCTCTTCAAAAAAACCCTAGATTTTGTAAACATTGTAAAATTACCCCTGTGCCTTTGGGAACCATACAAGGTAAGTCTACAATACATAATTTTCCAAAGTCAAAGAGAGAAATCTCTAGAGAACTGTCAAATGCAATTTCTGAGTGCCCTATCTGACTCCTTTAACTGGGACTCAGAATAGTTGTATAAAAACACCTCTTGTTGTGCAAGCCCAGGAAACTTCCAACTTCACTGGTGCCCCTATAACAAATGCACAATGAATATGGTGCTACTAAGGTTTAAATTTCCTTCTCATTACAGTAAACTTATATACATAAAGCTGGACTTAAGACAGTTCCCTGATGAACCTGATAGACATGCACAGGCTTTCCAACATTTAAATCAGCTGTTTCCTCTTATGTGCAGAAATGCAGTGCAACTTTTAAGCCACATTTCAACTACTGCGGAAAAACAGGCAGCAGTACAGACAGCAAAGGAATTTGAAGATGAACAACTGACATCCTATAGTCAGTCAAAAAATAAACAGAAGCGAAAGATGAAAATGGATGAGTAAAGAAGACAGAATTACTATTTCCAATAGAAAGGAAAACAGTGCTGTTTGAAAACCCCAAATGAAGCCTTGGTAAACCTACAGATGAATAGAAATGAAAAACACTTTCTACTGTGCATATTATCAGGCTTCGAAAGAACCAGAACAAGACTTCTTAATTACTCTGAACTGTTCTTGTTGAAATCACAAACTAGAAAAAAACTCACAGATTCTTTGGAATGGCTGAGAGAAGCTTTAGCAATACATGTGTCTCCATCTCCTAATTCAATTAAGGGATACACAATTTTAAAATATTACTTTATTTCTCAGCCATCCTCTAATATCAGAACAAAACTACAGAAGCAGGCTGTGGGATCAGATAGCACTTTGAAAGACTTTCTGGGGTGGCTTTTATCTTTTAAAACAAGAACTGGGGAGAGGAGACCTAGAAAGAAGAGGGGAGTCGCAAGAGAATGAAAGAGGCATTACTGGCCTCTTCACAGGCCTACAAGAGCCGGAATCTCCAAGAGGCACCTGCTGATTTCTACTAGTGTGACAAGCTAGGACACTTTCAAATGAATTGCTCAGGCAGAAAAAGAATATATCTCAACTTTGTCCAGCCTGTGGGGGAGACCAGTGAAAGTAGAAGTGTTCCCAGAGCCATAGGTCACCAGGTCCAGTGTGTATTTCCCAGATTGTTCAGCAGGAATAATGGCTCCCCAGCTCTACAAGCCATTGTGATCTACAGGATTCAAGTAATTCTGGAGGTAAAATGGAAATTAAACAACAACAACAACAACAACAACAACAACAACAACAACAACATTTTTCTAAATTCTAGAGCCTGTTTCTCTCTTCTTCTCTCCAATCCAGGGTTCTCCTCCTCCAATAGTGAAGAGAGTTAGCTAGCTTGCCTTCTATAGACAGAAAGAGAAGTGTCTCCAGAAATTTCTCAGCCCACTGATCAGTGCTTCATTTCCACATAAGATACAAATCAGTCTGGAAAGAAACATTCAAGCAGCAGGCACCAATAAATGAACTAGAACAGAAAGTTGTGTCTGAAGACATGACTGCAGTTGCACAAATAAAAGAACCTCCAGCTCACTCAGAAACTTGCAGAAACTTCAAGATTACTCAAATGTGAAAACAAGGCCTGAAATAGAAATGCATTTGTCCATTTTATAATCAGTGGACATCCAGAAATATTTCTTTTCCTTTGGTGAACATAAAGAGAGTGGGAGAGTGGGAGCAAGTGCCTTCCAGGGAACAATTTTCTTTTCTTCTTGGATTGTGACCCCCACCTCTGTGAATCGTTACTTCAGCCTCAGATTAGTTCTGGATAAAATCCTAGGCCACAGGTTCACTTCAGCTTCTGAAAGGTTGTCTAAACTGAGTATCCCCTATGAATATTCACTTTAGCCACTAAGTACTGGGCCAAGGTCTCAGGCTAAGCTTTCTGATTGGGCTGGGATCTAAGGCCCCAGGTCGAACTACGTCACACATTTTTTAAGACAGCCCACAGACGAAGTGCATTTCTTACCATTCACAACACACAGAAACCCTAAATCCAAGTTTCACATTGGTTAACCCATTTTGACCACATCACTGCTGGCATCGAGCTTTTTTATTTCACTTACTAAACTTTCTCTTCAACCTTAGTGCTCTTTAGCCTTCTTAAAATGTGTCTGCTATCTTTATTCTCCTAAGACATAGAAAAGAAACCCCCAGTATTACCTTAGATAAGTAGAGACTGTTATGTGTTTGTGTACTGGTGAGATAACAATAATAGCAAGATTGTGATGGGCTTCCTGGGAATGCGCTAATGCTCTGCTAAACTATCTGACAAAAATTAAAAATAAAAAGACTATTGGGTCTCAACATCTAAAGCTCAGCTCTCTCAGACTTCAGTACAGTAGCTGGATCTGGTCTTATCAGAAGAGACCAATGTACAAGGTCATGAAACAATTCAGCCCATTTTTCTTAACAGTTAAGAATATTCTTGGGCAGTACTTGATTTTTCAGATGGCAGGTACCTCAGTACAGAGAATTAGCTCGTCTTTTATACCACCTCATAGAAGAAACTAAAGCAGATAAAACTCATGTTTAACTTAATAACCTAGTGCTCAAAAAAATTTAACCAGTTAAACAAACCTTACTTAAAGCAGAAGCCGTCAGTTTTTTCATAGTAAAGGCACTTAATCTCCATGTATCAGAAATAGAGAAAGCAGACGTTGAAATTACAGATGAGGCTCGAGGTCCAGATCAACATCCAGTGGTTTACCTAAGGAAGAAATTTAGCTTGGTTTCTAAAAAAAAAATGGGCATCTTACCACTGAGCAGCTGCATCAGTGATATTGTTGGTGCCAGAAACCATCAAGTTAACCATGAAAATGACATATCTGTTTCTACACCACATAGCATAGCAGTACTGTGTTTCCTTAAAAAAGTCTCTTGCGAACTGACAGTCACCTCCTTAAATATCAAGCTTTGCTACTGGAGGGATCTGCAGCCCATTTGAAAGCCTGTACTTGCCTGAATCCAGCAGCTTTCTATCAGGGGAAAGTTGAGCTGTTGAACCTGATTGTGAACATATAGTGGTGTAAACCGGTGAAATAAATAATAGACACTTCTCTTGATATTCTCTGTAAAGTTAAATTAATGAAAACACTCTTAGAAAGCAATTGGATTAATTAAAAATGGAGATTTATGCTATACATGTATTCAAGACGTTCATGATTTTCTCCTCATAAACCTTGTTTCCTTGAAAATGTTTTTTCTTTCAGTCGACTAAGTTACCTTTCTCCACTCTATCTTGACACTTTTGGTGAATGCATAAAAGGTTCTTGGATAAAAGCTGATGGTCAGGGACATCTTGAGGCTAACAGAAGAGACACCACCGACCGTCTTTTATGAGAAATCTGCATTTCTTATGTGGCTCTTGGAATTAGAAGTGAATAATACCTCTGAAAATGAAAGGCTGTCTCTTCCAGCTCTGCTTTTTTTTTTTTTTTTTTGAGGCGTGGTCTCACTCTGTCACCAGGCTGGAGTGCAGCAGTACACCCTTGAATCATTGCAACCTCTGCCTCCTGGGTTCAAACGGCTCTCCTTTCCTTAGCCCCCAATTAGATGAGACTAAAAGTGCACACAAACATGCCCAGCTAATTTCTGTATTTTTAGTAGAGATGGGGTTTCACCATTTTGGCCATGATCTCTTGACTTCTTGATCCCCAAACATGGGCCCCCCAAAGTGCTGGGATTACAGGTGTGAGTCACCATGCCCAGCATCAGTGAGACTTTTTTTATTAGGCCCTGGAAACTATTCATAGCCCATTTCTTAAAGGGCCACAGCAAGAGGTCAATAATCCAATTGGAAAATTAGTAAAATAAAATTTTATGACTCCTGGAGCTTCTGTTTTCTCTGTGTTTACATATGTGTTATGTATATATTTTAAAAATCTAATTAATTAACTTAGTGAAGAATAGGTAGTTGAGCTAAATATTTTGCTTCCAAAGAAATGAAGGCTGTTGTACTTCTCAGTTCATGTGACTTTAACTTATGAAAAACGAAAGCCACCAAAGGCCTGAAGATGTATAAAAATAACCACTCCTTTAACTATGCTGTAATAAATCATACTTTACCTGCACCCAGCCTGTAATTTTATAAACTCACCAGGTTTTATAGTCAAGTTATTAATTGTTAAAAGATATTACTATAATGTGTAATTGAGAATACTGTATATAAATTTAATTGCCAGGTGTGGTAGAAGAGTAAAATGTGTTTGTAGTGAGAATAAATTATAGAAAGGCATGGAAATGTACATTTTGCCTAGAGTTAAAGAATTTTCTTTAATTAACTAAAATAAAGCTGTTTACACAAATTGTGAAAAATACTGCAAAAAAATTAATCTTGCAAAAGAAAACCCTGTGAACCTACTAACTAGATTGAAAAGGGTATTATGTTTATTTCTGCCATTAAGCATTGAAGTGAAAACACAACAAAAATTTCTTGAAACATTAATCTTCTCTTTAGCAAATTTGTAAAAGTTTGTTAAAATGTTGTAATAAGTTTGTGAAAATCTCACTTCTTTGTCAAACTTTCTAAGGTTAAAATAATTTTACATAAGGTTTCATTAAGCTTAGGGTTAACATTAGGAGACAACTACAAGGGGAAAATTTGTCCTTCTGAAAGAGATTATCATGTAATATTGAAGGCTGATAAAAGTGTTTCTGCCCTTTCAAACATTTCTACCAACTGTATTTTGGCAAAACAAATGATTTATGGAAATCTGGAATTGGATTTCATAACATTAAGTGTCTTAATCCTCTAAAATATTTGGCAGGCTTCCCAGAATAAAATTTTAACTTCAAGGATGTATTTTCTGAACCCTATATTTTGGATGCCTCAGAGAGCCCCTGGGGCATAAAAGAAAAAGTTAAACAGGATTATAAAGCACATTTAAATACATGTGATTTTGATGGTAATATTTTATTTTTTTCAGAATATATTTTAGTGGGTAACATTAACACAGGGCTCAAAACCACATGAGGTTTTTAAGGTTCTTAATATCTGAATACGTGCTACAATTTTTATTTAAAGTTATTATGTTAAGCTATTGTAAACCACGGAAGTAACCAAATGTCTTTGCCTATGCTGTTTCTAACCACACTAGACATTTTGTCATTTACAGACATTTAATCTTCATCAAGAATAACGACTTATAATTAGCTGTAGAACTGTACCAGCTGTTCTCAACTGTAGGTTTTTTTATAACAGGAAAATGTACAGAACTTAGGAATAGCTAAAATGCTTATAAATGTCAAGCAGGACAAATGTTAAAATAGACTAAACTAACAGAAGAATGAAACAATCTCTTTATCTTTATTTTAGAACATTTCTAATTCTTGTTTTGTTTTTTAAAGTCAAGCGCACTTTCTTTTAAAGTAGCTACAGCTTTTAACACTGTCAATTGGTATACTCCTGTTAGCAAAACTTGAAACATGCTTTTTTCCTCTGTGCCTAGTTCCTCTAAAATTCGGAAAGTATGTGTGATTATTCTTAACTTACAACAATATAATTGTTTTACTCAGTGCAACAAAAATGTATTTTCATTTGCAACATAACCCAATAGAATAAGCTGGTTGATTTCCAAAGGCTTTGACTGGAAGAGTGTGCCTTCTTTAATGACTTACGTCTGACTTCTAGAACCAATAAAAGCCCCCTAAGAAACGCAGCCTTATACTTTGTTTACACAGTCCCAATACAGGTTTTCTAATCTGCGGTAAGAGGAAAAAAAAAAAAGCCACTTTCTATCAGGCCTAGGAACCACATGCACTTGGAATCTCAAAAAAATAGAGGAGTTTATCCAAATAACATGTATCTAAGGGTCAAACCTATAGTTGGACTCAGCTTTATAATGTCCTATTTAAGATTCCTTGTAGAATAGAGATTCATAAAAGCCCATGAGGAAAGCACATGTAAAGGTATTTCCCACAGCACTGTACAAAAATATTCTGGCTAAGTGTAGGACAAGTCTGTTTTGCCAACAACCAACTTTTGTCATAATTCGTTCTTAACAAAAATTAGGACTAAAAAAAAGATAGATGTCTCACAGCCTATCACACCTCTATCACTAACTTCTCATCTCATATGTTGTTTTTAAGATGTTTGTACAATATTAATTAACCTTTTTTTTTTTTTTTTTTTCTGTGAACCAACTGGTGAGGTCCAGCTACCGTTCTTGGAAAACAGAAAGATATGAGTAACAGATAAATCTAGAACAATATTCTAATTCTGGGAACTCATTCCACAAATATTTGCAGGTCATAAAAGAAAATAGGGTTTCTGTAACAGAATTTTTGTTTCAAAGGATCAAATCAAGAAAGCTAAATAAATCCAAGTCTCATGTAACAAAATCTTAACAGGTGTAAATGTAGCCACAGTTACACGGGCACGTCAGCAGCCTTGAAGTATTTCAGCTGTTCTTACTCTCCTTGTCTAGTTGTGATATGCTTTTTCTAATAATCCAAACTGGTTTTCTTTTTGTGCCTAAAGTCTATCACACTTTAAAATGTAATGCAAATAAAACCATGCATTAACAGGCCTTTCTTCTACAAACACTTAAACCAACCCTCAGTAGATCCTACATACTGTTTTCTACACAACACTCTTCTCCAGCAGAAAGTATCCAGAAAGACCAATGCCCAATCTCCTAAGAGAAGTTAGAGTTTTCATTTCTGAGGGAGGACAAAGACAACTTAGCCAGCTTTTCCCATGTAAACAGCAAGGAATGGGTTCCTGGAAGACCTCCAGTAAACAAGTAAGGGCCTGATTCCAACATAACATAATAACCAGACCAAAAAAAAACGTGTGTGTACCAGTAAGAGATTTAACACAGAAGGTTGTGCCTGACAGCACAGATAACAGAACCTTCAGTCCATTCAGATAAAATCTTGTACAAACCTCCCACTGATTCAGATGGGGAACCAATGCCTGGCATAGGCTTGTTGTTTTCTGTATACTCAGAGGGCTTTCAGAAAATAAAGTTGTTTTTTGTTTTGTTTTGTTTTGTTTTTTGTGGGCATAAACGCAGTGCGATCTAGCGGGTATTGGATGAAATATTTATTTTTGTATTTCACTGGTTGCTCAACCCATATGAATCATCACTTCAGTCCCTGATTGGTCCTGAGCCAGCATCCCAGAACAAGCTTTTACTTTAGGTCCTGTACCAAGCTAAGCAGTCTTTGCAAATTACCACCTCAGACTGCTCCCAGGCAAAGTGCCTGGGCTAAGCTGTCTAATAGGTCCTGGGCCAGGGCAAAGCTAAGTCACCCATTCTCCAAGACAGCTTGCAAACTAAGTATATATCTTTATTTTTTAGGCCATAAAAACCTTAAACCCCAGTGGACAACTTATTCAAGCTTCTATCTCTGCTGGCAGAGAGCTGCTTTTGCCACTTATTTAAACTTTTGCTCCAAACAGTTTCCTTTGTCTACAGTCCTTAATCTTCTTAAATGTAAAAAAAAGACTCTTAGTGTAATCTCAAATGAAAGAAAGGCTGTTATGTCTTGGTGCATTGTTAAAAGAACAATATTATCTGAACCTATGACACATTTTTGCAGTTTTCTTTTGATGTCAGGGTCTGCTTGAGTAATAAACTTTTCTCTTAAGATTAACTTTATCTTAACCCAATAGGGAGATAGGAACATGTGTTTCACTAAAGCCTCTCTCAGGATTTTAAAAAAGGCTCTATAATTTTTCTGTGATTTTAACCTATTATGAATAGTTTAGAGTAATTATGAAGTTTTGTCCTGTTCACTTATAAGCCTTCCAGTAGGCTCACTAATTTTTTTTTCACTCCTCTATAGGACCAATAAGATTCCAATCGAGTTTTCAGCACTCCGTCCTTTCCTATTACGAATAAGAATTCTGTTATCAGTTCAACTTTTTTTATTCCTTTTCACCCTCCCTTTTTCAAGATTTTATAAAAGACATGTGGTTCATCCATGGATAACTCTGCTCTCTGTAAAGCTGCCTGCTTTAGGGCAACAGTTAGGGGTTGGTTTAGCAGTAATGTATCATCTATTCAGGTATGATTGAACATTTGAGTTAGATTTTGAAATATCTCTGTATATCCACCAGGGTCATCAGAGGACATTTGCTTATCTTTTTCATTTTTTTTTGTCTAAGTCCTTGCAATGAGAAGAAAACTTCTGCTATACTAGTATCACATCTATGGAGTATTTTCTACAGGGGCAACAGTGAGTTTTGGTTTTCCTTAGTGGCACAACAAGACAAGATGATGAAATGGCTATTGGAACTTCTAAATGAGGGTGGCAGGTGTGACATTTAGAAGATAAATTTGAGTGTTCCTCAGGGGCTTGTCTCTGACTTTAATGAATTATCTCTTGAAACTTGCCTGTTATGACTGCCAAGAGGGCAGAGTCATTTTTACAATACTTAGAAAGATCTGGGTTGTCTCCCCAGTCAAAGTAAGGTTGTCCAAAAAAGAAAAAAAAAATCATACTCTTTTCTTTGCCATCTGAAGAAAAGATATACCTGTTGAATAGTACTAAAGCGAACACTTCCCTCAGAAAGCTAGGCATGTCTGTCCTGGAGCTGGTAGGGCTGTCATGCCCTTGAGCAATAAATACATAAATAAGCCACTTTCATTTTTCAGAGTCTCACAGTCAATGAAATTTCTGTGTTTCAGAATGTAATCTAGAGAGGTGCGTACTGCAGACAGTTTGTGAAGTTTCTAAAGAAATATATAAAAAAAATTCCTATTCTCTTTTTCCCCCTTTTGAAATAGCCCTGACTGAATAAAAAGATAGGATATTCCTTGTTTTTGAATTCCTCTTGTCTTTTCTGAGTCTGGTGACTGACATAGGTGTCCCCCATGGATGGAAGCTAAACCTTCACCCACAGTTCTAGAGGATCTAGACAGCAGGACAAGTAACATTTTCCTGCAGAGGCTTTAGCTCTCTACTGGTGACTCTTTGTTGATTTCTTAAGCCTACTCAACCCAGAAGATACCCAGAGTAACTTGGGAGCCTAAAAAAAAGATTATATAGTCATTGGATTCTAGCAAGACACTTGTATAGAGTAAGAATTTTAATACTATTTGTGGCTTCCCTTGCTATGGCCTAGAAAAAATACTGAAATTGCAGGAAATAAGATAGATTGAGTTGAAACATAAAATTCTCCGTTAGTTTAAATGTCAGTGCTGCTGGAGGAAGAAGGTGTGCCTCAAAGCAAGTAAAGCTTGTATGGCTGGCTTTCATAAGACAGCACTTAGCTAAAATATGTCTCTCAAAGACACCTTCTTTCTGATTATTGAAAGTGGAAATTTTCTGTTTACTGATAGGGCACAGAGTTAGAGAGATATAACAGAGAGAGGAATTAAAATCCAAGGGTTTTGTGCAAAGTACTGACAAGGCTTCCCCAAGAGAAAAACCTCATTTTACTAGGTTGCATTTTAAGATCTCAGATATTCCATGAAAATGCTGAATTCCAGGTTTATATAGTCAAAACTGAGAAAAGGAAGGTTAACGCTCCATCGCCTGTCCCCACAGTATGTGTCTCTGCAGAAAAAAGAAGATGTGTCTCACAAAGAAACTGTTTAGATATATATGGCTGTGCTGAGCTTTTTAAAGAGAAATCACCCGCCAAACAGGGAAAATTTATTTGAATGTATGCCATTCCCTACAGTGTCATGAATGTCTATCATCGGCGGACAAAAAGACCCTTATCAAATAAAAATTTTTAGACCACAATTTTGAATTCTTCCTCTTTTGAAAGAAAAAAAAACACAAAATAGCAACTCTTTGAATTATATTTCTACTGACTGACTTTTACCAGTAAGCTTGTATCTCCAGGTCTCAACATGGCATACAAAGAAGAAATAGGAGGGACATTAGCCACACAATGACAAAAAACAAATAAATAAAATGCCACAGAAAAGCCTGGAAATTTTGGTGGCAACACTCTGATGGGCTGTCAGAAACTGGAGTTAGTTTTGAGGCCTTCACGTAACACTGTGGTATAGCCTTAACCAGAAATCTTCAATTAACTTAGATATCCTTTCAGTCCTATGTGACAGCTGGATCCTCTCTGAAAGAAAACAGTTGGAACAGAGGCAACACTTTCAACAGCGGAGGGTGAAAGGAGACTGCCAATGTGTCTCCCAGAATCCCTTTCTCCTAAGCTTTGTAAGAATGGCAGGCAATCCATCGGATTTTACCTGGCACTGGTCCAGAGCTTTGTTTGCTCTTCAGACATTAAAAAAAAAGAAAAAAACAAATAACAAAAACAAACAAACAAAAACTGAGAACAAGCTGCAGATATGAAAGCAAATAGAGGACAAGCTGAAGATATGAATGTAAATAGTTTGGAATGGCACCCCTACTCACTTTTTTTTTCTAATGGATTCTCTGTCACTTAAACTGGAGTCCAGTTGCATGATCTTGGCTAACTGCAAGCTCCATTTCCCGGGTTTATGCCATTCTCCTGCCTTAGCCTACCAAGCAACTGTCACTAAAGGTGCCCACCACCACACCCTGCTAATTTTTTGTATTTTTGGTAGACTTCATGAGGGCTTCACCATGTTAGCCAGGATGATCTCCATCTTGATCTCCTCCTGATCTTCCCACATTGGCCACCCAAAGTGCTGCGATAACAGTCATGAGCCACCATGCCCAGCCCCTACTGACCTTTTTAATTAAGGCCTTTCCAAGTCCATGAACCAAAAACAAACCTTGCTGTCCCCCAGTGAACCACAATGTATCAGTCTCTCATTTTTAGGTGACACACAGATCTTTTTAATTTCAAGAAAATTAAAAATTAGGAATGCAAAAGGTGAGATGATAGTAAATGTTTAATATGTTAACTTCTGGTGGAGTAGAGTCAGTTGCCCACTTTGAGAAAGAGTCTCATATTTTTATGGACTCAGAAGGAAGAAAAGGTACTAACTAGTTTTGAAGAAAGCACTTCTCATCTTTTCTGGGTCCTTGTGCCTGGAACTATTAATGGCGGATGTAATGACTCAGCTTGGCTCAGGAACTTGGCCCTGAGCCACACAAGAGCTAAAGGGAAAGCATGGCCCAGGACCTTGGCCTGGGACCAGAGTCTTAAATGATAATTTACAGAAATTTGGCTCGGAGTCTGAAGTATGTTTAGTAATATAAGGTACCCTTTGTAACACATTGGAGTCCAATATGTACAAGTTCTAAAAAAGAGAGAGACTATTTCCTGGAAGCACTCTGGTTACACAAAAGACACAACATTTTAATGCGGGGTCTTGTTTTTTTTTTTTTTTTTTTTTATCTGAGTAGCTGTGGGCATGTCTTAAGCACACACACACAAAAAGTTGGGCTTTTTTAAAAAAATTATTTGCTTGTGCCACAGGATTGTGCAGGATTCTTAAATTTGTGTCTGCAGCCTGATATTTCAGGCTGTTTCTCTGCTTGCAGAAATTTTACCAATAATCCACCACAACTATGTAGCTTTTCTTTGTCAATACTATTGAAAACCTAGATAGTTTCTGAGAGTCAAAGGCACATTGTTTGAAGTTCCCTATGTGCAAGGCTTTTTGCCCTGTGAAACCACCCACATCTTTGTAAATACTGTAAAATTGTTCCTGCTTTCTTAGCAGTCATATCAGAAAAGCCCACAAGAAACAACTCCCAAACGTCAGAGAAACATTCTCCCTGGAAACACTCAAAACCACATTTGTTACCACAGGTTTTCTCATCTTCTTGATGCAGAGAACCTTTTAGTCACATCATCATCAGCTTTTCCAGTTTTTACATCCAACCCTCCACGTTCCTTACTACCCCTATAGGAAATGCCCAATGAATGAGGTGCCAGTAAAGTGCAAGTTTCTTTTTCATTACAGTACCTTAAACAAATAAAGTAAGACCTGGGGAAGTTTTCTGATACATCAATAAATATATAGAGCCTTTCTAATATCTAGCCCTTTTTTTGGTCTTAAATGGGAAGATGTTACCTTATTGCTGAGCCAAAATCTTACTGCTTCTGACAAATAGCCCTACAGTCAACAGAAAGATGCTGGGCCAAGACGCATTTCTTCTATAGCATGTCATAGTAAATAAAAAGCAGTCAAAGAGAGAAAGAGTGAAGAAAAGACAAGATGCTAATTTCCAGTAGAAAGAGAGACAGAGCCCTTTGAAAACCCTAATTTAAGTCATAGTGATCCCATAGATAAGAAAAAAAAAAAAAAAAAAGAAAAAAGGAAAAAGAAAGCAGGACATTGGCCCTTTAGATACCCCAGCTCTAAACCTTTCCCATGCCAGGGCTAGGATGACGTCCTTGGGCCTTTGCATTTTCTGGCATTTCTTCTTTTGTGGATGCCACTGCATTCTTCAGTGCCTGCAGAAGAGAAAGCTTGTGGTATGCCTGATTCACCTAAAGATTTGCAGGGAGCTGTCACCTGTACCAGCACCTGACCTGCTTACCTCATCACAGATAACAGGCAAAGCTGTGTGCAGTGGCTGGACTGAACCAACACTCACTCATGCATCTGCCTCCAGTCTGTGCCTGGTGCATCCATAGCAAAATGAAACCTAAGCCCATAGTTTGAGCTGAGTGCAGCCTGTAAGATGGGTTTGTAAAATTAGAAAAGCAGGCTCAAGGGAACCTTGCACAAAGGTGCCATCATCCACAGAGGTTCTTGGCTGGTGAAGTGACACCCTAGAGATCTTGTGACAAAGATGACATTCATCACCAGTGGCCAGTGGATTATTCAATTATGTCTATGTAATGGAGCCTCGATAAAAACCAACAAGACAGGATTCATAGAGCTTTTGCATAACTGAGCACATACAGTGTTCTAGAAAATTGTGTGCTCATAAAAAGAGACACTGATAATTGTAAAGGTCATACAAAGTGTAGCGGTGTTTGCTTTGAAAGAAGTTTCTGCCTTTAATAATGTGTCCAGAATTTTAACTTATTAACTAGAACATACACTAAAGTAACCTAAATCTGCACATTCCACACATTAGAACCTGGATATTTCCACCAAAATCATTCCATAATTCACTAATGTGGTGTAACAAGTTTTACTTTAGAGCGATAAAGTTTTCTTTTGTTAACTGGGTAAGAACTAGACATTTATAAAGGAAAAGAAAATCAAGCGATATCTCACCACCAATTCTAGTCATGTGTTCAGTTTAGGAGAATGATCGTCAGTGGATTTTGAGCCATAAGTATTTATGCTAAAAGATAAGTCTCTTATAATTGTGTGTCTCTGAAGCGTTTGTGCCACTATAAAGTCAAGGGCACCATCTCTGATCATTCTGTGTCTTTCTGGGAGGGAAGGCTGCTTTATATCCCAACAGAGGTATTCTAGGATATAAAAATAAGAAAAAATCAACATTATTACAGGATTCTCTGTCACAAACATCTAATAAAACACAACTCTGGTCTTATATATAGTAGTAGCCATAGATACATATTAGAGCTTGCAAGAAGAGTCTGTTTTTATATTTGGGCTTAGGTGTGCATAAAATAATCACATTTGGGCAAAGAGGCTGTTTTGTTACTCCTTGTAAAGCTACAGTGCTTAAAAATGATGTGATAATTTAAATACATAGCTTGGACATTTCCAGTTCTGTTTCCAAGCCTTAGCTATGGGTGAAATTGTTTTGGGCTATGAAGATGGATTAGGGCATCTTGCAACTCATGATGCATTTGTTGCCCCTTAGTTCTTGTGTCCTGAGCAGACAGACTGACAATTAAAACTCATCAATTTTATTTTCAACATACTTTAACATGGATTCTATCCCTTGGGCTGAGCTCCAGATCTTCCTCAGCACCTCACACTCTCTCTCATTGGCCTGTTCCAACTCCAACTTAATATTACAGCGAACGAGGGCCTTACATTCTTCCAGTACAATTGGATTGTATGAGGCAAGCTCCTTAATTTGAATCATAACCTCTTGGGTGAAAGTTCCAGTCAAAAATACCTGAGAGACCAGGCCTTTGGCGCATGCCTCCCTTGCTGTCAGCTTTCGCCCAGCAATTAACATTTCATTGGCAGATGCTTTACCCATCATTTTGGGGAATGTAATAGAAGAACAGCCATCTGGACTCTGTCCAAAGGTCGTATAAGGGGTTTGGAACCAAGCCTTTTCATTAGCCCACACGAGATCACAAAGAGGCAGGATGGATGCACCTAGTCCAATCGCAGGGCCATTGACTGATACAACAATAGGCTTTTTAAATTGAATAAAAGTATTCACAAAGTTCTTGATGGTGTCCACCATTTCAAGGCTTGCTGTGTTTCTGTTATTCCTTAAGTGCTTCACAAAGTACCCAAAATCAAGACCGCAGCAAAAGACACTTCCAGCTGCACTGAACAGCACGAGCTTGCTGTCATCTGCAGCAGCGCTATTCAGAGCATTAACTATTTCTTTAATTACTTCTGTATTCAGTGCATTTTTTTCTGTCGATCTAGTTGATAGCACTATCTGGGTGAATCCATCCTCTTTCTTCACTACAATGTCTCTGTATGTGCTGGCACTTTCTGTTAGCCTTATGGTGAAGTGCATCTTCTTGATAAAAGGCTGGTCTCTGCTGTCATCAGTAATATTTCTTTGCCCACCTTTCACTCTTGGAACTGAGGTATGCATGTCTGTTGTCCCATTGGCTGCTAATGGGTCTATTAATACCACTATACCCTTTCGGGTAGCTGAACCTGTGGCCATAGAAGCAGTAACTGAGCCAGACATCTGCGACATTAGTGGGTGTATCTGAGTCTTGTTCTGTATTCCAGTCTGTTCTGCACCAGGACGTGACAAAGGGTCCCGGAGGAGTTTCCCTTCTGTCACCTTGAAGACCACCGTGTCCTGCTGATCTGCTGCAATAGGGTCCAGTTTCTCAAGTTTCTGAAAGCCACTCACAGTTTTGTGGTCAAAGGGGCTGTCAGGTGCAAGGGTCTCAATAGTTGAATTTATTATCTCCATATTCTTTGTGTCGGAGAGAATTGAAGCTGCCTTTCTCCTAACGTTCTTGCTGGCAGCAAATAACTTGCGGTTTTTGGACCTGTGGTGTTTATCAGTCACTGGCGTTTTAGGAGAGTTCTTAGAATAGTTTGCTTTTGTAGATCTGGAAGTTCTTCTTCTGGCATTGTTTGAAAAAATTCTACTGGTTGTAGTCCATGTCAGTTTTTTCTGTTTTTCAGTCTGTCGTCTATTAAAATCATGTACACATTTTTCACAGTTCATGAGGTGCTGCTCTGGTTCCCAAGTGTCATCCTGTTTGTCATAACCTTTCCACCGAACCAAATACTGTGTATTCCCATTTTTATCCTGTCTTTTGTCAACAATAGCTTCAACCTCAAACTCCTGGGAAGCCATGAGGAAAGACACGGGATTGGAACAGTTGCTGTGCCACCTTTGTTTCAGTTGCGTCTCCACATAGACACTTCTTTCTGCCTCCAGCTCTTCACCAGGTTCTGTGTATGGATGAACCTCTTCTATTTTGTCACCACTGGTGTAGTGAAAATTGTGCGAAATAGCAGCTATGCCATGTGCCTGAACCTCTCCATACTTACTGCCTGGTGGGACAGCTTGGGCTTTGTCTCATGGTGCATGACAACTTGCTCAGTAGCCTCAGGTGAGAGTAGCTAAATCCACAGCCCCAACCCTCTGGTGTAGTACAGAAAGCTTTCTTCCTGCCTGTTACTCTTTTGTGTTTCTTTGTTTAATTGTGGTTGCTATGACGATTATATGGAACATTCTAATGTTATAACATTTTTAAAGTTACACTAGCTTACCTTCAGTAACATACAAAGCCTTTACTCCTGTATAATGTACCTCCATTATTTCACTTACTGAGTTCTCAAAATTATACCTTTATTGATTTTATGTCAAAAACACAAATTAGTGGTAGTTTTTTTATTAAATATATTTGTGTTTTAAGTTATGTGGAGAACAAATTGTGGAGGTGCACATTGTTAATTGTTCGTTTTGTTTTGTTTTGTTTTGTTTTGTTTTGAGATGGAGTCTCGCCCTGTCAATGAGGCTGGAGTGCAGTAGTGAGATCTTGGCTCACTACAAGCTCCACCTCCCGGATTCATGCCATTCTCCTGTCTCAGCCTCCCGAGTAGCTGAGACTACAGGCACCTGCCACCTGGCCCTACGAATTTGTTGTATTTTTAGTAGAGACGGGGTTTCACCATGTTAGCCAGGATTGTCTCGATCTCCTGACCTCGTGATCCAAGCACCTCAGCCTCCCAAAATGCTGGGATTACAGGTGTGAGCCACTGAGCCCAGCCAAATTTTTTATCTTACATATTTGTTCATGTATTTATCTTTACCTTAATCTTTGTTTGTTCATACTGCTTTTGAGTATCTGTCCATTCTACCCTGAAGTACTCCATAAGACATTTCTTAAAGGGTAGTCTACTTGTAAAAGGTGCCAGTTTTTATATGGGAATGTCATAATTTGTCCCTCACCTTTGATGGACAGTTTGGTGGATCATAATGTTTAGGCTTGACAGTTTTTTCTGACATCACTTGGAATATATGAGGCTACTGCTTTCTATCTCAGTTTTCAGATAAGAAATCTACTGCTTTTCGGTGGTTATTCAGATAAGTGATCCACTGGTTATTTTTAGGGTCCCTTTTACATGACTAGCTACTTCCCCTGCTTCCCTTGAAAATCCTCAAGGTTCTCTTTGTATTTATTTTAGACAGTTTAATTATCAGGTAAGTTTGAGTTTGTTTCTTTGAGTTTTTGTTACTTGGAGTCTGTTGAGCTCCTTGGGTGCTTACTTATTGTCTTAAATTGTTGCATTCTTTATGACTATGTTGTTAAATAGTATCCATGAGTTTTTGTCTCTTCCTTGGAACTTCCAAAATGCATATGTATGGCTGCTTGATGGTGTCCCTCAGGTTTCTAGGCTGTATAAATCTGCCTTGCCCCTTTTCAGACTCCATTGGTGACCACTATATGGTTGACTGACCCGAAGGGTGTGTATCACAGTGTGGGGACAGTGTGTCAGTTGGTCTCGCAAGGCTGATGCATCCCAGAGCTCAATTCCCAGACTTCAATCATTGCAGTCTCATTAGTGCACTACGACCTAGAAAACTCTAATTGTGAGATATCACACAGAGTTCTTTGTCTCATGGCCAAGAAAATTAAGGAGGATGGATGCAAAAAGGTTGAATCAAAACTTTTATAAGTGAAAGTAAAAAACTCTTCACAGTGGGGGTGGAATGTGAGTGGTTTACCTACTATGAGGCTGTGCTTTACAGTTTCTAAGGACAGAGAAGTAAAGAAATGTGGTTAGTGTTCTTGGAGTAGGTGTCATTTGGCTTGGCCCTGAAACTTGGCCTTGGATTCATCTGGAGCTGAAGTGATGATTTGTAGAAGCTACAAGGCTCAGCCTTGGAACTTGGCCCTGGACCAAGAAGGAGCTGAAGTGACAGCTTGGCCTGAGACCTTGGCCTGGGATCAATCAAGGGATGAAGTAATGTCTCATGGCCACAATAATTAAGGAGGCTGGATGATGCAAAGTTCAAGTAGGAACTAAAGTAACACAACAGCCATCTGGACTCTGTCCAGATGTCATATAAGGGGTTTGAAACCAAGGCTTTTCATTAGCTCAGAAGAAATCACAAAGAGGCAGTGTGGATGCACCTATTCCGAAGGATGGGCCACTGACTGATACAAAAACAGGCTTTTAAAATTGATTGAAAGTATTCACAAAGTTCTTGATGGTGTTCACCATCTCAAGGCTTGTTCTGTTTCTGTCCTTCCTTAAATACTTCAGAAAGTACCCCAAATCGAGACCACAGCAAAAGACACTTCCAGCTGCACTGAACAGCACAAGCTTGCTGCCACCCACAGCAGCCCTATTCAGAGCATTAACCATTGCTTTAATTACTTCTATATTCAGTACATTTTTTATGTTGATCTAGTTTATAGGCACATCTGGGTGAATCTGTCCTCTTTCTTCACTGCAATATCTCTGTATGTGCTGGCACTTTCTGCTAGGCCTATGATGAGGTACATCTTCTGGATAAAAAGCTGGTCTCTGCCACCGTCAGTAACATTTCTTTGCCCAACTTTCACTCTTGCAACTAATGTATGCACATCTGTTTTTCCATTGGCTGCCGATTGGCCCATTAATACCACTATACCTTTTTTGGTAGCTGAGTCTGCAGCCATGGAAGCCGTAACTGAGCCAGACCTCTGAGAAAATAGTGGGTGAATCTGGGTCTTGCTCTCTATTCCACAATGTCCTGCCCTGGGATCTGATAAAGCCCTGATGATCTTCCCTTCCTCCTCCTTGAAGACCACTGTATCCTGCTGATCTGCTGCAATAGGGTCCAGATTCTAGAGTTCCTGAATGCCACTCACTGTGTTCTTGTTGTTAAAAGGGTTGTAAGGGGCAAGTGTCTTTCTTGATAGTTGAACACAGTAGCTCCATATTCTTTGGGTCGGACAGAGGTGACCCTGGATTACTGCTAACATTCTGGCTGGCAGAACATAACTGGCTGCTTTTGAATTTGTGGTGTTGGCCAGACACTAGCGTTTTAGGAGTATTCTTAGAAAAGTTGGGCTTGGTAGATGTAGAAGTTCATCTTCTGGTATTGTTTGAAAAAGTTCTAGTTGTTCTGGTCCATGCCACTTTTTTACTTTTTCTGTTTTTCAGTCTGTCATCTGTTAAAGTAATATATATATTTTTGACCGGTGCTGCTCTGGTTCCCAAGTGTCATACCGTTTCTTCTTAACCTTTGCAACACCAAAAATTTTTGTTGTTGTTGTTGTTGTTTTGTTTTGTTTTTTTTTTTAGACAAAGTCTTGAGCTATCACCCAGGCAGGAGTACAGTGGCACAATTGCACAATCTCGGCTCACTGCAACCTCCACCTCCTGGGTTCATGCGATTCTCCTGCCTCAGCCTCCCGGGTAGCTGAGATTAGAGGGGCCTGCCACCACGCCTGGCTAACTTTATGATTTTTAGTAGAAAGAGGTTTTCACTGTATTAGCCAGAATGGTCTCCATCTCCTGAACTCGTAATCTGCCCGCCTCAGCCTTGCAAAGTGCTGGGATTACAGGCATGAGCCACTGTGCCTGGCCTCTGTCTTTCCATTTTTGTCTCGTCTTTTGTCAACAATAGTTTCAACCTCAAACTCCTGGAAAGCCAGGAAGAAAGACACAGGATTGAAGTAGTTGCTGTGCCAAATTTGTTTCATTTGCATCTCCACATAGCCACTTCTTTCTGCCTCCAGTTCTTTACCAGGTTCTGCGTATGGATGAGCCTATTCTATTTCATCACCACTGACGTAGTGAAAATTGTTTGAAATAGCAGCTATGCTATGGGCTTTAGGCTCTCCACAATTATGCCCTGGTGGGACAGCTTGGGCTTTGTCTCATGGTGCATGATAGCTGGCTTAGTAGCCTCAAGTGAGAGTAGCTAAATCCACATCTCTTACTCTCTGGTGTAGTACAGAAAGCTTTCTACCTGTCTGTTACTCTTTTTCTTTTTTAATTGTCATTGATACTGTGATTACATTGAATATTCTAAAGGTATTCCACTTTTAAAGTTATACTAGCTGACTTTCAATAACACACAAATCCCTTAACCCTGTATAACTGCACCCCCATGATTTCCTTATTGAGTTCTCAAAATCATACCTTTATGCACTGTATGTCAAAAACGCAACTTAGTGATAGTATTTTTATTAAATATATTTGTGTTTTAAATTGCATGGGAAACACATTGTGGAGGTGTACACTGTTATTCTTTATGTTTTATAATAGCTTATATATTTATCTTTACCTTAATATATATCCATTCATACTGCTCCTTATTATCTGTTCATTTTACCATGAAGTATCCCATAAGGCATTTTTTAAAAAGATAGTCTACTGGTAAAATGTCCCAGCTTTTATCTGGAAATGTCATAATTTCTCCCTCACTTATAAGGGACAATGTTTTGAACATAAGATTTCTGTTCAAAAGTTTTTTCTCACATCATTTGGAATATGTTAATCTATTGCTTTCTGTCCTCTGAGTTTTCAGATAAGGTATCTGCTGATTATTTTTGAGGGTTACTAGCCAGTAACATAACTAGCCACTTCTTTTGTTGCTTTCAGGATTTTCTCTGTCTTTCTTTTGATGAGTTTAATTATCATATAATTTAAGTTTGTTTATTTGAGTTTCTCTTACTTGGAGTTTGTTGCCTTTGACATTCTTTAACATTATTGTTTCTAAATAGTCTTCCTGATTCTTTTTCTCATCCTTTGAACTTCCAGTATGCGTAATATGTCTGCTTGATAGTGTTCCACGACATTTTAGGCTTTATTCCCATTGCTTTATACTTTTTCTTTCATTTCCTAACTTAATTATGTCAACACCCTTTCTTTGGTTTGCTGATAGTTTGTTCTTCCCCCAGCTCAAGTCTGCTTTTAAATATCTGTAGTGAATATTTTTTTCTTTTTATCCCTAGACTTTTTTAGGTTTCAAAATAGTTTTACTTTTTTATTAATTTTTGTTCATAATTTTTTGTGGTTCTTTTTTTTCTTCTATTAGCTTACTCTGAAACTTAATTTTAAATATTATGTTTCTGTAAGACCACCATTTGGGCTGTCTAAAAAAAGTTTCAGACCATAATTTTTTTTTACGTCTTAAAATGAGCCATACTTCTCTGTTTCACTGTGTGGTTTATCTCTAGACTTTTTTAGGTTTTAAAATAATTTTACTCTTTTGATTAATAATTTTTGTCTGTAATTGTTTGTGCTTCTTTTGTTCATTCTATTAGCTTATTATGTAGCTTAATTGTAAATATTATATTTTAGTAAGGCTGCCATTTGGGCTGTCAAAAAAAAGCTTATTTTTTCGTAATTATTTTGTAGTTGTTATTAAAATGAGCCATACTTCTCTATTTCACTCTGTAGTTTGTGATTTTGCTGGTGCTGAAAAAGAGCATTTAAATTTTAAAGTGCTGTAACTTTGAACATAAGATTTTCTACTTCTATGGTTTGGTAGAGTTTTGTTTACTCATTATATAGGCTCTTACTCTCCTGTAAATCAGCTGTATTGAGCTTTGTCTTGGGTCTCTTTTGAGGCCCATTGTTTTGGGGCACATATCGTTAAAACCACAATTCATTATATATATATATGTGTGTGTGTGTGTGTGTGTGTGTGTGTGTGTGTATATGATTAATTTTGAATGTTTTAGTCTACAAACATCTTAAGAGAAAAAGAAGAACAATCAAGAAAAAATATTTTCGCTTTTTAAATCTACTGAAAGTTGGTTGCACAGAGGGACAAAGAGCCTGCATAATATTTGGGGAATATAACAATGACGATTCACCTCTGTCGGGACCTCCATAAGCAGAAGCAGCAATCGGCAAATGAGTCCCCCTGAGATTTGGAGGACAGGGTCCTTTTTGTTTGCCATGGCTCTTGTAAGCTGCTCCAGAAATATTTGCAAAGCAGCATCCCACATTGGTGGTTATTAAGGAATAAGTAGCTGCTGTTGATCTGTGCTACAAAATTGATAAAATCTTTTTTTGGAAGCTGTAAACCTTCAGGTAGACTCGGAATTCTATAGTAATTGCATCATACTAATCCTGCCACTGCACCCATTGTATAGTTGAAGGGACGGATATACAGTGATCCCTTGTACATTGCAGAACTTTCCCAGAATCTAGTATTATTTTACTTCGACCTATTTGTCTTTGCACCTAAAGTATGCCTTGCATAGAAGTCACAAAAGTGACTCCTTCGTTTAAGGGTACACTTGCAACAATGTGTGCCTTTTTAAGCAAGAGCTCACATTTACAGTTCTTACAAGTAAAATATTACATACTCTGACATGGACTTACATGTTTTCCATATGCTCTTTCTCTTGCTTGATCCTCAATTTCTTTTTTGCTCATTTAAAAAATCTGGATAATTTTTAAAAACTGCTGTTGTATTTTTCATATTACAATTAGGTGTACTTGGGATTTCAACTATTATTGAAAACTTAAAATATCCTACTATGAAGAATACTAACTTGTATGAATAATTTAATGTTTAAGGTCAGCAGTATAAAAATATGCTGCTCTTGTAGTTTTCCATCCTTCTCAATTTATATTACTTTCTCTGATTTTATCTGTGCACACAGATTGTTCATTAGCAGTTAAGTTTGCCAGGGTTGAAAGAGCAATAGCATTTTGTTATAGAGAAGTTTAAGTCACAATTTCCTTTAGCTTTTCCTTATCTATATATGTTTTCTTAGTTTCATTTTACCAGTTATATATTTCAGGTTTGATAGCATTTTTCTTAAAACTTGGATATCCCACCACCTTCTGACTCCATGGATTCAGCTGAACAATCATGTGTTAATTTTAATCGAGACCTTCTTGTACATAGAAAGTTGCTATTCCCTTTCTGCTTTTACAATTTTCTTTGTATTGGCTCTTGATTGCCTGTAATGTTTTCTGATGTGGCTATCATTGACTATATTGTGGTTGAAGATTTTTGTCCTCTTTCATCTTTCAGATTGTGATTTTTAAGTTCAGGAAATGTTTAGTCATTTTTGCCTTAAAAATTTTTGGCCTCTGTTTTTCTTCATTTATAAGATGCTCATAATGCATGTACCAGTATAACGCATGGTGTTCTATTTACTCTTCAGTTTTTTTTTTTTTTTCACTTTCTTTAAATTGTACTTCTCAGACTGGGTTATTTCAGTTTTTATTCCTTCAGACTGACTGAATATTTACTTGCTTAAATCTACTGTTAAATCCCTTTAATATCTTCAGTAGTTTTCCCATTTTTATGGGTTCTTTTATAATTTGTCTCACTGACGCTCTCAGGTTATTCTTTCATCATTTGTCCGTCATTTCTCTTTAGCCCTACTTAAAACTGTTGTTTTAAGTTCTTTGTCTATAAAATTTGGGACACATTTAATTCCTGCATTTAGTTTACATTGTTCAAAACTTTCTGTTTGTTTTTGTGTTTTTGGTTTTCAGAAAACTATATTTGAAATGCCATAATGTGCTAACACTGAATGTTACCTCTGTATTTGAAATGTCATAACGTGCTAACTCTGAATGCTTTTTGGTATTTCTGAAATGCAACGTGTTAGTTATTAAAAGCTCAGCTGACATTCCATTAGCACTTTGAATAAGAGCAATATGAAAACTATCACCTTTAAATACAGGGTATGTATTAACACTCTCCTTTAACTCTCAGGGGGGTTGTTTCTAATTCTTTCCTAACATTCACTTTCTTCTGACTCTGAAGCTATAGATAAACTTGAGGGTTAAAGTATATTGTTTTACATGTTTTTTAGAATGTTCCTGTCATAAGCATATGCATGATTTTCTAAGTGCTTCAATGTATTAAACTGCTTTTGAATATTCAGATTTTTGCAAATACAAATCTCTCCAACTTTTGCTCCTGTTTATCCTTTGCCTAGTGTAAAAGATAACTGTATTTTTTGTATTCAGCAACTTAAATGTTTGTGACCAATTCCTGGCATTTCCAACCAAGAGTGACTTCTGAGTTAGGCAAAGGAGAAATAAATGTTTATTTTATCAAATTTTCATATGTCCTCTGGAAAGACTGGAAAAAAAAACACAGTAATTTAGCACATAAGGGTTTCTTTCCTTTTTTGAGAAGCAGGAATCAGGTCCTCATTTTGACAATGTGGATTTCAATTCTGAAGGCTTCATATGTGCCTAGGAGGTGATATGACAATCCTTAAAGAAAAAAAAAAAAAACTTTACCATTTTGTAATTGTCTTTCTGGATTAAATGTTTACTTGGTTTATATAAACTATTGATTTTCAGGGTCCAGACTGTTTTTGATGGTTTGAAACTTTTTTTTTTTTTTTTGGAATGGTTTGAAACTGCCATCCCTGCCGTTTTACTTTTATTTTTATCTATGAAGCACTGAGTGTTTTCTAATTTCAGAGTTTATTGTTATTTATGAGGTTTATGTTTTGTCTCTTGTTTAAAATACTTAAAGTGAATGTTACATTTCCAATTTGCAATCCCAGGTGTTAGGTTTTTGTTTTAGTGGTCATGTTATAAAGTTTTTGTTTTTTTATTAAGTGAAATTATCAATTTTGTATAAAATGCATGAGGTAAGATTCTCTGTTATAAAGTACATTTTGGTTTTTGTAAAACAAACATACAATAAGTGGCTTACAAAGTGACTTTCAAATAATTATCTAAAGAAAATAATAAGAAAATAATGTAAGCATGCAGCAAGTTCAATAAGTACAATGATTCCTGGTGGAAGGCTGTATAAATTGTTTTTAAAAAGCCAGCTACCTGTGGCTGCAGCAGGCTGTAGAAGGGGGAAAATTATAGAGGATGAGCTCATAGAGGTAACAGACAGTCCATGTGATTTTCTAGGGTTTTTATAGGTCTTCAGATTTTACTTTAGACTTCACCCTAACCCTGGTTTGTGACTCAAAGTAGAATTGGTAAGGTTGTTACTAGCATCTATTGCTGAGAGGTTAGAAATGCTGCTAAATGTCCTAAAATATTGAGTCTCAGGCACCTTCGAGAAGTTAACAGTGTTGAAACATCTCTCGAGAAAATTATTTTTAAAAGCTCACATTTAGAACTCTTTGATGTTATATTTTGAAGATTTCTTAACTCCAAGTTTGGTTTCCGTATAGCAGAAGGATTTGAAAAAGTGTACATAAGTTCCATTGATTCAACTTAGGGTAAACATTAGTAAAGTAAGGTCAGTTCAGTTAATCAATGATTAGAAACTAAATGATATATTTTCTATTTCTCTGCTTTTCCTTCCAATTACTTTTTGAATATTTTTGTAAAACATGAATGTGAAAAAATAAAACCCTAGTCAGCCTCTGTTTTGGAGGTACCAAGGGAGAAATCTCAATGAATGGTATTTGGGATGGAGCTAATCTTTAATACAGTTGAAAGGCATAAATAATACACATGCATACAGGTGCATTGTCACACTATATTATGGATACACATTGTGCATTCAGAAAGCACAATGTGTATCCATAATACAGTCATGAATGATCCTAGTCATAATATAGTCATGAATGATCCTGGGTTATTACAATAAGTGAATCAAATGAAAACAAAGTTTGTCAGGATTATAGCTGGGGTTATAGGATTTTCAATTTTGCTAAAGTTGTTTAGTAGAACCAATATTCAAGTATCTCCTACTTTTTAAAAAGTTATTTGATAGAAGTTTGCATAGTGGACAGCTTTGATCAGAATTATTTGTTCTCTGCCTTGTTCCAACATAATAAAAGTATGCATTCACAAAAAATGCATATTAGACAATAAGAGAAAATAAAAATCAGTGAATGAGGAAACTGATGTAATAGGAACAATTTCTGAAAAGGTTAAGATAAATCCAAAAGGAGGTGAATTTCTACAGTGGAAAATCTTTTTCATTTCAATCAAAAATTTGTTTCAGAATGTTAGCAAGTAGCAGCAACATGGTAATTATCCAAATTTACACCGTTTCCTTAGTTCCAACTTAGCGCCTGAGATGTAGGCTCTGTTGCTGATGCTAGGGCCTTCTCCATGAGGCAGAACTCCTACCCATATAGGGCTTGCTTTTTCTCCAAGGTTAATAAAATGCCATCGAACACCTAAAAGGAAACGGCAAGTTTATTTTTTTTTTGCTTAATATACTAAGGGAGAGCTCTGCTGTTTAGACACATTCTTGGAACAATGCAGAGTGTGAAACTGAGGAATTGACAGACATTAAGTTGTGTACAGAAGCTGGCATTATTTGTAGAAACAAACTTGTTGAGGTAAAATTTGTAGTGAAAGAGGAATATTTATTGAAGTCTGTGACTGACCTGATTTTTCAAAGTGCTGGCACTGTTTTATTATTATTACTGTTACTATCACTATTATTACCTGTAACAGCTTTTTCACTGAGGGAGTTAGGCTTTATAGATTAGTTAAATTTAAACCTGATTTTGATGGGTGCATTTTACAATGATTGCAGAACAACTATTTACTAAATATTTCTGAAAGTCTAAATTGTCATTTTCTAAGAAGACATAATACACCTTTGTTTTTAAAGAAATGAAGAGTATTTACTAATTAGTAACAGTTTGTTAAATAATTCCTCTGATATATGTTCTAGAGCCTTGGAAGTAAGTAAATAGGAAAATAGGTACTTTAAAGGTTTTTTTTTTTTTTTTTTTTTTTTACATAGATGCATATGGACCACTGAAGCACATACACACATGTGTATTGTGTATATATGTCAGGAATTTTTTTTATGGAATTAGATTATGACATCACCATCAAACAAGCTGACTTATTAAAAGAAGGCTTATAGTTTTAATATTTATTCAAAGAATGTTTTTTGATTGTGTCCTAGGGATAGTGATCAGCTCAAAACCTGAAGGAAGAAGATGGGTGACTTCTCCATTTCCAACTGAGGTACCAGGTTCATCTCACTTGGGAGTGTTGGGAAGTGGGGCAGGACAGTGGGTGCAGTGCATCAATTGTGACCTGAAGCAAGGTGAGGTATCACCTCACCCGGGAAGCAAAAGGGGTCAGGGAATTCCTTTTCCTAGTCAAAGAAAGTGGCATCTGGAAAATCAGGTCACTCTCACCCTAGTACTGTGGTTTTCCAACGGTCTTAGCAAACGGCACACCAGAAGATGATATCCCGTGCCTGCATCAGAGCGTCCTACACTGATGGAGCCTCACTCATTGCTAGCACAGTAATCTGAGATCAAACTGCAAGGTGGCAGCATGGCTGGGGGAAGGGCGTCCACCATTGCCAAGGCTTGAGTAGGTAAATGAAGCAGCTTGGAAGTTCGAACTCAGTGGAGCCCACCCCAGCTCAAGGAGGCCTGCCAGCTTCTGTAGACTCTGCCTGTGGGGGCAGGGCATAGCCAAACAAAAGGCAGCAGAAACCTCTGCAGACTTAAATGTCCCTGTCTGACAGCTTTGAAGACAGTAGTGGTTCTCCCAGCACGCAGATGGATATCTGAGAACAGACAGACTGCCTCCTCAAGTGGGTCCCTGGCCCCCAGGTAGCCTAACTGGGAGGTACCCATCAGTAGGGGCAGACTGACAACTCACATGACCAGGTACTCCCCTGAGACAAAAATTCCCGAGGAATGATCAGGCAGCACCAGTTGCTGTTCACCAATATCCGCTGTTCTGCAGCCTCCGCTGCTGACACCCATGAAAACAGGGTCTGCAGTGGACCTCAGCAAACTCAACAGACCTGCAGCTGAGGGTCTTGACTGTTAGAAGGAAAACTAAAAAACAGAAAGGACATCAACACCAAAACCCCATCTGTACGTCACCATCATCAAAGACCAAAGATAGATAAAACCAGAAAGATGGGGAAATAATAGAACAGAAAAACTGGATGCTCTAAAAATCAGAGCACCTCTCCCCCTCCAAAGGAACACAGCTCCTCACCAGCAATGGAACAAAGCTGGACAGAGAATTTGACTATTTGAGAGAAAAAGGCTTCAGATGATCAAACTACTCTGAGCTAAAGGAGGAAGATTGAACCCATGGCAAAGTTGAAAACCTTGAAAAAAAAATAGATGAATGGCTAACTAGAATAACAATGCAGAGAAGTCCTTAAAGGATGTGATGGAGCTGAAAACCAAGGCACAAGAAAAACGTGATGAATGCACAAGCCTCAGTAGCTGATTTGATCAACTGGAAGAAAGGGTATCAGTGATGGAAGATCGAATGAATGAAATGAAGTGAGAAGAGAAGTTCACAGAAAAAAGAATAAAAAGAAATGAATAAAGGTTCCAAGAAATATGGGACTATGTGAAAAGACCAAATCTACGTCTGATTGGTGTACCTGAAAGTGATGGGGAGAATGGAACCAAGTTGGAAAACACTGTAGGATATTATCCATGAGAAGTTCCCCAATCTAGCAAGGCAGGCCAAAATTCAGATTCAGGAAATGCAGAGAACACCACAAAGACACTCGTCAAGAAGAGCAGCTCCAAGACACATAATTGTCAGATTCACCAAAGTTGAAATGAAGGAAAAAATGTTAAGGGCAGCCAGAGAAAAATGTCAGCTTATCCACAAAGGGAAGCCCATCAGACTAACAGCTGATCTCTTGGCAGAAAGTCTACAAGCCAGAAGAGAGTGGGGGCCAATATTCAACATTCTTATAGAAAAGAATTTTTACCCAGAATTTCATATCCAGCCAAACTAAGCTTCATAAGTGAAGGAGAAATAAAATCCTTTACAGAAAAGCAAATGCTGGGAGATTTTGTCATCACCAGGCCTGCCCTACAAGAGCTCCTGAAGGAAGCACTAAACATGGAAAGGAACAACCAGTAGCAACCACTGCAATAACATGCCAAATTGTGAAGACCATTGAGGCTAGGAAGAAACTGCATCAACTAGTGAGTAAAATAACCAGCTAACATCTTAATGACAAGACCAAATTCACACATAACAATATTAGCCTTAAATGTAAATGGGCTAAATGCTCCAATGAAAAGACAAAGACTGGCAAATTGGATAAAGAGTAAAGACCCATCAGTGTGCTCTATTCAGGAAACCCATCTCACGTACGGAGACACACATAGGCTCAAAATAAAGGGATGGAGGAAGATCTACCAAGCAAATGGAAAACAAAAATAGGCACGGGTTGCAAGCCAAGACTCTGGTAAAACAGACTTTTAACCAACAAAGATCAAAAGAGACAAAGAAGGCCATTACATAATGGTAAAGTGATCAATTCAACAAGAAGAGCTAACTATCCTAAATATATATGCACCCAGTAAACGAGCACCCAGATTTATAAAGCAAGTCCTTAGAGACATACAAAGAGACTTAGACTCCCACACAATAATAATGGGATAATTTAACACCCCACCGTCAAAATTAGACAGATCAATGAGACAGAAAGTTAACAAGGATATCCAAGATTGAACTCAGCTCTGCACCAAGCCGACATAATAGACATATACAGAACTCTCCACCCCACATCAACAGAATATGCATTCTTTACAGCACCACACCACACCTATTCCAAAATTGACCACATAGTTGGAAGTAAAGGACTCCTCAGCAAATGTAAAGGAACAGAAATTATAAAAAAACTCTCTCTCAGACCACAGTCCAATCGAACTAAAACTCAGGATTAGAAAATTCACTCAAAACTGCTCAATTACATGGAAACTGAACCGTCTGTTCCTGAATGACTACTGTGTACATAACGAAGTGAAGCCAGAAATAAAGATGTTCTTTGAAACCAACAAACAGCATCTCAAGGATGTGTCTTTGAGAACAAAGACACAACATACCAGAATCTCTGGGATGCATTCAAAGCCGTGTTTAGAGGGAAATTTATAGCACTAAATGCCCATGATAGAAAGCAGGAAAGATATAAAATTGACACCCTAACATCACAATTAAAAGAACTAGAGAAGCAAGAGCAAACACATTCAAAAGCTAGCAGAAGGCAAGAAATAACTAAGATCAGAGCAGAACTGAAGGCGATAGAGACACAAAAAACCCATCTGAAAATCAATGAATCCAGGAGCTGGTTTTTTGAAAACATCACCAAAATTCATAGACCATTAGCAAGACAAATACAGAAGAAAAGAGAGCAGAATCAAATAGACACAATAAAAAATGATAAAGGGGATATCACCACAGATCCCACAGAAATACAGACTACCATCAGTGAATACCATAACCACCTCTACACAAATAAACTTGAAAATCTAGAAGAAATGGATAAATTCCTCAACACATACAACCTCCCAAGTCTAAACCAGGAAAAACTTGAATCTCTTAATAGACCAATAACAGGCTCTGAGATTGAGGAAATAATTAATAGCTTTCCAACCAAACAAAGTCCAGGACCAGAAGGATTCACAGCCGAATTCTACCAGACCTACAAGGAGGAGCTGGTACCATTCCTTCTGAAACTTTTCCAATCAAGAGAAAAAGAAGGAATCCTCCCTAACTCACTTTATGAGGCCAGCATCATCCTGATACTGAAAACTGGTAGAGACACAACAACAAAAAAAGATAATTTTAGACCAATATCTCTGATGAAGATTGATGAAAAAATCCTCACTAAAATACTGGGAAACTGAATCCAGCAGCACATCGAAAAGCTTATCCACCATGATCAAGTGGGCTTTAACCCTGGGATGCAAGGCTGGTTCAACATATGCAAATTGATAAATGTAATCCAGCATATAAACAGAAGCAATGACAAAAACCACATGATTATCTCAACAGGTGAAGAAAAGTCCTTTGACAAAATTCAACATTCTTTCATGCTAAATAGTCTCAGTAAATTAGGTCTTGATGGGACGTATCTCAAAATAATAAGAGCTATCTATGATAAACCCACAGCCACTGTTATACTGAATGAGCAGAAACTGGAAGCATTCCCTTTGAAAACTGGCACAAGACAGGGATGCCCTCTCTCACCATTCCTATTCAACATAGTGTTGGAAGTTCTGACCAGGGCAATCAAGCAGGAGAAGTAAACAAAGTGTATTCAATTAGAAAAAGAGGAAGTCCAATTGTCCCTGTTTGCAGATGGTAGGATTGTATATCTAGAAAACCCCATCATCTCAGCCTAAAATCTCTTTAAGCTGATAGGCAACTTCAGCAAAGTCTCAGGATACAAAATCAATGTGCAAAAATCACAAGCATTCTTAAACACCACCAACAGACAAACAGAGAGCAAAATCATGAGTGAACTCCCATTCACAATTGCTTCAAAGAGAATAAAATACCTAGGAATCCAACTTACAAGGGACGTGAAAGACATCTTCTAGGAGAACTGCAAACCACTTCTCAATGAATTAAAAGAGGATAGAAGCAAATGGAAGAACATTCCATGCCCATGGGTAGGAAAAATCAATATCGTGAAAATGGCCACACTGCCTAAGGTAATTTGTAGATTCAAGGCCATCCCCATCAAGCTACCAATGACTTTCTTCACAGAATTCGGAAAATCTACTTTGAAGTTCATATGGAAGCAAAAGGAGCCCACGTTGCCAAGACAATCCTAAGTCAAAAGAACAAAACTGTAGGCATTACGCTACCAGACTTCAAATTATACTACAAGGCTACAGTAAGCAAAACAGCATGGAATTGGTACCAAAACAGAGATATAGACCAATGGAACAGAACAGAGCCCTCAGAAATAATGCCGCATATCTACAACCATCTGATCTTTGATAAACCTGACAAAAACAAGAAATGGGGAAATGATTCCTTATTTAATAAATGGTGCTGGGAAAACTGGCTAGCTGTATGTAGAAAGCTGAAACTGGATCCCTTCCTTACACCTTATACAAAAATTAATTCAAGATGGATTAAAGGGTAGAGCCAAGACGGCCAAATAGGAAGAGCTCCGGCCTACAGCTCCCCGTGTGAGTGACGCAGAAGACGGGTGATTCCTGCATTTCCATCTGAGGTACTGGGTTCATCTCACTGGGGAGTGCCAGGCAGTGGGTGTAGGACAGTGGGTGCCATGCACCAGGTGTGAGCTGAAGCAGGGCGAGGCATTGCCTCACTCAGGAAGTGAAAGTGATCCGGGAGTTTCCTTTCCTAGTCAAAGAAAGGGGTGACAGATAGCACCTGGAAAATCCTGTCACTCCCACCCTAATACTGCACTTTTCCAATGGGCTTAAAAAACGGCACACCAGGAGATTATATCCCGCACATGGCTCAGAGGGTCCTACGTCCATGGAGTCTCACTGATTGCTAGCACAGCAGTCTGAGATCAAACTGCAAGGCAGCAGTGAGGCTGGGGGAGGGGTGCCTGCCATTGCCCAGGCTTGATTAAGTGAACAAAGCAGCCGGGATGCTCGAACTGGGCAGAGCCCAGCGTAGCTCAAGGAGGCCTGCCTGCCTCTGTAGGCTCCACCTCCAGGGGCAGGGCACAGACAAACAAAAAGACAGCAGTAACCTCTGCAGACTTAAATGTCCCAGTCTGACAGCTTTGAGGAGAGTAGTGGTTCTCACAGCACACAGCTGGAGATCTGAGAATGGGCAGACTGCCTCCTCAAGTAGGTCCCTGACCCCTGAGCAGCCTAAGTGGAAGGCATCCCCCAGTAGGGGCAGACCAACACGTCACAAGGCCAGGTACTCCTCTGAGACAAAACTTCCAGAGGAACGACCAGGCAGCAGCATTTGTGGATCACCAATATCTGCTGTTCTACAGACACCAATATCTGTTGTTCTATAGCCACCACTGTTCTGCAGCCACCACTGCTGATACCCAGGAAAACAGCGTCTGGAGTGGGCCTCTAGCAAATTCCAACAGAGCAGCAGCTGCGGGTCCTGTCTGTTAGAAGGAAAACTAACAAACAGAAAGGACATCCACACCAAAACCCCTTCTGTACGTCACCATTATCAAAGACCAAAGGTAGACAAAACCACAAAGATGGGAAAAAAACAGAGCAGAAAAACTGGAAACTCTAAAAAGCAGAGTGCCTCTCCTCCTCCAAGGGAACACAGCTTCTCACCAGCAATGCAACAAAGCTGGATGGAGAATGACTTTGACCAGTTGAGAGAAGAAGGCTTCAGATGATCAAACTACTCTGAGCTACAGGAGGAAATTCAAACCAATGGCAAAGAAGTTAAAAACTTTGAAAAAAATTTAGAAGAATGGATATCTAGAATAACCAATGCAGAGAAGTCCTTAAAGGAGCTGATGGAGCTGAAAGCCAAGGCACAAGGACTACGTGATGAATGCACAAGCCTCAGGAGCCAATGCAATCAACTGGAAGAAAGAGTATCAGTGATGGAAGATGAAATGAATGAAATGAAGAAAGAAGGGAAGTTTAGAGAAAAAAGAATAACAAGAAATGAAGAAAACCTCCAAGAAATATGGGAGTATGTGAAAAGACCAAATCTACTTCTGATTGGTGTACCTGAAAGTGACGGGGAGAATGGAACCAAGTTGGAAACTTGGTTTCCAACCAAGTGTTGGAATACTCTGCAGGATATCATCCAGGAGAACTTCCCCAATCTAGCAAGGCAGGCCAACATTCAGATTCAGGAAATACACAGAATGCCACAAAGATAGCCCTCGTGAAGAGCAACTCCAAGACACATAATTGTCAGATTCACCAAAGTTGAAATGAAGGAAAAAATGTTAAGAGCAGCCAGAGAGAAAGGTCGGGTTACCCACAAAGGGAAGCCCATCAGACTAAGAGCTGATCAGTTGGCAGAAAGCCTACAAGCCAGAAGAAAGTGGGGGCCAGTATTCAACATCCTTAAAAAAAGGAATTTTCTACCCAGAATTTCATATCCAGCCAAATTAAGCTTCATAAGTGAAGGAGAAATAAAATCCTTTACAGAAAAGCAAATGCTAGGAGATTTTGTCACCACAGGGCCTGCCCTACAAGAGCTCCTGAAGGAAGCATTAAACATGGAAAGGAACAACCGGTACCAGGCTCTGCAAAAACGTGCCAAAATGTAAAGACCTTCAAGGCTAGGAAGAAACTGCATCGACTAATGAGCAAAATAACCAGCTAACATCATAATGACAGGACCGAATTCACACATAACAGTATTAATTTTAAATGTAAATTGGCTAAATGCTCCAATTAAAAGATACAGACTGGCAAATTGGAAAAAGAGTCAAGACCCATCAGTGCACTGTATTCTGGAAACCCGTCTCACATACAGAGACACACATAGGCTCAAAATAAAGGAATGGAGGAAGATCTACCAAGCACATGGAAAACAAAAAAAGGCAGGGGTTGCAATCCTAGTCTCTGCTAAAACAGACTTTCAACCAACAAAGATCAAAAGAGACAAAGAAGGCCATCACATAACGGTAAAGGGATCAATTCAAAAAGATGAGCTAACTATCCTAAATATATATGCACCCAATACAGGAGCAAGCCAGATTCATAAAGCAAGTCCTTAGTGACCTACAAAGAGACATAGACTCCCACACAATGATAATGGGAGATTTTAACACCCCACTGTCAACATTAGACAGATCAATGAGACAGAAATTTAACAAGGATACGCAGGAATTGCACTCAGCTCTGCACCAAGCGGACCTAGTAGACATCTACAAAACTCTCCACCCCAAATCAACAGAATATACATTTTTTTTCAACACCACAGCACACCTATTCCAAAACTGACCACATAGTTGGAAGTAAAGCACTCCTCAGCAAATGTAAAAGAACAGAAATCACAACAAACTGTCTCTCAGACCACAGTGCAGTCAAACTAGAACTAAGGATTAGAAAATTCACCCAAAACCGCTCGACTACATGGAAACTGAACAACCTGCTCCTGAATGACTACTGTGTACATAACGAAATGAAGGCAGAAATAAAGATGTTCTTTGAAACCAATGAGAACAAAGACACAACATACCAGAATCTCAGGGACACATTCAAAGCAGTGGGTACAGGGAAACTTATAGCACTAAATGCCCACAAGAGAAAGAAGGAAAGATCCAAAATTGACACCCTAACATCACAATTAAAAGAACTAGAGAAGCAAGAGCAAACACACTCAGAAGCTAGCAGAAGGCAAGAAATAACTAAGATCAGAGCAGAACTGAAGGAAATAGAGACAGAAAAACGCTTCAAAAAATTAACGAATCCAGGAGCTGGTTTTTTGAAAAGATCACCAAAATTGGTAGACTGCTAGGAAGATTAATAAAGAAGAAAGGAGAGAAGAACAAAACAGATGCAATAAAAAATGATAAAGGGGATATCACCACTGATCCCACAGAAATACAAACTCCCATCAGAGAGTACTACAAACACCTCTATGCAAATGAACTAGAAAATCTAGAAGAAATAGATAAATTCCTCAACACATACATCTTCCCAAGACTAAACAAGGAAGAAGTTGAATCTCTGAATAGACCAATAACAGGCTCTGATATTGTGGCAATAATCAAGAGCTTACCAACCAAAAAAAGTCCAGGACCATATGGATTCACAGCCGAATTCTACCAGACCTACAAGGAGGAGCTGGTACCATTCCTTCTGAAACCATTCCAATCAATAGAAAAAGAGGGAATCCTCCCTAACTCATTTTATGAGGCCAGCATCATCCTGATACCAAAGCCTGGAAGAGACACAACCAAAAAAGAGAAGTTTAGACCAATATCCTTGATGAACATTGTTGCAAAAATCCTCAATAAAATACTGCAAAGCGAATCTAGCAGCACATCAAAAAGCATACCTGCCATCATCAAGTGGGCTTCATCCCTGGGATGCAAGGCTGGTTTAATATACGCAAATTGATAAATGTAATCCAGCATATAAACAGAACCAAAGACAAAAACCACATGATTATCTCAATAGATGCAGAAAAGGCCTTTGACAAAATTCAACAATCCTTCATACAAAAAACTCTCAATAAATTAGGTATTGATGAGACGTATCTCAAATTAATAAGAGATATCTATGACAAACCCACAGCCAATATCATACTGAATGGACAAAAACTGGAAACATTCCCTTTGAAAAGTGGCACAAGACAGGGATGCCCTCTCTCACCACTCCTATTCAACATAGTATTGGAAGTTCTGGCCAGGGCAATTAGGCAGGAGAAGGAAATAAAGGGTATTCAATTAGGAAAAGAGGAAGTCATATTGTCCCTGTTTGTAGATGACATGATTGTATATCTAGAACACCCCATTGTCTCAGCCCAAAGCCTCCTTAAGCTGATAAGCAACATCAGCAAAGTCTCAGGATACAAAATCAATGCACAAAAATCACTAGCATTCTTATACATCAATAACAGACAAACACAGAGCCAAATCATGAGTGAACTCCCATTTACAATTGCTTCAAAGAGAATAAAATACCTAGGAATCTGACTTACAAGGGATGTGAAGGACCTTTTCAAGGAGAACTGCAAACCACTGCTCAATGAAATAAAAGAGGATACAAAGAAATGGAAGAACATTCCATGCTCATGGGTAGGAAGAATCAATATCATGAAAAAGGCCATAATGCCTGAGGTAATTTATAGATTCAATGTCATCCCCATCAAGCTACCAATGACTTTCTTCACAGAACTGGAAAAAACTTTAAAGTTCATATGGAACCAAAAAGGAGCCTGCATCGCCAAGTCAATCCTAAGCCAAAAGAACAAAGCCAGAGGCATCACGCTACCTGACTTCAAACTCTATTACAGGGCTACAGCAACCAAAACAGCATGTTACTGGTATCAAAACAGAGATATAGATCAATGGAACAGAACCAAGCCCTCAGAAATAATCTTACATATCTACAACTATCTGACAAACCTGAGAAAAACAAGCAATGGGGAAAGGATTCCCTATTTAATAAATGGTGCTGGGAAAACAGGCTAGCCATATGTAGAAAGCTGAAACTGGATCCCTTCCTTACACCTTATACAAAAATTAATTCAAGATGGATTAAAAACTTAAATGTTAGACTTAAAACCATAAAAACCCTAGAAGAAAACCTAGGCAATACCATTCAGGACATAGGCATGGGCAAGGACTTCATGTCTAAAACACCAAAAGCATGCCAACAAAAGCCAAAATTGACAAATGGGATCTGTTTAAACTAAAGAGCTTCTGCACAGCAAAAGAAACTACTATCAGAGTGAAGAGGCAACCTACAGAATGGGAGAACATTTTCACAACCTACTCATCTGACAAAGGGCTAATATCCAGAATCTACAATGAACACCAACAAATTTACAAGAAAAAAAAAATAAACAACCCCATCAAAAAGTGGGCGAAGGACATGAACAGACACTTCTCAAAAGAAGACATTTATGCAGTCAAAAAACACATGAAAAAATGCTCATCATCACTGGCCATCAGACAAATGCAAATCAAAACCACAATGAGATACCATCTCACACCATTTAGAATGGCGATCATGAAAAAGTCAGGAAACAGCAGGTGCTGGAGAGGATGTGGAGAAATAGGAACAATTTTACACTGTTGGTGGGACTGTAAACTAGTTCAGCCATTGTGGAAGTCAGTGTGGTGATTCCTCCAGGATCTAGAACTAGAAATACCATTTGACCCAGCCATCCCATTGCTGGGCATATTCCCAAAGGATTATAAATCATGCTGCTATGAAGACACATGCACACGTATGTTTATTGTGGCACTATTCACAATAACAAAGACTTGGAACCAAGCCAAATGCCCAACAATGATAGACTTGATTAAGAAAATGTGGCACATATGTGCCATGGAATACTATGGAGCTATAAAAAATTATGAGTTCATATCCTTTGTAGGGACATGGATGAAGCTGTAAACCATCATTCTCAGCAAACTATCTCAAGGACAAAAAACCAAACACCGCATGTTCTCACTCATAGCTGGGAGTTGAACAATGAGAACACATGGACACAGGATGGGGAACATCGCACACCAGAGCCTGTTTTGGGGTGGGGGGCGTGGGGAGGGATAGCATTTGGAGATATACCTAATGTTAAATGATGAGTTAATGGGTGCAACACACCAACATGGCCCATGTATACATATATAACTAGCCTGCACGTTGTGCACATGTACCCTAAAACTGAAAGTATAATAAAAAAAGAATACTTTTTGAAAATACTTACAGACTGTTTAGTTTTCCATCCCTTTATATATTTTTATATATGCATGTATATGTGTGAGTGTGTGTGTGTGCCTGTGTATATGTATATATAAATATTTATGGGAGGTTATAAGTACTTACGTACATGATCACAATAGGCTGCCTGCAAGCTGAGGAACAAGGAGAGCAAGTCTGAGTCCCAAACCTAGAAGAACTTGGAGCCCACTGTCTGAGAGAAAAAGTATCCAGTATAGAAGAAAGATGTATGCTTTCGAAGCTAGTCCCATCTCGCTTTTTGACATGTTTCTGTCTGCTTGATATTCGCTAGAAGCTCATGAGATTGTGCCCATCAGATTAATGTAGATCTTCCCATTGACTCAAATGTTAATTTTTGGGGGTGAACCACCCAAGAAACTCATCCACGATTAATACTCTCTATCCTTCGATCCAATGAATGAGACACTCAGTATTAAGCATCACAAGTCCACCCCTTGTTAACTCGAATCAAATCACATCTCCTGCTATAATACATAATCTTCAAATGCAGACAGAAATGAGGTAATAATTACACCTAACATAATACAATTATCCTCTTACAACCAGGAATGCAGCAATCTCCAATCCAAACACTATTTCATAAAGTTTACAATACACAAATGTTGATAAGAACTCAATAAATCTTATGTAGCATGATAAAGGAAAATAAAAAAAATTTTCTTAGTACATGTGTATACATGCACAAACTTTTTTTTTTTTAACAAAAGAAGGACGAAATACTTAAAACAATTAACGTCCTCATTTCTGCAGCTGGTCACTTGTTTATAGCGGATATGGATGACTAACTTCTTCTAACACCCATTCTGCCTTCCTTTTATCTTCCTCAAGCACCTCAGCAGGTTGCGGTTTTTATTGTTTTGTTGTTGTTGTTCCTTTTGTTGTTGTTACCCTGGTGAGTGACCCAAACCTTAATACCTGAAGGGTCTGATCCAACTGTAGCCCTGTCAGAATTGGGCTGTTGTAGTTTTCCACTGACCTTGGTTGCACGTCATGGTAATTCTGGAACACATCTTAATGCATCTTCTGTATTTTATGCCACACTCTTTCTTCCCTCCATTGTGGAGGAGTAGGCTGATTTCATCTTGATAGTTCAGGTCAATCACCTCAGTCAACACTGTAACTGCCTTTTTACAATGCTGACGTAAAGGTAGGAGGAGGCCCAAGTGTCCAGGTGGCAATCTTGACTTCCAGTTTAATGGAATCAGTTTTGTTTCATCTGGTGGCAGCGCTTTTCCTTGGGGAGCTAAGACCTCTAGGCCAGCAGAACATAATATCATAAGAAACAGGAAACAAAAATGTTGCTAGTGAAGCACAGGAGTGATAGTGAGTGGTGAAATTTCTACTTCCATCGCTTGATTCCTGGACCAGCGAATTTTGGCTACAGAAGTAACAATACCATATATTGGATGCTGATTCAGAGAACATATGGTCTTCTGGAGAACTTTGCCACAGCCCTACAAAGTATTGTCACATAGTTGGCATTGCAATTGTAACTTCAAAAGGCCACTTCACAATCCTATTAATTTAGTTGCTTCAAGATAATGAGAAACATGGTAAGACCAGCGTTTTAATGAGCAGGAGCCCACTGCCACATTTCTTTAGCTGTAAAGTTAGTGCACTGGTCAGAGGAAATGTTGTGTGGAACACCATAATGGTGAATATGGCATTTTGTGAGTTCATGAATGGTAGTCTTATCAGAAGCATTGCATGAAGAATGGGGAAACCCATATCCACAGTAAGTGGCTATTCCAGTGAGGACAAACCTCTGCCATTTCCTTGATGAAAGAGTTCCAGTATAATTAATCTGTCACCAGGTAGCTGGCTGATCACCCCAAGAAACTGGGCCATACTGAGGGCTCAGTTTTGGCCTCTGGTACTGGCAAATTGGGCACTCAGCAGTGGCCATAGCCAGGTCAGGCTTTGTGAGTGGAAGTCCATGTTGCTGAGCACATGTGTAACCTCAATTTCTGCCACCATGGCCGCTTTGTTCATGGACTCATCGGGCAATGACAGGGGTGGCTGGGGAAAGAGGCAGAGTGGTGTCCCTGGAACCAGTGTTTTTATCCACTTGATTATTAAACTCTTTATCTACTAAGGCTGCTCGTTGGTTAGAACTCACATGGAATACAAATATTTTGACAGCTTTTGACCACTCACAAAGGTCCGTCCACATACGTCTTCCTCAAATATCTTTCTCACCAATATTCTAATCATGCATCTACCAAGTGCCTGACACCCAGACAAACCATTAGCTATGGACCATGAATCAGTATATAGTCAGAAATCTGGCCATTTGGGTATCGACATAGGCTGAAGGAGTGAAGATGGGGTGGCTGCAGTGGAGATCGTGAGCATTTGAACCACTTTCTCAGGTAACTTAGTTGTGCCTTAGGACCTGCTTAAGCCTGGCCACATGTATACCACATCCATTTCATGATGAAATCCTGCTGTGCACAACCCACTTTAAGACTCGATGGGTCAGAAAGCACCAAGTTCATGATAGGCAGTGTAGTTCACATGGTGACTTGATGACCAACATTGAAATGTTTCACCAAAGCCCAGCAATGGGCCAAGAGCTGTCTCTCCAAAGAATACTAGTTATCTGCAGAAAATGGCAGGGCCTTGCTTCAAAATCCTAGAGATGTATGGTCTGATTCACCTGTGGGAGCACTGCAAAGTATTGTCACATCGTTGGCATTGTAATTGTAACTTCAAAAAGCCACTTAACCATTCTATTTATCCAGCTCCTTCAGGATAATGGGAAACATGGTAAGACAAGTAGATTTAATGAGCAGGACACTGCTGCCACAGTTATTTAGCTCCAAACAACATTCCTATCTGCCACTGAAACTTCAAGCATCATTGAATCTCCTGGTTCATATGGCCCAAAGAGTAGAGGGGTTTGCAACACAGCCTGAAGTAGTTGCAGAGTCTTTTCCTGTTTTGGATGCCCCTGAAAGCTGGCAGCCCTTTGGGTCACTAATAAGTGGGCCAGTGGGACATATTCAAATAAAAAAGGTACTGCTTCAAAAATCCAACTAGGCCTAGTAAGTATTGTGCCTCTTTCTTGGTTATAAGAGGGGCCTCACACAACAACTTGTTCTTCTCCCTGGAAAGGATATTTTGACAGGCTTCCCAAGACTGGACCTCTAGGAACATTACGGAGGTAGAAGGTCTCTGAATTTTAGTCACATTTATTTCACATCTTCTGGTACATAAATGTCTCACCAATAATTCAAATGTGCTTGCTACTTCTTGCTCACTCATCAAATCAGCCTAATTTCATCAATGAGATGGATGAAATCATTGTGATACTTTACAGAAGTGAAGAGCAATCAAGGTCTCTCTGAGTAAGATTATGACAGGAAGCCAGAAAGTTAATATACACCTGAACAAGGTTAATAAATGTGTATTGCTGGCCTTGCCAGCTGAGGGCAAATTGCCTCTGGTGGTCCTTATGGAAAGGAATAAAGAAAAGGGCACTGGCCAAGTGAATGGCTGTATACCATGTGACAGGAGATGTATTAATTTGCTCAAAAAATAAACCATATCTAGAATATCAGCTGCATGTTGATTCACAACTGTATTAAGTTGCAATACTCCAATGTGATTATCCAAGGTCCACCTGTCTTTTGCACAGGCCAAATGGGAGAGTTGAATTAGAATGTGCTGGTAATTACCAATCCAGCATCTTTGAAATTTTTGATGGTGGCACCCATCTTCACAATCTTCTCAGGGTTTTGATATCATTTCTTATTTACTATTTTTCTAGGTAGGGGCAGCTCTTGTGGCTTCCATTTAACCTTTTCTATTGTTGTAGCCCTCACCTTGGAGGTCATGGAAATGTGGGATTCTGCCAGCTGCTAAGTATATCTATGCCAGTTATGCAATTTAGCACTGGGAAAATGACCACAGGATGACTCCAGGGACTCACTGGGCACTCTGTAAATCTGACCTAATAAGCTAAAGCACTATTAATTACCTGACCTCCCTGAGCTCCTACTTTAACTGCAGGACCACAGTAACATTTTGGGTCCCCTGGAACCCACATCAGCACAGAGCTAGTGGCCAGTAGTTTCTCCAAAGTCTGACTATTTCCCTTTCCCTAGTACACAATTACTTTGGTAAAGCCTGGAGGTCTTCTTGGGGAAAGATTGTGTAAAGATTCACTGCATAAATAGTCAGTTGTGTTGTGGGTTTCTTGGTCAAGGGAACCCAGCCTCCTCTTCATTCGATGGATTCTCGGTCTTTAAACTGTCTCTAGCCTGGTAATTGATGGAGGGGCCGTACTTCTCTGTTTTCATCATTCCGAATAGTGATTTGTCCTTTTGACGCAACGATTTCTGTATGTATAACATAAGTATGAATGCAGTAAGCTTTCCATCAATTTCACTTGCACGAACACCGTGACTAATTAACCAATGGCAAGGCTCTACAGGAGTCATAATATTTGACTGCCACTATCCCTTCGCTGTACCCACACCTTTGATGTTTGAGTGGTGCCACTTGACCCCTGTCACATCGGGATCCAACTATTCTCAACATATTTAAATTTTGTCGTTGCATGACTGTGGTTTCCAGAGAAGAGCAATTACAGGGCAATTGTGCCCACCAGATTAAGGGTGGAACTACCTTCTCCAGCCCACTGCCCCTAGTGTTAATCTCTTTTAGGCAACACTTACACAGACACATGCCAAACTAATACTCTGTATCTCTCAATCCAGTTAAATTGATACTCAGTGTTAGCCATCACAGGCTCTTGGCGATAAATTTGCTGGTCCCCACTGAGGCTCCACCTTCAAGCCAGTTACAGCCTGAAGTCTAGGTTCTAGGCTGATGGACAAGAATGGGAACCACTTTTGCTTTTTTCTAAAACGCACGCATGGTTGCCAAATAATCCAATCAGCAAGCACTTTCTTTCCTTTGAAGCAAATAATATTCCTGGACTCAGCCACATTTGAGGACTATTCAAACTACCAGCTGTGGAGAGGAGCTACCTACCCAAGGGCCATCTCTCTCCTGCAAGCTTAGGAGATGTCAGGACTATCAGCAGTGGGCTGGAGCTACCCACCACAGTATCTGCTGAAAGCTGGGGAGATAATGGGATGACCAGCTAGAGTGAGGAGCTACCCAGTCGAGGGTCTTCTTTTTGCTGAAGGCTTAGCCAATCTTGGAACCACCAGGTGTGAAGTAGACCTACCCACTCCAGGGTCTTCACTCTGTGGAGAGCTTAACATCTCACAATATGACCAGCTGGATGGAGAAGCTACCAAGTCCAGGGTTTCTTTCCTGCTGAGAGCTGGACACTAAGCCTTGACAACTTGCCTGTAAAGATAAGCTGCCCACTCTAAAGCCGTCTCTCCACTGAGAGCTGGACACTCATCAGAACATCCAGCCTGTGGAGAAGACCTACCCAATCAGGATCTCTTTTGAGTTCTGTCCCTCAGTAAATCTTGTCTATAAATGTCTCACTCTCCACGTGTCCATCTACCTCATTCTTCCTGGATAAAGAACTATTATTTGAGAATCACTGAATGGTGGTGCTGAAAGAACTGTAACACAAACAGGGAAAAAAATGTCTCTTGCTCATCACGTTGTGAAAGACAAAAGTAAGAGGACAGCTAGGCTATCTCAAAACCAGGGCTGTGACACCCTCTTTAGGGCTTTGCTGTTTCTGGCATCCTGAAACTTCTGGGCACCACTACATTCCCCAGTATCAGCTGTGGAAGCTGCTTGCAGTATGCCTGGTCCAGCTGCTGCATCTCAGTGAGATGGTACTTCTGTTGGTACCTAAAATTTCTTGCTTTGCAACAGCTGGTAGGCCTGGCTGTCTATAGCGGCTGGACCCCACACTTGCTCAAACACCATTGCCACTCTACCTCACGTTTGCCCTTGGCAGGTGTTAAATCCTGGCCCATAATGCAAGCTGAGTGCAGCCTGTCAGGCAGAGTGGGTAAAGCTAGCTTAGCAGGCCTGAGAAAACGCAGGCAAAGGCACCACTGGCCGCAGAGGTTTTCAACTGGCAAGGTGACTCTCCCAAAATCTCATGACAAAAGGAGCATAGCTAGTTGCGTTTAAATGCCTTTCTTCTGTTGGATCTTGAACTACTTAAAATTCAGTCTCCTACAATTTGGAATGTTTAAACCTTATTTGAAAATCATTATATTTCAAAATCTTTTGGAAATTAAAGTTGAAAGACTGGTATTTCCACTGAAACATCCTATCCCTCTTACTTGCACAGACATCTAGTCTCTGAGAATATACTTCTGTAACCCATGGCATTGGGCTTCAGGTTAGCACTCTTCCACTGTGTTATAAAGCTTTCTGATGAAACAGAATTTCTGATTTTGACATTTTGTACTCATAAAATTTCTTTATGTGAGGAGCTTTTGCTGTGCATTGCAGGATGATGAGCAGCATTTTGGGCCTCTTCCATTAAGTGCAATTGTAAATGCCTTTTTTTTTTCCCCATGGAAGAAATGCCCAAATATGTTTGTGTCTTGTGGAAACAAAATTGATGGCTATCTTTATCGTATAAGTTAATACCCATGAAAAAACTGATGGTAGTGAGCTAGTGCAGTCATAGGAATGTTTTTACATTGTTCTTTGGAATGTAAATCAGTACAGACAATGTGGAAAAGTGTGTGGTGATTCACACTTTTAGTCTTTCAGAATCCCAATCCCACTGGATTCAGCAATTTCATTACTGGGTGTATAGCACCTGCAAAATTAGTCATTCTATTACAAGGACGCATGCCTGTGTATGTGTATTACAGCACTATTCACAAATTCAAAGTCATGGAATTAACCCAAATGCCTATGAGTGACAGACTGGATAAAGAAAGTGGGAAAACAACACCTTCAGGACAAATAGCTAATTTATGCAGAGATAAATACCTAGGTGATGGGGTAATGGGTTCAGTGAACAACCATGGCACACGTTTACCTGTGAAATAAATCTGCATGTCCTGCATACATATCATGAAACTTAATATAAATTTAAATTAAATTAAATTAAAATTAAAAGGCTTTCATTTTTGTAGCAGTTATAGTAACTTTGGAATATGTGCCACATCTTATTTAAGAGATTTTATAAAATAACTATAAATCAGAGTTTTGACAAACTGCACCAAAAAGTAAATAAGTAGTATATTTCAATTCTCAGTTGATTGAATTTCTTTTCTTTCATTTTGAGGATAGAATCTTACACAGTGTCTTCAGCTGGAGTGCAGTGGTGCAATCTTGACATGCTGCAACCCCTGCTTCCGAGCTTCAAGGGATTAATCTGCCTCAGCCATTTGATTAGCTGAGATTACACGTGTGCACCAACACAGGTGATGGGGTTTAACCATGTTGGCCAGGCTAGTCCCAAACTCCTGATGTCAAGTAATCTGCCTGCCTCATCATCTGAAAGTCCTGGGATTATAGGTGTGAGTCAGGATGTCTGGCAGTTGAATGAATTTCTAATTGAGAAACTTATCCATGTTGCAAAACTTTATTTTCTATATCATACGTTTATGAGTTTCTTCATATGTCTCATAAGTCAAGAAAAATAATATAATTTTAATGCATTCTCTTTTCATTGGAAATGAATGTGTATCCATTTATATGTAATTAAAAGAGAAAGTTTATTTAGAATATCATTTTTCTTTTGTGTAAAACTCTGGGGTTTTAGAAATTTCTTTAAAAATATTACTTTGGAAACTACATTTCTTGACATAAATGTTTGTTTTTTAAGGATCTTTTTTGGTAAGAAAATTCAAAATTGTTTGAAGATACAATGAGATGTTTAATTATATCAAATAAACTTAAAGGTATTTTCTTTGAGAAAACAGGTTTTTCTTAATTTAGGTTTTCTACAAATAATATTATGATTACTTTCTCTTCCTAAAATTAATTTATGTTTTCCTCTTCCCTGCATCAATAGTTCACCTGCAATGTATAAGAAGTAAGAACTGCCAGCAGAACAGGCATTTCCAAGAGGTAGGTCACCCACTACCATGAATCCTAGTTTGAGCTACTTGTTGCGCCAGCTATTGACTGCGTAAAAAAATCTAAAAATGAGAGTAGGCTCTTTGACTGCAATATATGACACAGACAAGGCAATAACTAGTGAGTGGTTTAAATTATAAATCTGATTTTATTCATTAATATTCATTTACTTTGGTTTGAAATACTATTTTTTTCATTTAGAAAAAGAAGTAACTCACTTTTTTTTGTTTGTTTGTTTTTGGTCAACTAGCCCAACATTTTGTAGTCATCAGGTATGTAAGTAGAAGAACTTTAGTGAGAGAATACAATTTTTTTGAAGAAGATGCCTTTCTTTAATGGTTTCCTGTAGCTGGTTTTGGTAACTTAACACATGAGTTGTTTTTATCATATGTGAAAAAATATGGAAATGTTACATTAACGAGGGGCCAAACTTAATGCTATAAAATGTTATATTTAAAATGTATGCACTGAAGTTGCTTGTTATTTTAATTAAATTCTAAAAGAGGAATGGTTTTGAAAATCATGATATTAGAAGGAAACATTTGAGTGCACTTTATTACTTCTAAATATCCAAATAAGTTCCACAAAAAGGTAGCAATGTTTAAACTTACACAGAACTGAAACTCAAAGTGGAAGGTAATGTAAGCAAATTAACATACAGTAACATAAAACTTAGTGTATTTCAAGATTAAGCTAAGTGTTAAGTATGTAATTAACAAACATATTCAGTATAGGCCTGTAATTAGTAAATACGAAATTTTATATATATATATATATATTTCCATGTAAGTATTTTTTTAACACATTGTAGGAGTTTCCAGCTAACTCACTGCTTAAAAGATCAAATCTTCATTTGCATTGTGAGATCTATGTAGAGGGAAAAACTTGCTTTTAAAAAACACTTTTTTTGTTAATTTATTTAATGATTGTATTGACATGGTAAATATATATTTGCAAATGAGTTTTTTTTAAACAAACACTGCTGTTGTTAAATGCTTTAGCTAACTGTTTTACATAGTTTATATATATTTTCACTATATAGGATGATATATACTAACAATTATTAACTGACCACCAATTTTATATTCCTGTTCCAGAGATTATCTCTGTGCCTGCAGTAATCCATATATATAGCTATTTATTTATTTTTTACACAAATGAATATATACAATAGACTATATTGTTAACTTCGTTTTGTACTTCGTCACACGTCTGTCAGTATATGAAGATCCATTTAATTTTGTTTGTAGCTGCATAACTTGCAATTCAGTGTGCTCTAATTTATGCAGTCCACCACTGAGATGGATTGACGTGTAAGTGGTATTCAGTTTTACACTAAATAAAGAAGAATTTACACTTCCACCATAATTTTAAACACACCATCTCGTTGACTTCATCTCACAACAAAATTCTGAGTTCAGGCAAAGTGATTATCATTATTTGCTGAGGAAAGAAGCAGATATTTACATGAAAGTTATAGCTTTATGAGTCAGAACAATAACTTAAAGGAAGTGCTCAATTAAAACTGGGAAAACTCTCATTTTTTTAATGTAAAGTTCTAATGGCAATGAATTGAATACAATCATTTTAAGTGCAAAAGTTTTTAATGAGCAAACTCATAATGATCAAAGTTAAGTCTGTGTTTAACACATGAAAATTTAATACTACGCCATCTTCTATAACTCTTTCAAAGAAAGCGTTTTTTTTTTCTTCTTATCTCAGCTTGTGAAACATTTACTGAGTGGGACTATCTGCCCCTGTTGGACCCCACCCAACAAAAGTATTTGTGGGACTCAAAGACGCTGGAGCTACTTATCAAACACATTCTGTGATCCAGCAGCTATACCTGATCCCTGTCATCGGCAACAGCATTTCTACCATTGAAAACACAGGTAGTGACATAGATGATGATCGTGGGGATGGGAAATGAGGGTTTTCATCCTCCAGACTTCAGAATGGTTAGTCCATTGACAGCTTGATGGTGTGCCCAGAAAAGCCCATAGATACTCAATGCCAGATGGTGAAAGCAGTTGGGAGGAAGGCTGTACCCCATAAAGCCTCATGGGGGGATCTGCTCAAGACCATAGAAACCCACCTCTTGCATCAGCATGACCTGGATATGAGACATTAGGTTAAAGAAGATCATCCTGGAGCCTTAAATTTTTAGTGCCTCATCAGATTTCAGATGTACTTAGGGCCTGTAATCCCTTTATTCTGGTCAGTTTCTCATATTTGGAATGCCTGTATTTTCCCAATGCCAGTACCCTCATTGTATCTAGGATGTAACTAACTTGCTTTAATTTTTGCAGGTTCATAGGCAGAAAAAAACTTGCCTTGTCTCAGATAAAATCTCAGACTTTGGACTATTGAGTTCATGCTTGAATGAGTTAAGACATTGCAGTACTATTGGAAAAGCATGACTGGTTTTGAAATGTGAGGATTTGAGATTTTGGAGGGGCCAGGGTTGGAATGATATGATTTGACTATGTCCCCATCGAAATTTTATCTTACATTTTTACATGTGGTGGAGGGGGATGAGATAGGGAGTAACCATATTGTGGGGGCAGGTGTTTTTTTGTTCTGATCTTGTGACAGTGAATAAGTCTCATCAGATCTGATGGCTTTAAACATCAGTGTTTCCCTGAACAAGCTCTCTCTTTGCTTGCTGCCATCATATAAGATGTGACTTGCTCCTCTTTGCCTTGGCAGATACATAAATCTCTAAGTCCATAAACTGCTCTTCCTTTTATAAATTGCCCAGTCTAGCGTATGTCTTTATAAGTGCATGAAAATGTACAAATATAGTACAAATGTCATATTGACTAATAAAGCTCTGAAACTTCAGTTTCACAGTCAAGTCAAGAAGTAAATAAAATGCAAGTATACGTAGGTCTCTGAAAATGTATATCAAACACTTTTTAGTTCAGCAACATTTTATTAACATCTTTTAATAAAAACAAGGCAGAAAGAGTTGTGAAGTCAAGTTATTATAATGTACTCTATACTTGTATAATTTGTACTAACTTAAGACTAAAGCCATTTTACTTTTTTTAAGAGACAATTTTCTAGTGCTCCAGCTGGAATGAATACAGTGGTGCCATCGTCACTAACTGCAGCTTCCAACTCCTGGACTTATGTCGTCCTGCTTCCTCAGCCTCCCAATTAGCTACATCTAGAAGAAAAGGCCAGTAGGCTCAGCTAATTATTTAATTTATATATTTATTTTAATTTTTTCTTAGAGTCAGAATCTTGCAGTGTTACTCAGGCTGGCCTCAAATCCTAGGCCTAAAGTGATCCACCCATCTTGGCCTCATTAAGTGACAAGATTACCAGTGTTAAGCCACCACATCTTCTCATTTTAAAAAACTTTTTATAAAGATGGTGTTTCAGGATTTTGCCAAACTCTGTTCCAAATTCCTGGCCTCAATTGTCCTTTTTTCCTTGCCCTTCCAAATTATTGGAATTATCAACATGAGAAACAAAATCTGATGTAAAACCTGATCCACTTTTTAAATTATAAGTAAAGATTTTGTTTAGAATAGATAAAGCTTAATACTGAATGATAAAGTAGAATAAGCTATGATACAAATTTTTTGAAGACAGAGATAATTTTTAATTAAAAAATGCATATTTAGATTAGAGAATTTTATGTTTACCAAGAATTCTCACACAATTACCGCAAAAATGTTTTTCGTGTATTTAAAAATTGAAATAATAATTTTACTGTTAGGAAATATAAAGTGGCATAATAGACAATCAAACCAATTATAATTACATTATGAGTGAAATCCAAAGCCATGTACCAGTCACTGGCAGGAACACAAACATTTTTTGGTGTAACATCCTGTGGTAATGATGAATATAGAGGCAATTTGTATGCTAATCATAGAAAATTCTTTTCCTTCATGCAGAAAATAATTCTACTGTTCAAAAAAAATTATATATATAGTCAAAAACATTTGTATTTTCAAGCTGTTAATAAAATATTTGTTAGTTAAGCCAAATCTTAGTGATTACTTCACTGACTCGTATTTCAAACTGCTTAAGTAAAAAGTAATAATTAATATAATACATAAATGCTCTTCCATATTTCCATATATTAAAAACCAATATTCTAAGGTAAAGATATCTTAAATATTTTACCTTGAAATAACTAAACCAAAAAGGCAACACATTCATATAAATTAGATCTAATGATTTCATAAAGAAAGAACAAGAAGACTGAAGAAATAGATTAAACACATTCGATACCTTGTAAAAACTCCTACAAGCCAAACACAAATTACTTATCATAAGAAGCAAATCTAAATTGTTACACTGAGTACAGTTTAGGTTTTAAGAAATCTATGTTTGCAGAATCTGTAGGTGTAAAAGGTCACTTATTTGTCATAAATTACAAAAGATTACTGACACAGACACTGATGCTTTTGTGGTTCCATATAGCCACTACTATCTGACTGTTACTGTTCTGTTTTCTTTTATGCTATGAAGCAGAATTTGGTGTGAGTAAATTGAAGATACATGATAAGCAATAATAGCAGCTGATATTTATAGCACTTAAAGAAGAGGTAATACACTAAGAGACACACAGACACTAATGTGTTTAATTCTCACAGTTTTTTTTCTTTTCTTTCTTTCTTTCTTTTTTTTTTTTTTTTTTTTTTTTTTGAGATGATAGGGTTTTGCTCTCTTCCCCTAGGCTGCGGTGCAATGGCAGGATCTCCGCTCACTGTAACATATGCCTCCCAGATTCAAGAAATTCACCTGTCTCAGCCTCCCCAGTATCTAATTTTACAGGCATATGCCACGACGCCTGGCTAATTTTCATATTTTTAGCAGAGGTGGAGTTTCACCCTTTTGGCCAGGCCGGTCTCACTGTCTTATAAAAAAAACGTTTAGGACCTGGCCGAGCGCGGTGACCTGTAATCCCACGCCTGTAATCTCAACACGTTGGGAGGCCGAGATGGGCAGATCACGAAGTCAGGAAATCCCAACCATCCTGGCTAACACGGTTCAACCCTGTCTCTATTAAAAATACTAAAAAATTAGCCAGGCGTGGTGGCTGGCGCCTGTAGTCCCAGCTACTCTGGAGGCTGAGGCAGGAGAATGGCGTGAACCTGGAAGTTGGAGTTGCAGTGAGCATAGACCGGGCCACGGCACTCCAGCCTGGGTGACAGAGTGAGACTCTATCTCAAAAATAAATAAAAAATGAGTAAATAAAATAAAATACAACATTAAGACCTATATATAGTTATTTTAAGAGGTTTGCATTAAGAGTGAAAGGGTGAAATAAATTGTTTCATTTCTCAGAGATGTGAAGAGCAGGCAATATGATGTTACAAATGAACCACAATCTAAATGACAGCTAAGTTCACAGCAATGCAGACAGCTTGGAGGTGAGAAGTTATGAAGGCCAAGAAAGACATCCATGTTATTTAGCTTACGTCTCCCAAGATAGTTCTTCATTCCATCTCCCAAACAAGTTCCAAAGAGGTAAAATGGGCTGGTTAGGCCTAAAGAATGAAATCTGTTTGTGAAACTACTCGTGGTTGTTAACATCTGTTGTAACCGCATAAAATGAAGAGGTATCTGTAATAGAAAAAGAATAATATTTTCTTCTGTCAACTCTTCAATATTCAATCATTAAATTGCAATTTATCATAGAGGACAGATGAGAACCCTCTGTGAGATCGTCTACATCCAAAATTATTCATTTAATAACAATCATTTTTCCTCAAGTCAGTCACTGTATTTTGTCAATATTATTTTCCTTTAAACAAGTTATCATCTTAACTACCTGTCTGATACCACTAAAACAGTAAAGAGAAACCAGAAGTTAATTTTGTGGATGAGCACAAACAACTCTAATGTCTTCTGGTTTTGTTGAATGAGATCTTTTTTTTTTTCAAAACTGAAAAAAACATACATTTTATCCCATTTTACAACAATGTGGATTTTCCCCTTCCATTGGATATACTATACCAAAGATTCAAGAAGATTTTGATGACTGTTAATGTCCACATTTAAAGTGTTAAAATATTTTTCATATTTGTACCTAAAGATATTTTAAAGAAATAAATTATAAATATATATTCTTCATGTTTTTGTTTGGTTTTGTTTGGTTTGGTTTTCCAGTGAAGATAATAGAAAATTGTCTTTCACAAAACAGGTCCCTTGTGCCAATTGTTTGCAAACAATCACACATAGATGCATGCACACATAAATTATTGAGTAAAAGTTTTGAAGACAGAAACTCATAGTGTTATAGTAATTTGAATGAAAAAGAACAGAAATGTTGACTAGATTTCAGAAAAAAAATGTCTTGAGTAGATCAAATAAATGAAAATAACTTGTTGATGCAAGAAAAAGGGAGTGTTGGTCACACGTGAGGCTATAGAACCGAAATAGTTCAATAAGAATTACGTATGCAAATTACACTTACAACCCTAAGTTTACAGTTTAGCTACGGAATCTAGAACCTCAAACTGAGAGATACAATGGGGAGTCAGTGCATTACAGGTGCACTGCAGACATTTAAAAGAAATCTAAGTGATATGCTAATACAGAGAAGGGAGCTGCTGTGAGTGAAACAGAAGGAAGCCCAGAAATCAGAAGATCCCTTTTTCTTTCTACCTCTGAGATATCTATGAATTACCTTCCTGAAAGAACAATAAACAGGTCTAATTTGTGGCATGCATGACAATAAAACACTGTCACACAACTTTTTACTGTATACTGTAACATATAGCTCTTTCTAGTTTCTAAAACAAGCTGTCCCAGGTAGCAGGGACTACAGGTGCAGACAATTACACTCACCTAGCTAGCTTTTTGCATCTTAATAGAGATGATATATCACCACGTTACTCAGGCTGGTTTTGATCTCCTGAAATCAAGTAATCTGGCTGCCTTGGCTTCCCAAAATGTTAAGACTACCAGTGCGAAGGAACGTGCCTGGCACAAGCTTGCATTTATATATGTTGTATATATATATTTGCAAATATATATATAGATACGCACACACATATATGCATATATATACACATACACATATGTATTATATAAAGTTACACATTATATATGTACATATAAGTTTATCATATATATATATTTTCTTGCAGGGCTAGAAAGGGGTACTATCTTGACAGTGATGAAAACGTTCATTTGATAAGAAAAAATGTTTATTTGATGTTGAGTAATGTTGATCTTTGATATACATAATCTCATGGATAAACATTACTCTAGAAACTAAAAGACATCATTGATGCACTAATCTAATTTGAAAAGAGTAATGAAGGAACTTTAAGCATACACCGAAAGTCAGTGAATGAAATGGCATTTTACCTTCCCAAGTAGCTGATACTACAGGCTCAAACCACCACACCTGAGTAATTTTTGTATTTTTTGTGGAGACTGGTTTTTGCCATGTTGCCCAAGCTTATGAAATAATTTTTATTATGTGTGATGACAGCACCATGGTCAACTTTTTAAGGAAAATCTTTACAGATGTGTTCTAACACTTATAGAGATAAAATTATATAATTGAGATTTACTTCATTAGACAACTGTTAGATCAAGGAAATGGCTACATTTTAATGTTTAGTTTATATATAGAGTAGAAATCTTATTATAATAAGAATTTAATTATATTTTAAGTGATGAAAGAATACATGGCCTGTCTTTGCTGTGACAATTTTTGTCTCTTTCTATGGGGATAATACTAGTAGAAGTGACCAAGAAAGACAGCTATAATATTACTTTTGTTTAAATATTTAACATCAAATGCATTATGGATTTTAAGATATATTTAAAAATTTCAGTTTATGTAGAGTTGATTTCATCAAAATTAAATGATAACTCACCCATAATTTACCTGAACTGTTTCCAAAAACTTTTGGGTACGTAGAATTGTAGTCAGAAAGCAGCTAAATCAAAAGATTGACCTGAAGCTGTCTTAGGACACCAATATTGTACTCTTTACTATCTTCTGTCTTGTTTAATGCTAGTTTGTCTTCACATTTATGATAATACTTAAATACATCATCGTGAGGATGAGCCTTACTCTAGAAGCCAAAAGGCAGTATCTTTAAAAGTATTGTGAAAGTAGTTGAATGAAATATATACCAAAACTGAGTTAATGAAATGATTCGCAATTTTTGTAGTATTTTCAAAGAACTTACTGTGTTTAATGTTTAGCGTTAGTGTTTATTTCACAGGTGGACCATCATAAAGAGTATACAGAAAAGTTATCAGTAGAAATAATAAAATAATAACATACCTCACAGGTAAGAAAATAGACTACAATCTTCTCAAGTCGACAAGATTGGAAAGAAATCAGTGCTCTGCCATAAATAACTTACAAGAACTAAGTACTTTTTTCTCCTGGAATGCAGTGTCTTCTTGTGAGTATCATGCATTTTTGATATTTACATGGTATAATTTATGTGATGTATTGAGAATTATTACAAATCAATAAATATGGCCCTTAAGAGTAGTTGTGGAAGGATCGAGAGCATACACAGAAGCTCCAAAGGTCATAATTTCCTTGTAGCTACAGAACAAAATACAGCTGTTTTACACATATGCAACATGTTTCTCTATGCTTTGGTATGCATCTGAGGTTTATGACAGAGAAATAAAAATTATCTGCTTCATGTCCTGATGAAGTTCATGGCACAGAAAAGTAGCTAGGCAGACATGCATGCCACAGTAAAGGGCTGAGACAACATAAAGCACAAGCAACTAAGCACAATGGTGGGGACTTAATTTGAATGCTATATTCTGTCTACTTCATTCGCTTCTTGCCAGTACAATTTGCCATCTCGATCAGTTTTCAATTCCAAACCCTAGAGGAAAAACGAGCTAGAGGGTCAAGAACCAAATTCTATCTTTTTGTCCAGTAGTGGCTGTTAACCAAGTAAGAGTGGACATCCCATAATGAGATCCTACTAAAAGGAATGTTACCCAAGTTGTAATGTCTGCATAGTGTGATCTGTCATATCTAGAAAGGCAGAGGCAAGTGTGTGTTTTGTAATCTCTGTAAACTTTAAGTGCCAAGATGTTATTTGAAGGCAAAGTTATTTCTGACCACTGAGGAAAAGAAATGTAGAAATTTTGGAACTGTTTACTACAGTTAAAATATTCTAATTTCTTTCTTTAGTTTCTATCAATATCTATGCGAAAAAAGTAAAGGAATGGTAAACAGTTTGAGTGTAAACATTTCCAAAATTCAGGTTTCCTGTATTAACTTACTTAATAGCTGCATCTTAAATATGTGATCTGCCACTAAAGCCTAACTTTTTGCTGCCTTATGATCAACCGAATACTTTTTATTTTCAACCAGGTGCTTTTATACCTTTAGTAGCCTTATTGTAATTGTGAAATAATGTTGATAACAGGTCCATGTAGCATTATCTGAAAAACGATTTTTTTCTTAAGCAGAAAAATAGCTAATTTGAGGAAAATATACAGAAAATCCTAAAAATAAACACAACTTATATAACACAGATAAAATTAAAGTTAAAAATTAAATAGCATACTTCAAATACAAGATGAGAATATACTTATTAAAATAAATATTTTTTTATTCTTAAAATTCTGAATTGCGTTTACCATGTCATACAAATATGATTGTATCAATTATACTTTGAAAACAAACAAAAAATAATAAAAATTATCAAGTAAACTTTCAAGTTATTAGATAGTGAGCATGAAAAATATGCCATTCATAGTATCTCAGACATTCTAGCCATATTGTCAAAATGCAGTCCTTACAAAATCTCATGAAAGTACAGTAATCTCAGGAAGAAAAACAGTACCTGGTATCAGAATATTAAAAACAAATAAATAATTAAAATTTAACTCACACCTTTGTTACTCATCTTTGAACCATCATTGTCTACATCATCACATGTGTTTCTAATTGTAGAGCTACTGTTTCTAACCACTAAGATTATGTATAGTTGCTAGATCACACAATTTATGTGACTAGTCACACCAGCCTCTTTGAGTCCCACAAGTCATTTTTGTGGGCAGGGTCTGATCGGGGGCAAATATTCCTACTATCTGAGTGTTTCACAACCTCAGAGAAGAAGAACTATGCTTATGCTACAAAAATGATGACTCTGTCCATAGTTCTTCTAATCAGGCTGGGAAATTCACTTTATCAGGCTAACACAGCACTCTTCAAATGGTACCTTAAATTTTTATATCATCAGAAACATGATCCAATATATGCACCATTAACTAGAGATATCTTAATTCTGCATTTTTAATGGCATTGCTTCTGTAACAGTTTTATTTGAAAAAGTCATATAAGGTGGTATAATATTAAATTTCCAAGTGCTAACACAGACTTAACTTTAATCATTGTGTGTTAACTGATTGAAAAACTTTTGTACTTAAAATAAGTGTATTCAATACAATGTCATCAGAAATTTATATAAATAGGACATTAGAGTTTTCTCAGTTCAAACTGAGCACTGCATACAAGTTATTGTTCTCAAACCTAAAAACTATAATCTTCACATAAATATCTGCTTTTTTCCTCATTACATAGTGATGATTAATTTATATTCATTTTATTATGAGATAAAGTCAATTAGGCGGTGTATTTAAAATCCCTGTGAGAACTAGAAATCTTCTCTATCTTATAAAACTGAACACAACTTACACATCAATCCATCTTAGATGTGGACTGCATAAATTAGAGTACATTGAATGCCAAGTTATGTAGCACAGAACAGAAATAAACAGATCTTCATGTATTGACAGGTGTGTCACTAAGTAAAAAACAAATAACTATATTGTATATTTTATATTCTCATTTCTGTAAAAAAAGAGGAGAGGAAGAAGAAGAAGAAGAAGAAGAAGAGGAAATAGCTCTATGTATGAAGACGTGCATATACTTCAAAAAACATCTCTGGACCAGAAATACAATATTCATGGCAAGTTAATAATTTTTATTGCATGCCGTCTTATATATTTGGAAATATACATTAACCACAAGGAAAGAAAAGATTGACTTAACGTTTCATAACAGTAGTGGTTGCTTAAAAAAATTTTAAAAATATTTATTTATTCTGCCAATACAATAGTTAAATAAATTAACAAAAGTCTGTGTTTTTAAAAAGGAAACTCTCCTCTTTACATAGATCCCACAGGACAAATAAAGATCTGTCCTTTTAAACAGTGAGTTTAGCTAGAAACTCCTGCAATGTACCAAAAAATATACTCACAGAGAGAAACATATAAACTAACATAATTTCACATTTTCAATTAAATATCTGTACAGAATACTGTTGTTAATTATATTTGTAACTCTCTGATTTCCCTTGAAATGAACTAAATTTTATGGTTTTTGTTTGTTTGTTTGTTTTGAGACGGAGTCTCCCTCTTTCGCCTAGGCTGGAGTGCAGTGGTGTGATCTCGGCTCACTGCAAGCTCCGACTCTCGGGCTCACACCATTCTCCTGCCTCAGCCTCCCGTGTAGCTGGGGCTACAGGCACCCACCAGCACGCCCGGCTAATTTTTTCTATTTTTAGTAGAGACGGGTTTCACCTTGTTAGCCAGGATGGTCTCGATCTCCTGACCTTGTGATCCGCCCTCCTTGGTCTCCCAAAAGGGCTGGGATTACAGGTGTGAGCCACCGCGCCTGGCCTATTGTTTTTCAATTTACTTACATTACCTCTCGCTATGAGTTTCAGTTCTGCGTAAGATTTGAACATTGCTATCCATTTTGTTTAATTGACGTGGACATTTAAAAGTAATAACATGCACTCAGATGATCTCTTTTCACATTATGATTTTAAAATAATACTTCTCTTGGAATTTAACTAAAACAACATTAAGCAACTTCAATGTTTGGGTTAGAAAAATCTTTTTAATGTATACATTTTTAGTATAAACTTTTTGTACCATTAAATTTGGTTTCTTCTTACTCAACAGTCTTACTATTTTTTTGTATATGATTAAATCAATTCCACTGTGTTAAATTACCAAAACCATATATGAGAGCATTTAAGTAATACATCTTATTTAAAAAAATAATATTCTCTGATAGAAATGGTTTTAATTATATACCTGATGGCTACAAAATGTTAAGCTAGTTGATTAAAAACAAAGCAACACAAAAGCGATGAGTTAATTTTTTCTAAATGTAAATATAGAATTTCAAACAAAACTGTTATTAACGATAAAAAACCTCTTTATGATTTTAAATACCCACTAGTCATTTCTTTGTCTATGTAATATATTTCCATCAAACAGACTGATATCTTTTTGAGATTTTTTTACCCAGCCAATCTTGTGCTGCAGGTAGCTCAAAACCAGGGTTGACGGTAGTGGGTGAACTATGGACCAGAACAGCCTGCTCTGCTAGCAGTTCTTTATTTCTTAAATATTGCAGATGAACTTTGGATGCTGGGAAGATTTAAACATCAATTAATTCCTAGTAACATACAAAAAGTAATCACACAGTATTAGTAGAAACATAGCTTAAGAAAAAGTTGTCTTTCGAAGAAAATACCTTTTAAGTTTATTTGACATAATTAAACATCTTATTGTATCTTGAAACAATTTAGAATACTCTTACAAAAGAAAATGCAAAGGAAAAAAAAATGCAAGTGTAATCAATAAATGCAATGAGTTTTCCAAATGAGATATGTAAAGCAATTTCTAAGATGTGAGAACTCTTCACCATAGAAAAATGACTTTCTACATAAACCTACTCTTTTAATTATGTATTAATGGAAATAAATTCATTTCCAATAGAGAGACAATGCACTTAAATTATCTTTGTGAATTATGAGACATAAAATGAAACTCATCAAAAATATGATATAAAAAATAAGGTTTGTAAGACCAGTGTATTTCTCAATTGGAAACTCAGACGAGGGCCGGCAAGCCTTGGTGGCTCATGCCTGTAATTCCGGCACTTTTAGAGGCCAAAACAGGCAGAGTACTTGAAGCCAGGAGTTTGAGACAACATGGCCAATATGGTGAAAACCCTTCGAGTGTGTTGGTGCATACCTGTAATCTCAGCTATTCAAGAAGCTGAGGAAGAATGAACATTTGAACTTGGGAGGCAGGGTGCTGCAGTGTGCTAAGATTGCACCACTGCACACCATCCAAAGAGACAGTGTGGGATTCCATTCTAAGAATAAAAGAAAATAAATTTGATCAATTAAGAATTGAGATATTCTACTTATTTGCTTTTCAATGCAGTTTGTGACAACCCTGATTTGTAATTAGAAAATGTCTTAAATAAAGTGTGGCACACATTTCAGTTACTATAACCTCACTTCTAAGAAAAGAAAGCCTTTCTAGTTTTATTTAATTTCTTTAACTTTGTTTTGTATTAAGTTCCAGGGTACATGCAGGACATTCTGGTTCATTGCGTAAGTGACAGGATATTAGAACAGCAGAAAGTTAGATAAAAATAAGATCTCATATAAAATTTGTGTATTTGTTTTGTTTTGTTTTGTTTTGTTTTTTAAGACAGAGTTCGCTATTGTGATGCAGGCTGGAGTGCAATGGCATGATCTCAGCTCATTCTCGCCTCCTGGTTTCAATCAATTCTCCTGGCCTCAACCTCCCGAGTAGCTGGGATTACAGGCGACTGTCACCATGCCCAGCTAATTTTGTTTGTTTGTTTACTTATTGTATTTTTAGTAGAGACAGGGTTACACCATGTTGGCCAGACTGGTCTCCAACTCCTGACCTAGGGTGATTCTCCCAATTTGGCCTCCCAAAGTGCTGGGATTACAGGTGTGAACCACCCTGCATGGCCTCTGCAAAATTGTTAAAACTGGTTTTTTTATTCATTCTTCATAACTCTTTAGAATAGTCAATGTCAACAATTTAGCTTCCAGAAGACACTAAGATATTTGGACATTTCAACCATGGAAAAAGGATGCTACTATTGCACTTAGTGGAAAAGGTCAGAAATGCTGCTCATCCTCTTACAATGCACAGCAAAAGTGCCTCCACAAAAAAAAAAAAGTATGTGAGTATATAATGTCAAAATCCAGGGATTAGAAATTGTGTTCCATTGGCAAGTTTCATAATCTGCTAAAAGAATGCTAATCTGAAGCCCAATGCCTATATTTCAGAAATATATTTTGTGAGAATCAGGTGGTTCCATGCAAATATGTTCTTGGGATTCAGGTGGTTCAACGCAAATACCAATTATGCAAATTTTATTTCTAAATAATGTTGAAATATAATACTTTCCAAATAAGGATAAAATATGAAAATATTCAGGGTATTGACACTCAATTATCAGTGTCTCAGGATTTAAGAGAAGTAAGGCATTTAAACACAATTAGCTATGCTTCTTTTGTTACAGAATTTTAGGGGAGTCACTTTGCCAGATGAAAACCCCTGTGGCCAGTGGTGCCTTTGCTTGAGTTTTTCCCAGGCCTGCTACATGTGTTCTACCCACTCTGCCTGACAGGCTGCACTCAGCTTGCATTAAGAGCCAGCATTTATCACCTGCCAAGGGCAAGCATGGTGGAGTGGTGAGTGTTGTATGAGCAAGTGTGGGCTCCAACCACTAAACTCATCCAGGCATGCCAGCTGTGGCAAAACAAGAAATTTTAGGTGCCAGCAGAAGTTCCGTCTCACTGAGAAGCAGCAGCTGGGCCAGGCATACTGCAGGCAGCATCCACAGCTGATACTGTGAAACGTAGTGGGGCCCAGAAGCTTGGAGATGCCAGAAAATGCAAAGCCCCTAAGAGGGTGTCACAGTCATGGCATCGAGAGCCCCTAAGTCTGTGCACCCTGAAGGGCCACAGCTGTCCTCTTATTTTTGTGTTCCACACTACGATAAGCAAGGGGGCGAGTTTTATCCATAGTTGTGTTACAGGTCATTCAGCCCTGATAGTCAGCTGATCTCAAATTATTGTTCTGCATCCCAGAAGAGAGAGGTACATGCTGCCTTCAGTCTTTCCACCTCTACCTATAGAGATAAACCATGTGCTGGCTGAGGCCACAGTGATAGCCTCCCCTGAGTCAGTTGCCAGGTATGATAATGTTGATTCTTCTCAGAGGCCACCCCCAACATCTCTGTTTGGTTCTAAGCCTATAACTAAACTAAAGTACTGGCGGGCTCTTTACGGTGATATTGAGAGTGCAACCCATGAGAAGTTGTGGTAAACTGAAGAACAACTGTTTGAGTTCTATAATATACATGAACAGCAGGCTAGAGAACACAGAAGCAAATGGATATTAAGGGTATGGGATAATAGCAGAAGGAACACAGGGTTGTATCAGGCTGAATTTATTGACTAGGGCTGACCTAGTAGGGACTCTGCATTTAAAGATGCAGCACAGGGAGCTAAGAATTTCTCATAGTTTATCTGCTTGGTTAGCTAAAATATGAATTCAAAGATGGCCCACTGTGAGTGAGCTCTATAAATGTCCGCTCTCCATTGGTTTAAAGTAAAGGATGAAATCCAAAGGCCTTGGGAGATTGGAATGGTGGAGTAGATTAGTTCACTTTAGACCTACTCATCCCAGCTGAGAGAGTCCAGAGGATATATTCTTGATCAATGCCTTGTGAAGCAGAGCAGTACCTGCATCTTTGAACAGCTCTGTAATTACTCTTCTCTGTGTGTCAGATCTAAGGGCGGGAACTGCAGCCACTAACTATAACATTTAAATACACTAGGGATAATTGAATCCCAAGGTGGCAGGAACCAAGTGGCAACACTCGACCATCAAAGGCAAGGTGGGTGTAGGTACCATAATGGACAGCTGTCGCAAAGCAGCAATCAGAAGAGTCTGACACCTGTAGAACCCTGGCACTGGCTAATTAATCAAGGTGTTCCTGGAAGTGAAATTGATAGAAAGCCTACTGCATTCCTACTTAAGTTATAGAAACAGAAAACTTTGGTGTCAAATAGATGAAGAACTATTCTAAATTATAAAAACAGAACCACAGCTTCTCAACCTATTTCCATACCAGAGCCAATTTAAAGACACAGAACCCCTTGAATGAAGGGGAGGCTGGATCCCCTTGAGGAAAGACCCCACTCCATTACCAACAATTTATGCAGTGAATCTTTCTCTCATTGTTCCTTAAGTAACGCCTGGATTTTGTCAGGGTAACTATGCCTGGAAGAAAGGGAAATGATCAGAATTTTCAGGCTACTGGACCCTGGATCTGAGCTGATACTGACTCCAGGAGACCCGAAACATCATTGTGGTTCTACAGTTAAAATAGAACCTTATGAAGGTCAGGCAATTAATAAAGTTTTAGCCCCCGTCAGACTTACAGTGGGTCGAGCGTGTACCTAGAGTCATCCTAAGGTCATTTTCCCAGTGCCAGAATGCATTATTGACATAGACACACTTAGCTGCTGGTAGAACCCCACATTTGCTTCCTGACCTGTAGGGTGAGGATTACTAAAATGGGAAAAGGCAAATGGAAGCATTTGAGCTTCCTCTATCTGAAAATACAGTAAATCAAAAACAATATCACAACCCCAGAGAGATTGTGAAGGTTAGTACCATCATTAACGACTTGAAAGACACACAGTTGGTCATTACCAGCACGTCTGAAAGCAACTCTCCCATTTAACCTGTGCAGAAGACAAGTGGATCTTGGAGAATGACAGGAGATTTTGGTAAGCTTAACCACTTGGTGACTCGAATTGCAGCTGCTGTACCAAATGTGGTTTTATTGCTTGAGCAAATAAATATATCTCCTGGCATCTGGTATGCAGCCATTGACTTGGCAAATGCCTTTTTCTGCATTCCTGTCCATAAGACCCACCAGAGGCAATTTGCCTTCACCCAACAATACCAGCAATACACCTTTACTCTCCTACCTCAGGGGTATACCAACTCTCTACCTTTGTGCCTTAATCTTTTTCAGAGAGATCTTGATTTCTTTTGGCTCATGCAAGATATCACACTTGTCTGTTACACTGATGACATTATGCTGATTTGATCCAGTGAGCAAGAAGTAGCAAACACACTGGACTTATTGGTGAGGCATGTTTATACCAGATTATAGGAAATAAATCTGACTAAAATTCAGGGACCTTCTACCTCAGTAAAATTTCTAGGGGTCCAGTGGTGTAAGACCTGTTGACATATTCCTTCTAAGGTAAAGAACAATTTGCTGCATTTGGCCCCTCATACAAACAAAAAAATGGGGGACAATGTCTAGTGAGTTTCTTTGGATATTGGAGAAAACATATTCCTTATGTGAGGTTGTTACTCTCCCCCTTTTATTGAGTGACTTAAAAGGCTGCCAGTTGTGAATAGTGTCCAGAACAGGAGAAAGCTCTGTAGAAGATCCAGGCAAGCTTTTCTGTCACTTGGGCCGTATGACCCAGAAGATATAATGATGATTGAGGTGTCAGTGGTAGATAGGGGTGCTCTTTGGAACCTAATGCCAGGATCTCACAGGTGAATCACAGCATAGGTCTCTAGGATTTTGAAGTAAGGCCCTGCCATCTTCTGCAGATAACCATTGTCCTATTGAGAGACAACTCTTGGCCTGTTACTGGGTTTGGTGGAAACTGTACCCTTGTCTATAAGTCATCAAGTCACCAAGTGAACTGAAATGCCTATCATGAACTGGGTGCTTTCTGATCCATCTAGCCATAAAGTGGGTTGTCCATAGCAGAATTTCATCATCAAATGGAAGTGGTACATATGTGCTCAGTCTCAAGCCAGTCCTGAAGGCACAAGTAATTTACATGCGTCACTGACTCAAATGCTCATGTTCTCCAGTCTTGCCACCATGCCTTCTCCCCTCCAACCTGCACTGATGGTCTCATGGCTAGTTCCCTATGGTCAGTTGACAGAATAAGAGGAGACTATGGCCTGGCTCCAGATGGTTCTGCACCATATATGGAGCCACCACCCAAGAATGAACAGCTGCAGCAGTACAGATTTTTGCTGGGATATCCGTGAAGAACAGTGGTGAAGGGACCTCTTCCCAGTAGACTGAATGCCAAGGAGAAATAACCAGATGTGTGATTATATACTGGTTCATGGGCCATAACCAATGCTTTGGCTGGATGATCAGGAACTTGGAAGAAGCATTATCAGTAAATAAGTGGCAAAGTAATTTAAGAGAGAGTTATGTAGATTAGCCTCTCTGAGTGGTCAAAAACTGTGAGGATATTTATATTTCATGTAAGTGTTCAACAACGGTGACCTCAGAAGAGGAAAAATTTTGTAAGCAAATGGATAGAATAAACCATCCTGTGGAAACCACTCAGCCTCTCTCCCGAGTTTCTGCTGTCATCACCCAGAGAGCCCATAAACAAAGTGGCCATGATTGCAGGGGTGAAGATTATGCATGGGTTCAGCGAAATGGACTTTTACTCACCAAAGCTAACCTGGCTATGGCCACTGCTGCATGCCCCATTTGCAAGCAACAGAGTCCAACACTGATCCGTCCATATGGCACCGTTTCTCAGGGTGCTTACACTGGATATGCGTTTGCCTATTCTGCATCCAATGCTTCTGCCAAGACTACCATCTGTGGACACGCTAAATACCTCATCCACCAACATAGCATTCCACACAGCATTCCCTCTGACAAAGACACTCACCTTATGGCTAAAGAAGTGTGGCAGTGGGCTCCTGCATTATGGAATTCGTTGGTCTTACCATGCTTCCCATCATCCTAGGGCAGCTGGATTAATAGAATGGTGAAATGGCCTTTTAAAGTTACAATTACAATACCAACCATGTGACAAGACTTTGCAAACCTGGGGAAAAGTTCTCCAGAAGGCAATGTATGTTTTGAATCAGTGTTGAACATATACTCTTTTTCCCATAGCCAGAATTATTGGGTACAGAAATCAAGGTGTGGAAGTGAAAATGTCCCCACTCACCATCACCCCTAGTGATCCACTAGCAAAATGTTTGCTTCCTGTTTCCTTTACATTATGTTCCACAGGCTTACAGGTCTTAGTTCCAGAGGGAGAAATGTTGCCACCAGGAGACAGAATGACATTTCCATTAAACTGACAGTGAAGATTGTCCCCTTGGCATTTTGGGCTACTCCTGCCTTTCAGTCAACAGGCTAAGGAAGTGACAGTGTTGGCTGTGGTGACTGACTTGAATTAGCAAGATAAAATCAGTCTACTATTTTACAACGGAGGTATGGAAGAATATACATGGAACACAGGAGATCCATTAAGGTGCCTGATAGTATTTAACTGCCCTGAGATTAAGATCAACGGAAAATTACAACAGCCTAATTTTGACAGGACTGTAAATGATCCAGAACCTTCAGGAGTTAAGGTTTGGGTTACTCCAACAGAAAAGAAAGGAAGCAAGCAAGCAAGCAAGCCAGCAAGCAAGCAAGCCAGCCAGCCAGCCAGCCAGGCAGCCAGCCAGCCAGAAAGCAAACAAACAAGAAAGAAAGAAGAAAAGAGAGAGAGAGAGGAAGAAAGGAAGGAAGAAAAGAAGGAAGGAAGGGAGGGAGGGAGGAAGGAAGGAAGGAATAGAAGAAACAAGGGAGGAAGGAATGGAGGAAGGAAGGAAATAAAGAAGGAAGGAAGAAAGGAAAGAAAGAAGAAAGGAAAGGTATTAGGGGTCTCAGCTGAGGTGCTTGTTGAACGCAAAGGGAACACATAAAGGTTGGTAGAAGAAGGTAGACATCAACACCAGCTACAACCAGGTGACCAGCTGCAGAAATGAGGACGTTAATTGTTCTAAATAGTTCCTCTTTTTGTCAAAAAAAAAGTTTGTGTATGTATACACATGTAATAGTACCTTCATTTTTTCTTTTTCTTTATTATGTGACATTAGATTTATTGACATCAAATCAACATTTGAGTATGGTTAACTTCACATAATAGTGTTTAGATTTGGGATTGGTGAATTACTGGTTTTAACAAAGACAGTTGTATTACGTTAGGTGTAATTATGATGTTATTATTTTCTTTACTTGAAAATTAGGTATTCTCTTAGGAGACGTGTAGTGGTTCAAGTTGTCAAGGGGTGGATTTGTGATGGTTAATACTGAGTGTTGACTTCGTTGGATTGAGGTATACAGGGTATTAATCCTGGGTGTATCTGTTGGAATTTTTCCCCGAAACAATCTTTGAATCAGTGAGCTGTGGAATGCAGATCCACCTTATTCTTGTGGGCACACTCTAATCAGCTTTTAGTGAATATAAATCTGGCAGAAAAATGTAAATTCATGAGATGAGCCTCATGAACTACAAAACAATTTTTGTAATCAAATGTAAAAGATTTTACACTGTATGAATTAACCTCCTTTTTTGATTTATCTTAACATTTCCACATACATTTTTCTATTACAGCTACTTCTTCATTCACTTGTTTTTATTTTCTCTAATTGGCTCATGTAAATTTTTGTGAATGTATTTATTTCTGGTTAATTTAGAACATGAGAGAGCATAACTAATTGAGATCAAAGATTCCCACTATAAAAATCTTCTATCAAATACAATTTTAGAACAGTAGAAGATACCTCAGTGTTAATTCTACTCAACAACTTTAGCAAAAGCAAGAGTTCTCTAACCCCAGCTATAATCCTTGAAATCTTTGTTTTCATTGGGCTTCGTTATTATAATGGCTCAGCAACTTTTATGTCATCAGACATATTTAATTTTTGCCTTACGATAAATATTATGCCCATTGTGCATGCATAATGTAGTGTGCCAATCCACAAGTGTGTATGTCTTTTCTGTATGCCTTCCAGCTGTAGTCAAGTTTAGTTCTATCCCAAAAGCCATTCGTTGTGTTTTCTTAATTGCCACCCACAAAACAGAGGCTGCCTGGCTTCGTTTTTTTGTTGTTGTTGTTGTTTTTTCTTTGCTATACTAGTGTTTTACGGAAATATTTAAAAAGTAATGGGAAAAGGAAAGGGGAGAAAAAGAAATATATGGTTTACTTTGTAATCATTGACTAACTCAACTGACTTCGCTTTACTAACACTTACCTTAACTTGAATCAACAGAACTTTACAAAAGCTTCTTAAAATTCTTCTGATTTATAGAAACCAAAGATTGAGTTAAGTAATCTTGAAAATATAAAATCAAAGTGTGCTTTTCTTATGTACAATTTTCTGGAGAGATGATCTATCACTGTTAATTTATCAAAGAGAGGCCTGAGACTCTAGATTTTAAGATATTTTTCAGCTTTTCTAATCTCTCAGGGCTAGATGCTAGTAACCACCTTACCAATTCCACTTCTAGTCATGAACCAGGCTTAGGGTAAAAAGAAAGTAAAATCTATTGACTTACAGAAACCCTAGCCACTCACATGGACTGTCTGTTACCTCCATGAGCTCAATGTCTATAACTGTTTGCCTTCCACGGTCTGCTCCAGCCACAGTGACCTGGCTGTTTTTCAAACAATTTAAGCAGACGTCTGGTGGAGGTCATCAAACTTGTTGATCTTGATGCATGCTTGTGTGATTATTCCCTTATTATTTTATTTAGATATTTACTTCACAGTCACTTTAGAGACTAATTATTTTATGCTTGTCTCACATGAGTCCAAGCTGTACTCAATAGAGAATTTTACCTCATGCATTTTATATGAAATTGATAGGATCAATTAATATAAAGCAAACAAAAAACCTTACACTATAACCACTAAAACAAACAAATAAAAAATCTAGAAACCCAAATTAAAAGTGTAACATTTAACTTCAGCATTTGAAACAACATTTTCATGGGACAAAATTTAGATCTCCTAAATAAAAATAAACTGAGATTAGAAAACAGTTCATGCTTCACAAATAAAACTGAAACAAAATTGCAGAGCAGGCAGCGTCAAACCATTCAAAGAAATCTCAAACAAATAAAAAACCGTCTACACCCAGGAAACCAATAGTTCACCAATAGTTCACATCAACCAAGGAAACACTTAATCAAGAGAGACAATTTTAAAACAGTTAATGTTTTGGATTGTCATACTGCCTCCCAGACACAGATGAAGCCTGCAAAACTGAAATCCACATTTTCAATTTGAGGCCCTGATTCCTGATTCTAGAAGGAGTAAAACAGCCCTTATGTGCTAATTTATTGTGTTTGTTCTAGTCTTTCTAGAGAATAAACGATGAATTGATTAGTCATTTTTATTTCTGTTTTGCCAAAGTCAGAAGTCACTCTTGGTTGAAAATGCCAGGAATTGGTCACAAACATTTAGTTTCCTGAGAACCAACAATGCAGTTACTTCATATAATTGACAATCTGATAATACATATTCAGTTTTTTTAAATAATAGCTTGTATACTGCTCTTATACAAAATGCTATTTAAGTGGATACTAAGCTGCCAATAACTAAGAAGACACCTTGGAGAAATGAAGAACATTTATAACCTGTAAAATAATACACAAGCAGAAAATGTCTAGATAAAAATAAGCTAAAGAAATGTGTGTCTAACCCTCCCCCCACCAATAAAAGCTATTACTATTACCTAGCAAAGATAATTACTACTATTATGCTTATTATAGGCAGCTATTACATACAAAAAAAATACAGATTTAATTTCATGGACACTCTGTGAGTGGAGACATAGTCTGAGACAATATAATATAATTTGAGAAGAATAGAAAAGTGCAGGAGCAGAGTACCTTTATATTGTTGAACTTAGACTTTAGATTATTTAAATAAGGTAGTATTATCCAACGTAGGCTATTTTAAGTTTAGAATATTTATTGAGGTCCCAAATGTAACTAAATATAATATAAAATATATAGAAGAAGAAAGTTTTGAGAAATTAAGAAATTTTTCTGAAAGATGAAAGGAGAAATTTAAAAATTCAAATAAGGTAAAGAACATACAGAAAGCAAGTAATTAAATATCAGAGTGAATAGTTTTTTACGTTTAATAACTTTAAATGTGAGCTCCTTCATAAAAAGGCACAGAATGATGCAAATGTACCTTTAAAAGAAGGGTTCACATATGTGATTTCCCTGCAAGTGTTACCTTAAGTGCAAAGAGAGAGATTGAAAATAAAATGATACAGGTTCTTGCAAAAACGAGACAATGGATTACAGAGCACTATGCATCTGTCCCTTCAACTCTTCAATATGTGCAGTGGCAGAATCGCTATGACGCAAATAGTTTGGAATTATAGATCCTATCTGAAGTTTTGAAGCTTTCAAAACACGATTTGTAAAGTCAACAACAATTAAGTTCGATCAACTTTATAGCATAGGTCAACAGCAGTTATTTATTCCTATCAACTATTGCCGTGGTGTGCAGCCTTGCAAATACTTCTGGAGCAGCTGGCAATAGCCACGATAGGCAAAAATGACCTTATCCTCCAAATCTCAGGAGGACTGGCTAACCGATTGCTGTTTCTTATTACGGAGGTCCTGCGAGTGGTGAACAGTCATTTTTCATTTTCCAAACCTTTTACAGGCTTTTTCTCCTGCTACTCAAGTAACTTTCAGACGATTTACAAAGGCAGAGCCTTTCTTTCCTAATTTTTCTGTTTTTTTTTTCTCTTTAGAGGCCAGAGAATGATAGAGAAAACATTCAAAGAAAACATATGTACGTGAAAATTTAGAATAAAATGTGTTGCTACACATCTGTGCTCCAAAATGATGCAGCCTCAAGAAAAACCCCCAACAAAATCAGTAAGACTGATTGTCATGACAGAAATAGCCTAGATGATGAATAAACAAATCCCTAGCAAGCTACAGAGGGAGAAAATCTGATTTTCAAAGGTACAACACTTGAAAATTTATATGCCTGTTTTCGACACCAACAGAATCACATAGCATAAGGTGAAATAAGAAAGTGTGGTTCGGCCGGGCGCGGTGGCTCACTCCTGTAATCCCAGCACTTTGGGAGGCCGAGGTGGGCGGATCCCGAGATCAGGAGATCCAGAACCATCCTGGCTAACACGGTGAAACCCCGTCTCTACTAAAAAAATTAGCCGGGCGTGGTGGCGAGCGCCTGTAGTCCCAGCTACTCTGGAGGCTGAGGCAGGAGAGTGGCGTGAACCTGGGAGGCGGAGCTTGCAGTGAGCCGAGATCTCGCCACTGCACTCCAGCCTGGGGAACAGAGCGAGACTCCCTCTCAAAAAAAAAAAAAAAGAAAGAAAGAAAGTGTGGTTCACCCTAGAAAGAAAAAAAATCACTAACAGAAGCTTTTCCCAGGTGGCCCAAATGGCAGGCTAACTAAAAAATAACTTTTAAATTTAATGATTTTTTTAGAAAGCTAATGCAATGAAGAAAAGCACAGAAAGCCATGAATATAAAAAAATTATTAATAGACAGTAAACTTACAATAAACAAAACTTACAATAAAGTAAACTTACAGTAAAACTAAGAAGGAAATTCTAGGCCAGGTTCAGTAGTTCTCTCTCTCTCTCTCTCTCTCTCTCTCTCTAATATATCTGTCTATCTATCTAATCTATATATACATATATCTTAGACTTTAGATTATGTTAGACTTTAGTTTACATATATAGAATACATAAAAATATATTTCTATATTATATATAATATATTTTATTTAATATATAATATAAATATATATGTGTATATATGTGTGTGTGTATATATATTATATATATACCTATACATATATATCTGGAGCTGAAAAGTTAAACAACTGTCACTAAAATTTACTACAGCCTGGCACAGTGGCTCACGCCTGCAATCTTAGCACTTTCGGAGGCCAAGTCGGTTAGATCATGAGGTCAAATGATGAAGATTATCCTGGCCAATATGGTGAAACCTTGTCTTTACTAAAAAATACAAAAATTAGCAGGGTGTGGTGGCATGAGCCTGTAGTCCCAGCTACTTGAGAGGCTGAGGCAGGATAATTGTTTGAAATCAGGAGGTAGAGGTTGCAGTCAGCCAAGTTTGCCTCACTGAACTCCACCCTGGTGACAGAGCAAAACTCAATAAAAAAAAAAAAAATCTCTACAGAGATTTAAAAGGACACTTGAGAAGATAGAAGAACAAACTATCAGCAGATCTAAGAAAAGGGCAGTTGAAATTGTTAAGTCAAGAAGGGAATAAACAAATAAATAAATAAATAAATAACTGTGAAAACAACCTAGAAACCAGTGGAACACCATCAAGCAGTCCTCCTAAAGGAGACTAAAACAGTAGTGGTCAGGAAGGTCATAAATTTGAGGAAATAAATAAACACCAAAGAAATTCAACAAACTCCAAGCAGCATAAACTCAAATACATTCAAACTTACTTGATAATTAACCTGTCTAAAACAAAAACAACTTGAAACTTGAAAATAGCAAGAGAAGTGACTGGTCATGTAAAAAGAACCCCCATGAGTAATCAGTGGATTTCTTTTCTGAAAATTCAGAGGTCAGAAAGTAGTAGACTAATATATTCCAAATGCTGTAAGAAAAAAACTTTTAACAGAAATCTCATGTTTACACTAAATGCCCATCAAAAGTGAGAGAGATATTATAAAATTCCCATGTAAAAGCTGCAGTCTTTTACCAGTAGACTACCCTTTAAGAAATGCTTTATGGTGTATTTTAGGATAAAATGAATAGACATGAAACAGCAGTGTGAATAAGTAAAGATTAAGGAAAAGATAAATATATAAATATAAAAGATAAAAAAATGCAGCAGTGTGAATAAGTAAAGATTAAGGAAAAGATAAATAAATAAATATAAAAGATAAAAAAAATGCACCTCCACAATTGGTTTTCCACATAATTAAGTCACTATTATATATTTTAGAAACTCACTAGCTTGTGTTTCTGGCATACGGTGCCTAAAGGTATAATTTTGCGAACTCAATAGGTGAAATAGAAGGGGTTGTGCTATAAACCCCCCCCTTTTTTTATGGTAGCAAGAGTAAACTAACATGAATTTAGAAGTGTTTTAACTTTAGAATGTTTAATGTAATCATTAGAAGAGCCACAAAGGAAAAGTACCAGGCAGGTAGAAGCTTTCTGCACTATACCAGCAAATTAAGAGTAGTGGATTCAGCTGCTCTTAGCTGAGACTACATAGTGGGCCATCTTGGCACCGTAAAAGGAAGCCTGAGCTGTCCAACCATGGAGTAAATGTAGAGAGCCTAAGGGACATAGCATAGTTGCTTCTTCACACATCTCTTTCTACACCACAGGCCACAAACTGGAAGAGGCTCATCTGTACCCAAGATCTGCTGAAGCACTGGAGGCAGAATGCAGTGACTATGTAGACACTCAACTGAAAGAAAGATGACACAGCAGCTGCTTCAATACCTTCTCTTTCCTTCTAGCTTCCCAAAAGTTTCAGGTTCAAAATATTGTTGACAAAAGACAAGACAAAAATGGGAAGACATAGTATTTCATTCAGTGGAAATGCTATGACAAACAGGGTGACACAGGGCAACTGGAACAGAACTTCGTAAATTGTAAGAAATATTATGACTTTAACAGATGACAGAAAAATGGAGACAAAGGACATGGGACTGGGTGTGATGGCTGACGCCTATAATCACAGAACATTTGGAGATTGAGGCAGGCAGATTATGTGGTCATGAGTTCCAGATCAGCCTGAACAACATGGTGAAACCGCATCTCTATTAAAAATACAAACATTAGCTGAGCATGGTGGCATGCATCTGTAATCCCAGCTACTCAGGAGGCTGAGGCAGGAGAATCCCTTGAATTCAGGAGGTGGAGATTGCAGTGAGCTGAGATCGCACCACTGAACTCCAGCATGAGTGACAGAGTGGGATCCCATCTAAAAAAAAAAAAAAAAAGTCGTGGACTGGAATGAGCAGAAGTTTTTCAAACAATGCCAGAAAAGGAATGTTCGGATCTACCTACATCAGCTTTTCTAAGAACGTTTCTAAAATGCTAATGACTCGCAAACACCACACATCCAAACACAGCCAGATGTATGCTGCTGGCCACAACGTTAGGATAAATGCAGCTTTACCTTTCTTTGACCCAAAAATGTGAAGCTAGGAAGTTAACCCCTCAAGACACTTGCACTTCAGAGCCCATTTAACAGCAAGAACTCACTGAGTGGCTTTCCGGGACTCGGGAAACTGGACCCTATTGTGTCACATCAGCTGGACATGGTGGTGCACAAGATGGCAGCAGAGAAGCCCATCAGAGATTTGTCAGATTCCAGTGCAGAAGAGGCTGGAAGAAAGGATAGGTCCCAGATACACCCACTAATGTCTCTGGTGTCTGGCTCAATTATCACTTCCATGGTTACGGGCTCAGTTAACAAGGAAGGTACATTGGTATTAACGAATCCATTAACAGCCAATGGAACAAAAAACATTCATATAGCTGTTTGAAGAGGGAGAGATGGGAAAATAAAGATTATTGATGATTGAAAAAAAACAGCCTTTTATCAAAAGGATGTACTTTACACTAAGGTTAACAGAAAATGCCAGCAGATTCAGAGACATTGTGGTGAGGAAAGAGAGCTTCACTACCCAGAAATTACTATCAACTAGGTTGACAGAGAATATCTCACTAAATACAGAGCGAATGAAAGAAATTGAGAATGCCCTGAATAGGGTTTCTGTGGATGACAGCAAATTTGTGCTCCCTGCTCAGTGCAGCCAGCAGTGTCCTTTGCTGTGGTCTTGATTTTGTGTGCATTTAAGAAATGACAGAAAGAGAGCAAGCATTGAAATGGGGGACACCGCAAAGACCTGGCACATAGTTTTATTCAGTTTAAGAAACCTATTTTTGCATCAGGCAGTAGCACGGTAATTTGACTAGGTGCATCCATATTGCCTCTTTGTGATTTGCTTTGGGGCTAACAGAAAGGCTTGGCTTGAAACTTCTTTTATGACATTTGGACAGAGTTCAGGTGGCTGTTCTAACATTGCATTTCCCAAGATGCTGGGTGGAGCATCAGCCAGTGAAATGTGGTTTGGTGGGAGAAAGCTGACAGCACTGGATGCATGTGCCAAGGGCCTGGTCTCTTATGTGTCTTGGACTGAAAATTTCACACAAGAGGTTATGATCCAAATTAAAGAGCTTTCCTCTTGTAATCCAGTTGTTCTGGAGAAAGGTAAGGCCTTTGTTCGCTGTAAAATTAAAATGATGTTGGAACGGGCCAAGGAGAAAGTGTGAAATGCTGAAAAAAATTCTGGGCCTCAGCGCAAGGGATAGAATCCATGGTCAAATATGTACAAAGAAAAATTGATGAGTTCTAATTATCTGCTCAGGACCCAAGAACTGAGCTAAGCGGCATACATCGTTAGCTGCAAGATGCCCTAATCCATGTTCATAGCCCAAAACAATTTCAACCATAGATAAGGCTTGAAAGGAGACTGAAAATATCCAAGGTACTTATTTAATATTATCAATTCACTTCAAGCACTGTAACTGTAAAATAAATAATGAAACAGCTTTTTTTGTCCAAATATCATTACTTTATGCACAAGCCCAAATATAAGAGCAGACAGATGAGCATCAGACTGTTCTTGCAAGCTCTATTTTTTTTTCTTTTTCTGAGACAGAATCTCACTCTGTCACTCAAGCTAGAATGCAGTGGCATAGTCTCCACTCTCTGCAACCTCCGACTCTTGGGTTCACGCCGTTCTCCTGCCTTAGCCTCCCAAGTAGCTGGGACAACCGGTGCTTGCCACCATGCCCAGCCAATTTTTTTCTATTCTTACCAGAGACGATATTTCACCATGTTAGCTGAAATGATCTCGATCTCCTGACCTCATGATTCACCCACCTCAGCCCCCTCAAAGTGCTGGGATTACAGGTTTTGCCACCGCGCCTGGAAGAGCTCTAATTTTTATCTATGGCTACTAGTATATAAAAGACTAGAATTGTTTTTTGTTAGACTTGGATGACTGAAAGTCTGTAATAGTGTTTATTATTATTATTATTTAATTTTAAGTATCCTAGAATGCAGAGTCTAATGGGGTATGAGGCAGTTTCTGCTGCCCTCCCCTAAACAGAGACACAAAAACAACTGAGATGGTGATTTGAATTTACCAAGTCACAAATATCTCAGAGACACAAAATTCTAAACTGAACATATGGTTAGAACTTTTGCTGAGATATCAGTTGATTTGTATTTTGTTTTTTGCATAAGGCTCTAGATCTTACACTGTTAACATGAATAAAGAACTACCTCTTTAAAGGAAACCTTGAGCAGGATTAGTCAATCATGGAATCATTTAGGTAGAAATATCTAAGTTTTAATGGTCATAAAGTGTGCTTTTTAGATTAACTTAGATTATATTCTATTTAGTAAGCTAAAATTCTGCACACATGATTAAATGCAGAAACTTCCTTCAAAACAAAGGAAAAACACGTACATATTCTTAGACATTTAAAATGATTAATGTCTGGTTTTATGTGCACACAATTGTCTAGGATACTCTATAAGTTCAGATTTCCAGAAGTTCTCTGAAGCCTGCCATTTTGGGTTATTATGCAGGCTCCATTACATGGGCATGATTGAATAATCTACTGGTCCTTGGTGATCACAGTGACTTTTGTTGCAGGATCTATAGACTATCGCTTTCCCAGCCAAAAATCTCAGTGGATGGTAGCACCTTTGCCAAAATTTCTCTTGGGCCTGCTGGGCTAAATTTGCCACTCATTTTGACAGGTTGCACTCACCTCAAACTATGTGCTCAGATTCTATTTTTACTGTGGGTGAGACAGACCCAGAGCAGAGAGAGAAGCCTGAGTGAGCGACTGTTGAGTCCAGCCACTTCACACAGCTGAGCATGTTGGCTATGATAAGGTGAGAAAGCCCAGGTGGTGCCAGCTCCCTGCAAGCCTTTGGCTGAATCAGCATAGCAAAAGCCTTTTTTTCCTCACTGCTCAGAAATACAACGGCATCCAGAAGCTTAAAAATGCCAGAAACTGCAAAGCCCCCAAAATGGTGTCACAGCCCTGGCTTTGAAAATGTTTAAGTCTGGGCTCCTTTAAGGACTGAACCTCTTCTATCCTTTTTTATTTTTTAAATCCCAGTAATCAGAAATGTGACAAGTGGGGGTTTGTGTGTTTCAGACCAGTTTTTGTTACTAATCTTATAGTTTTGCCCTTAAGTGGGTTCTGAGTTCTTGTCCCATGCCTAGGAAGAATAAGCTTTGTGGGCAACTGGAGAATAATTAAGGTAAATAGAAGCTGCACTGAGTGAAGGTACAGCTCTCAGGAGACAGAAAGGAGGTAACTCCATTTCACAAACAGGACATACCTACAACCACACAACACTCAGTTAAGAGAATACCTAGAGTGACCAAGTGCCATTGGCTGACAGGTTGCTACAATGTCTCTGAAGCCCTCAGTGGAGAGGAGATTTTTTAGAGTGGGTAGCTTCTATATGCAGGAAGGTTGTTGAGATGTGTCCTCAGCTTTAAGTTGAGAGAAGACAAATCTATCTGCTGACGTGCAATACCAAGAAGTGTACAACTCTCAGTGAAGAGAGGCTACTCAGGATGCTAATGCAGGAGAATCACTTGAACATGGGAGGTGGAGGTTGAAGTGAGCTGAGTTGATACCACTGCACTTCAGGCTGGTGACAGAGTGAGATTCCGTCTCAAAAATAGTAATAATTATGATTATAACTAGTTTAGAGGAAAACATAAATGTCCTGACGGAGCTAAAAAACACAGGGCAAGAACTTTGCACAACGTACCTGAGGATCAATAGCTGAATTAATCAAGCAGAAGGAAGAATATCACAGATTGAAGATAAACTTAATGAAATAAAGCATGAAGACAAGATTAGAGAAAAAAGAATGAAAAGGAAGAAACAAAGCCTCTCAGAAATATGGGATTATGTGAGAAGACCAAACCTGTGATTGATTTGTGTACCCAAAAGTGATGAAGACAATTGAACCAACTTGAAAAACAAACTTCAGGATGTTATTCAGGAGAAATTCCCCAACCTACAAAGACAGGCCAATGTACACATTCAGGAAATATAGAGAACACCACTGAGATACTTCATGAGAAGACAACCCCCAAGACACATAACTGGCAGATTCTCCAAGGTAGAAAAAAAGGAAAAAAAAATGTTTAGAGCAGCCAGAGAGAAAGATCAGGTTATCTACAAAGGGAAGCCCATTAGACTAACAGCAGATAATTCTGCAGAAACCCTACAAGCCACAAGAGAGAGGTGGCAAATATTCACCGATCTTAAAGGAAAGAATTTTCAGACCAGAATTTTATAGCCATCCAAACTAAGCTTTATGGCCAAAGGAGAAATAAAATAATTTTCAGACAAGTTAAGTGTACAAACATTTTGTCACCACCATGAGTGCCTTACAAGAGTTCCTAAAGGGAACATTAAATATGTAAGGGGACATCTGGTAACAGCTACTGCAAAAAATAACAAATAAAAAGTCCAACAACACTATGAAGAAACTGCATCAAGAATATGCAAAATAACCAGCTAGCATCACCATATCATGGTCAAATTGACACGTAACAATATTAATCTTAAATATAAATACACTAAGTGTGCTTTATTTAGGAGACACATCTGACGTGCAAAGGCACACATAGCCTCAAAATAAAACGATGGAAGAATATTTTTTTCTTTTTTTAAATTGTACTTTATGTTTTAGGGTACATGTGCACAACGTGCAGGTTTGTTACATATGTATACATGTGCCATGTTGGTGTGCTGCACCCATTAACTCATCATTTAGCATTAGGTATAGCTCCTAATGCTATCCTTGCCCGCTCCCCCCACCCCAGAACAGTCCCCGGAGTGTGATATTCCCCTTCCTGTGTCCACATGTTCTCATTGTTCAATTCCCACCTATGAGTGAGAACATGCAGTGTTTGGTTTTTTGTTCTTGCCATAGTTTGCTGAGAATGATGGTTTCCAGTTTCATCCATGTCCCTACAAAGGACATGAACTCATCATTTTTTATGGCTGCCTAGTATTCCATAGTGTATATGTGCCACATTTTCTTAATCCAGTCTGTCGTTGTTAGACATTTAGGTTGGTTCCAAGTCTTTGCTATTGTGAATTGTGCCGCGATAAATATACGTTGGTTGTGTCTTTATAGCAGCATGATTTGTAATCCTTTGGGTATATACCCAGTAATGGGATGGCTGGGTCAAATGGGATTTCTAGTTCTAGATCCTTGAGGAATCGCCACACTGACTTGTACAATGGCCGAACTAGTTGACAGTCCCACCAACAGTGTAAAAGTGTTCCTATTTCTCCACATCCTCTCCAGCACCTGTTGTTTCCTGCCTTTTTCATGATCGCCATTCTAACTGGTGTGAGATGGTGTCTCACTGTGGTTTTGATTTGCATTTCTCTGATGGCCAGTGATGATGAGCATTTTTTCATGTGTTTTTTGGCTGCATGAATGTGTTCTTTTGAGAAATGTCGGCCGGGCGCGGTGGCTCACGCCTGTAATCCCAGCACTTTGGGAGGCCGAGGCGGGTGGATCATGAGGTCAGGAGATCGAGACCATCCCGGCTAAAACGGCGAAACCCCGTCTCTACTAAAAATACAAAAAATTAGCCGGGCGTAGTGGCGGGCGCCTGTAGTCCCAGCTACTTGGGAGGCTGAGGCAGGAGAATGGCATGAACCCGGGAGGCGGAGCTTGCAGTGAGCCGAGATCCCGCCACTGCACTCCAGCCTGGGCGACAGAGCGAGACTCCGTCTCAAAAAAAAAAAAAAAAAAGAAAAAGAGAAATGTCTGTTCATATCCTTCACCCACTTTTGGATGGGGTTGTTTGTTTTTTTCTTGTAAATTTGTTTGAGTTCATTGTAGAGTCTGGATATTAGCCCTTTGTCAGACGGGTAGATTGCAAAAATTTTCTCCCATTCTGTAGGTTGCCTGTTCACTCTGATGGTAGTTTCTTTTGCTGTGCAGAAGCTCTTTAGTTTAGTTAGATCCCATTTGTCAATTTTGGCTTTTGTTGTCATTGTGTTTGGCGTTTTGGACATGAAGTCCTTGCCCATGCCTATGTCCTGAATGGTATTGCTTAAGTTTTCTTCTAGGGTTTTTATGGTTTTAGGTCTAATATGTAAGTCTTCAATGCATCTTGAATTAATTTTTGTATAAGGTGTAAGGAAGGGCTCCAGCTACAGCTTACTACATATGGCTAACCAGTTTTCCCAGCACCATTTATTAAATAGGGATTCCTTTCCCCATTTCTTGTTTTTGTCTGGTTTGCCAAAGATCAGATAGTTGTGGATATGTGGCATTATTTCTGAGTGCCTGGTTCTCTTCCATTTGTCCACATCTCTGTTTTGGTACCAGTACCATGCTGTTTGGTTGTTGTAGCCTCGTAGCATAGTTTGAAGTCAGGTAGTATGATGCCTCCAGCTTTGTTCTTTTGACTTAGGAATGACTTGGCAATGTGGGCTCTTTTTTGGTTCCATATGAACTTTTCCATTCTGTGAAGAAAGTCATTGGTAGGTTGCTGGGGATGGCATTGAATCTATAAATTACGTTGGGCAGTATGGCCATTTTCATGATGTTGATTCTTCCTATCCATGAGCATGGCATTTTCTCCCATTTGTTTGTAACCTCTTTTATTTCATTGAGCAGTGGTTTGTAGTTCTCCTTGAAGAGGCCCTTCACATCCCTTGTAAGTTGGATTCCTAGGTATTTTATTCTCTTTGAAGCAATTGTGAATGGGAGTTCACTCATGATTTAGCTCTCTGTTTGTCTGTTATTGGTATATCAGAATGCTTGTGATTTTTTGCACATTGATTTTGTATCCTGAGACTTTGCTGAAGTTGCTTATAAGCGTAAGGAGATTTTGGGCTGAGATTATGGGGTTTTCTAAACATACAATCATGTCATCTGCAAACAGGGAGAATTTGACTTCCTCTTTTACTAATTGAATACCCTTTGTTTACTTCTCCTGCCTGATTGCCCAGGCCAGAACTTCCAACACTATGTTGAATAGGAATGGTGAGAGAGGGCATCCCTGTCTTGTGCCAGTTTTCAAAGGGAATGCTTCCAGTTTTTTCCCATTCAGTATGACAGTGGCTGTGCATTTGTCATGGATATCCCATCCATAACTAATTTATTGAGAGTTTTTAGCATGAACTGCTGTTGAATTTTGTCAAAGGCCCTTTCTGCATCTATTGAGATAATAATGTGGTTTTTGTCATTGGTTCTGTTTATATGCTGGATTATGTTTATTGATTTGCATATGTTGAACCAGCTTTGCATCCCAGGGATGAAGCCTACTTGATCACGGTGGGTAAGCTTTTAGACGTGCTGCTGGGTTCGGTTTGCCAGTTTTTTATTGACGATTCTTGCATTGATGTTCATCAGGGATTTTGGTCTAAAATTCTCTATTTTTGCTGTGTCTCTGCCAGGCTTTGGTATCAGGATGATGCTGGCCTCATAAAATGAGTTAGAGAGGACTCCCTCTTCTTCTATTGATTGGACTCTTTTCAGAAGGAATGGTACCAGGTCCACCTTGTACGTCTGGTAGAATTCGGATGTGAATCCATCTGGTCCTGGACTTTTTTTTGCAATATTACTTATTGCCTGAATTTCAGAGCCTGTTACTTTTCTATTCAGAGATCCAACTTCTTCCTGGTTTAGTCTTGGGACGGTGTATGTGTCAAGGAATTTATCCATTTCTTCTAGGTTTTCTACTTCATTTGTGTAGAGGTGTTTATAGTATTCTCTGATGGTAGTTTGTATTTCTGTGGGATCGGTGGTGATATCCCTTTTGTCATTTTTTATTGCGTCTATTTGATTCTTCTTTTTTCTTCTTTATTAGTCCTGCTAGCAGTCTATCAATTTTGTTGATCTTTTCAAAAAACCAGCTCCTGGATTCATTGACTTTTTGAAGGGGTTTTTGTGTCTCTATTTCTTTCAGTTCTGCTCTGATCTTAGTTATTTCTCACCTTCTGCTAGCTTTTGAATGTGTTTGGTCTTGCTTCTCTAGTTAATTGTCATGTCAGGGTGTCAATTTTAGATCTTTCCTGCTTTATTCTGTGGGCATTTAGTGCTACACATTTCCCTCTACATGCTGATTTGAACGTGTCCCAGAGATTCTGGCATATTGTATCTTTGTTCTTGTTGGTTTCAAGGAACATCTTTATTTCTGCCTTCATTTCGTTATGTACCTAGTAGTCATTCAGGAGCAGGTTGTTCAGTTTCCATGCAGTTGAGCAGTTTTGAGTGAGTTTCTTAATCCTGAGTTCTAGTTTGCTTTCACTGTGGTCTGAGAGACAGTTTGTTATAATTTCTGTTCTTTTACATTTGCTGTGGAGTGCTTTACTTCCAACTATGGGGTCAGTTTTGGAATAGGTGTGGTGTGATGCTGAAAAGAACGTATATTCTGTTGATTTGGGGTGGAGAGTTCTATAGATGTCTATTAGGTCCACTTGGTGCAGAGCTGAGTTCATTTGCTGCATATCGTTCTTAACTTTCTGTCTCGTTGATCTGTCTAATGTTGACAGTGGGGTGTTAAAGTCTCCCATTATCATTGTGTGGGAGTCTAAGTCTCTTTGTAGGTCTCTAAGGACTTGCTTTATGAATCTGGGTGCTCCTGTATTGAGTACATATATATTTAGGATAGTTAGCTCTTCTTATTGATTTGATCTCTTGATCTTTGTTGGTTTAAAGTCTGTTTTATCAGAGACTAGGATTGCAACCCTTGCCTTTTTTTGTCTTCCATTTGCTTGGTAGATCTTCCTCCATCCCTTTATTCTGAGCCCATGTGTGTCTCTGCACATCAGATGGGTTTCCTGAACAGAGCACACTGATGGGTCTTGACTCTTTTTCCAATTTGCCAGTCTGTGTCTTTTAATTGGAACATTTAGCCCATTTACATTTAAGGTTAATATTGTTATGTGTGAATTTGATTCTGTCACTTTGATGTTAGCTTGTTATTTTGCTAGTTCGTTGATGCAGTTTCTTCCTAGCCTTGAAGGTCTTTACAATTTGGTATGTCTTTGCAGTGGCTGGTACTGGTTGTTCCTTTCCATGTTTGGTGCTTCCTTTAGGAGCTCTTTTAGGGCAGGTCTGGTGATGACAAAATCTCTCAGCATTTGCTTGCCTGTAAAGGATTTTATGTCTCCTTCATTTATGATGCTTAGTTTGGCTGGATATGAAATTCTGGGTTGAAAATTCCTTTCTTTAAGAATGTTGAATATTAGCCCTCACTCTCTTGTGGCTTGTAGAGTTTCTCCAAGGGATCAGCTGTTAGTCTGATGGGCTTCCCTTTGTGGGTGACCCTACCTTCTCTCTGGCTTCCCTTAACATTTTTTCCTTCATTTCAACTTTGGTGAACCTGACAGTTATGTGTCTTGGAGTTGCTCTTCTTGAGGTGTATCTTTGTGGCGTCCTCTGTATTTCCTGAATCTGAGTGCTGGCCTGCCTGGCTAGATTTGGGAAGTTCTCCCAGATAATAGTTCCATTCTCCCCGTGACTTTCAGGTATACCAATCAGATGTCACTTTGGTCTTTTCACATAGTCCCAAATTTTTTGGAGGCTTTGTTCATTTCTTTTTATTCTTTTTTCTCTTAACTTCTCTTCTCACTTCATTTCATTCATTTAATCTTACATCACTGATACCCTTTCTTCCAGTTGATCAAATCGGCTAATGAGGCTTGTGCGTTCATCACGTAGTTCTCGTGCCATGGTTTTCAGCTCCATCAGGTCCTTTAAGGGCTTCTCTGCTTTGGTTATTCTAGTTAGCCATTCATCTAATTTTTTTTTTCAAGGTTTTCAGCTCCTTTGCCATGGGTTCGAACTTCCTCCTTTAGCTCGGAGTAGTTTGATCATCTGAAACCTTCTTCTTTCAACACGTCAAAGTCATTCTCCATCCAGCTTTGTTCCACTGCTGGTAAGGAGCTGCGTTCATTTGGAGGAGGAGAGGTGTTCTGATTTTTAGAGTTTCCAGTTTTTCTGCTCTGTTTTTTCCCAATCTTTGTGGTTTTATCTACCTTTGGTCTTTGATGACGGTGACATACAGATGGGGTTTTGGTGTGGATGTCCTTTCTGTTTGTTAGTTTTCCTTCTAACAGTCAGGACCCTCAGCTGCAGGTCTGTTGGAGTTTGCTGGAGGTCCACTCCAGACCCTGTTTCCCTGGGTATCAGCGGCGGAGCCTGCAGAACAGCAGATATTGGTGAACAGCAAATGTTGCTGGCTGATTGTTCCTCTGGAAGTTTTGCCTCAGAGGAGTACCCAGCCATGTGAGGTGTCAGTCTGCAGCTACTGGGGGGTGCCTCCCAGTTAGGCTATGTGGGGTTCAGGGACCCACTTGAAGAGGCAGTCTGTCTGTTCTGAGATTTCAAGCTGCGTGCTGGGAGAACCACTATTTTCTTCAAAGCTGTCAGACAGAGATATTTAAGTCTGCATAGGTTTCTGCTGCCTTTTGTTTGGCTATGCCCTGCCCCCACAGGCAGAGTCTACAGAGGCAGGCAGGCCTCCTTGAGCTGCAGTGGGCTCCACCCAGCTCGAACTTCCCAGCCACTTTGTTTACCTACTCAAGCCGCAGCAATGATGGGCTCCCCTCCCCCAGCCTCACTGTCGCCTTGCAGTTTGATCTCAGACTGCTGTGCTAGCAAAGAGTGAGGCTCCGTGGGTGTAGGCCTTCCAAACTAGGTGTGTGATATAATCTCCTGGTGTCCCATTTCCTAAGACCGTTGGAAAAGCACAGTACTAGTGTGGGAGTGACCTGATTTTCCAGGTGCCATCTGCCAGCCCTTTCTTTGAATAGGAAAGGGAATTCCCGGACCCCTTGTGCTCCCTGGGTGAGGTGATGCCTCGCTGTGCTTTGGCTCATGCTCAGTGCACTGCACCCACTGTCCTGCACCCACTGTCTGACACGCCCCAGTGAGATGAATCCAGTACCTCAGTTGGAAATGCAGAAATCCCCTGTCTTCTGTGTGGCTCATGGTGGGAGCTGTAGACTGGAGCTGTTCCTATTCAGCCATCTTGGCTCCACCCCCGTTCTCTAACTTTTGACAGAAAAGTGTTTGGAATCAGAGTTTTTATCTAATTTTTCAGATCCTACACTGCCACCTAGTAAGATAGGATTTTTCTCTGTGTAGAGCCTTGTCAGCCCTTTGCCCAAAACGTCTAGTTTCTAACTTTCTCTTCCTCCCATGTCCCGCTAATAATTATAAGACTCTATGTCCCATCTGTAAGCAGAAAATCTCCACTTTCAACAGTCAAAAAGAAGCTGCCCTTGAGAGACAAATTCCAACCTCATTGCTGAAGTTTTTATAAAAGAAGGAAAAGAATGGAATCTCTTTTTTTTTTTTTTTTTTTTTGAGGCAGCTGTTCTACATCCAGCTACATTGATATCTAAATAAGAAGAGAATGTTAATTTTCAAAGTCAGTCCCTATTATTTACGAGGATGTCAATGTTTTGCTAGGACCACAGTAAGGGAAGCCAGGGATAGTATAAAGACTCAAACTCTATTAAAGACTCTTGCTGCCATCTAACTACTGCATAATCTCTCTTAAGCTTCCCACATACCTGGAAGGTTTTGGGTTGAATGGGCTTAGGAGACAAACAACGAATTATATATATATATATATGTGTGTGTGTGTGTGTGTGTGTGTGTGTGTGTGTGTGTGTGTAATTTTATATATGTGTGAGGAATTATATATATATAAACATATATAGACATACATATATACACATATATACATATACACACACGTGTGTATATGTATATATGTGTGTAATATATATGTTTGTATGTGTATATATAAACACATTTATAGACAGAGCATGCATATATATGTAAATATACACACTCACTTATATGTGTGTCTGTATGTGTGCATATATGTGTGTATATATACACGTGTTATATATACACATACATATGTGTATGTGTATACGTATATACCTACATATACACATACCATCTATACACACATACCAGAGTGTATATGTGTACATCCAGAAACTCTGGGTATTACATATGTGCATATTACATATGTGCATATTACATACATATATGTACACACATACATATGTGTGTATGTGTATATGTATATATATACACACATATAGAGATATATATACACATATACATATACATATGTATCAACACAAGTGTAAGGTTTCAGCAAAATTTTAGTATATAAAAGCAGACCGATTTGCCAGCAAGTTGCTACATGATTTGAGAGCTATTAATGCACAGATTAAATCAATGGGTGCATTACAGCAAGGTCTGCCGTTCCTGGCAGCCATTCCAAGTGACTCACCTCCCATCGTAGCAGATCTCAAAGATTATTTCCTTACTGTACCCTTACATGAGAAGGATAAGCAAAGTTTCACCCCAAAGCATGCTCACCGGTCCTACGCTATTTCAGCGTTTTGTAGGACAGTCCTTAAAGGAGCCTCGTAATATATTTCCTACTGCCTACATAATTCATTATATGGATGAAATTCTTTTGGCTGCTCCAATGGAAGAGTTATTACACCAATTGCTGAGAGAAGCAAAACAGGGGGACATCTCAAAATAGTTCAACAAAAGGTAGAAGCAACCTCCCCATACCAATACTTAGGCACTATTGCTACTGAAACAAATGTTTGACCTCAGAAAGCAGTCCTCTGTAGGGACAGATTACAAACCTTCAGTGATTTCCAACAACTATTAGGAGATATAAATTGGCTGTGCCCAATCCTAGGTATTGCTACTCATCAACTCAAACACTCAGGCACTCCATGGAAATTCTTCATTAGGAGCAATGGGCTTAGGAGACAACCCAGTTGCTGGTTTGTCTAAGGAGGCTGAAGCTGAGTTACAGCTTGTAGAGTAGATTCTTCAGCAAACACATGCCTCCTGGCTACAGCCACAAAATCCCTTGGTTCCCTTTTTTCTCTCTACCCCCCATTCTCCAACAGGACTTTTAGGCCAGATCATAGAAAAATATGTAATTGTAATAGAATGGCTTTGTTTGAAATTCAATCAGAGAGTAAAATCTCTGCAAGTTTATCTTTCTTTAACTACTCAGTTTATAACAAGGGGTAGGGATAGATCAAAAATGCTTAAGAGATATGATCCACACAAAATTATTGTTCTCCTTTTAGAGCCAGTCTACAAGTATGAGGAGAAATATTGGATTCCCAGCAACAGGCTGCAGCATGGGAAATGTTGACTGTGTGGCAAATTGCTCTTTCAGGTTGTGTAGGAATAATACATAAACATTATCCCTCAGACAAAATTTTGCAATTTTAAAAATTCAGCCTTTCATCTTCCCTGTGATTCCTCATCACAAGCCCATTTCAGGCAGCCAGACCTATTTTACTGGTGGCTCTTCCAAAGGTCGCAAAGCTACTTATGGTACTAAGCATGCTCAAACAATAAAAAACCCCGGAGTTTCAGATCAACGCTCAGAACTAATGGCAGTTATGCAGGTTTTAGAGCTCACTGGTTCATCTCTTATTAACACTCTCTGTCATTCAGCCTATGTTGTAAATGTAGCCAGTCATATTGGGACGACCACTATTAAAAGCACCCTGGAACCAGAGCAGTTTAACTTGTTTCTAAGACTTTAACAAGCTGTTTGCTCTTGTGCTGCTTTTTATATTTCTTATATTTGCTCTCCCACACAACTCCCTACACCACTATTTCTAGGTAACAATAGAGCCAATAAATTGGTTTGTTCTGCATTTCAACAAGCTCAACCTTCTCATATATTACTGCATCAAAACTCTGCCTTTACTCGTATGTTTCATTTGCCTCACAGCCAGGCTGCAGCCTGTACAAGCCTGTCCTGCTTGCCAGCATGTCACTGGAGTCACACTCACAGAAGGCTGTAACCCATGAGACTTAGCTTCAAATGAAATCTGACAGATGGATGTTACTCACAAAGCTGCCATTGGTAAGTTCTCCTTTGTTCATGTGACTACAGACACTTATTCTCATATGCGGCATGCTACATGCAAACCAGGTCACACAGCTGGTTATGTGTGATGACATTGTCTGTCATCATTTGCTCATATCGGGGGGTCCCTAAACAATTAAAAACTGACAATGGACACACTTATGTTAGTCATGCTTTTTAAAATTTTTTACAGCTATGGTCAGTCACTCATAAAACAGGAATTCCTTACAAACCCCAAGGACAAGGAATTATAGAGCGGGCAAATCAAACATTACAAGGTGTGCTGAAAAAAACCGAAAGGGGAAACAAGAGATCAGTTACCACCTCAAACAAAATACATTTACTTTTACTTTAATTAATTTTTTTACTTATTTACTTTAATTTTTTGACTCCTGGCACAGATAGTAAGACTATGGCAGAACGACACTGGTAAATGTCATAGGGAAAAAGTAAAGTATACCCAAAAATATTATGAAAATCCCCCTAAGGACGATGGAAATGCTCAGGAGATTTACTGATGTAAGGATGAGGGTATGCTTGTGTTTTTACAGGAGACGGATAATCTGTGTGGGGTGCCTTCAATGTGTTTGTGACCATGTAAAGGAAGACTGGAGAGAGCCATGGATCCCAACTATGAATCCGACTCCTCCATTACAAGGCATGAGTCAGTTGAAATTGCTGGAGCACCAGGGTCAGGCAAACACCCCCGATGTCACGTTTATGGCCATGCTACCTGCAACATCCTGTGCAGTAGGTTTTCCTTGTGCAGAGACAAAAACATATTGGGCCTATATTCCCAATCCCCCAGTATTATGGACTGTAATTTGGAGTGACACTCCCCCTGACATCTATCATGATCATGAAGCATGGGCACCAGGACCCCTAACACCCCCTGACAAACAGTTATTAGACTCTCAGAACAATGATTATCAATTATGCTGCTCCATTGGAGGGACTTCCTTCATGAGTCACACAGCGTACATCACTCAACTGCAGTGGCCTTGCAAATTAATCCCAAGTATGGCTGACTTACCATCGAAAAAAAATATGTACCTATTAGGCCTTAGCTCTATTACCATTACCGGTGTAGCTACTAATCTCTCCCAGCCCCATCCCCCAAATCGTATTAATTATACAGAATGAGCTCTCTTTGATAATTCTTACCCCCCCCTCCTTGGACCCAGTGTCTTGGTGCCCTAGCTAGACAAGAGTACATGCTAATCGGAGACATTATTTTCTAGGTCCCTGTGGTCATTTAGATGGGAGAGATGAGAATCCGACCTCATGGCATAAACTTCGCTGACACTGGTCAGCATCTCTTCACTGCATTGCGCTGGGATTCAATCCCAATCTGCAGCAAGTTTAACTTGGCATGGAACAGGCTTTAGCCCAACTTTGCCTCAATGGCATTACCAAGGAAAGAGAGGTCCAACTCAGGAGTCGATAGGGAAGGCAGCACTCCACTATATGAATGGCAGCATTTGTGTCGGAACACTATCTAATTTTAATAATTGTGCTGAACACAGTTTTAATGTTACCGTTGTGGAAAACATTACCACTCAATTTACAATTTGTGTTTTTGAACTTATGTTTTTCTGGCAGCAAAGAGGACCAACTCCAGGTAAACGATGCCCGATTGACTTGTGATTCCTGTCAACTGTATTATTCCCTTAATCATAGCACAGTACAAACATACAGCATATCCACCCTAGTAATTCTAGGTCACAATCCCGGATTATGGATTCCTGTAAATCTGCCTGAGGCTTGGGTGGCCACCTCTGGTTTCCATTGTGTAAACTTTTTTCTTAGTCAGCTTATTCGTTGTGCTTGTAGAGCCTTAGGCATGAAAATTTTTCTGAAAGTCTCCTTAGGTACATTAATAACTTCTGTTGTGGCGTCCTTAGTAGCAATGTACAGCTCCATTCAAATCACAGCTCAATATATAGAAAATTGGATGTGTACAGCCGACCAGGCATGGATGCTTAAAAATTAACTTAACACTGAGATACACATGGAAGTAGCAATGTTAAAGAATTAAAGATTACAGTTCTGTGGCTAGGAAACCAAGAACAAACTTGCAGTTGCGTCAGCAATTGCATTGTCATTTTAAGCATACTCATATTTGTGTAACCAATTTGGAATAAAACCAAAGGGAATATCCATGGAAACTTCATTTACAAAGCAAAATTCTAAACTTGAAAAAGCATACTCAAGTAATACAGCCATCTCTGAAAACTTGGGCAGAATTCCAGCAAGGTTTAGAGAGCCTTAGCGTTTGGACCTCCTCCAAACATCACCTAAATGTCTTTTTTGTGATTATCAGAGTAACGTTTTGATGTCTCTCTTTTATGTTCATTGTCTGTAAAAGCAGCTGGACCACCAAACAGCAGTGGAGAGTTGCACAGCCTGCAATGATCTTTACTCAATTAATGCAAAAATAAAAAGGAGGAGATGTTGGAGGCCAAAAGAATGAGGGTCGTGACCAACTCAGTAATGACTGGAGGGTCTATGAGCAGAGAGGAAACTGTTCTCATGAAAGCAGCATGTTGGCAACTGACACACCACGTCTGGTGTCAGAAGGAATGCTGAGGGCAGTCATGCCCCAAGCACAGTCTTTCTTGTGGTTATATATAGGAACATCTGAAGCCTGTAGTATATAGAAAGCAATTACATGAGCCTGTGATAAATCAAGCAGCTGACCAACAATTACCTTTCCTCCCTGTTGATTCTGCCTAATAAATATGAAGGCCTGTAGAAGCTCAGGGCCTTTGCTGATTAGAAGCAATGAGCCCCCGACCCTTCTTTTAAAACAGACCTTTTTTGTCTCTGTCTTCATTTCTGCATTCAACCCCCTTCGTTTCATCCCATGTAACGACATGTGGCAGTAACTGACTGCCACACCGTCTCTATTAAAAATACAAAAAAAAAAAAAAAAAAAAAAAAAAAATAGGTGGGCTTGTTGGCAGGCACATGTAATCCATGCTACTCCAGAACCTGAGGCAGAAGAATCCCTTCAACCCAGGAGACAGATGTTGCAGTGGGCCGAAATCACGCCTTTGCACCCCAGGCTGGGTGACAACGTGTGACTCCATCTCAAAAAAAGCAGAAAACAAAAAAGAAGAAACCAAAACCATACAAAACAAAACAAACAAAAACTATGTTCTGGTTAAGAGAACTGAAAAAGCAAGCCTCAGGCTAAGAAAAATCTAGGAAACACATCTGAAAAGTGACTTCTATGCAAAATATACAAAGAAATAAGATGACCCAATTAATAAGTAGAGACCTGAGTAGATACATCACCAAAACAGATATGGAGATGGAAAACCCGGTGCACAAAATACTGCTTGCTGAGCCCCTGTTACTTCTTCTGAAGGCTGAGGCTCCAAGCCATTTCCTGAGGAGCAACAGTGGCTGCCAGAGTGACAGTGGCTCCATAGATCATCCCCACCTACCCCAGCTCTACCTTTCTTCCAGGTTCCAAGGATTTCCCAGACATTGAGCATGCTCACGAGGAAAGAGCCAGAAGCTGGATATTTTATTTCACAACTTTTCTTAAAATTCTGGATGTCAACCAGTATCCTTTGGTTGGAAGTTTTATATTTATCCTAACAATCTTGAGGCACTGACAAGTATTAGGAAAGATGATTTTCAACCTACGTTTGATTCCATGAAGAAATAAAGGAATTGGTGTGGCCAGGCATGATGGCTCACATCGGTAATTCCAGCAGTTTGGGAGGCTGAGCCAGGTGGATGTCCTTAGGTCAGGTGTTTGAGATCATCCTGGTCAACGTGGTGAAACAAACTCTCTACTAAAAATGTAAAAAATTAGCCAGTACCGGTAGTGGTGTCTGGGTCCTGTAAACGCAGATCCTCAGGAAGCTAAGACAGGAGAATTGCATGAACCTGGGAAGCTGAGGTTACCAAAGCCGAGATCATGTCATTGCACTCCAGCCATGGGAACAGACCAAGACTCCGTCTCAAAACAAACAAACAAACAACAACAACAACAAACAGAACAGAACAACAACAAAAAAAGGACTCAATTACATTTTTAGGCAGTTATTTTAGAAGGCTTGGTACAATGCATTACTATTTTGGTATTCTCAAGACAGAAAACACAGTAACGCTAGTAAGTAAAAACCAAACAGCAAGTCACTACAAATTCATGGGATTAATTTCATCCGTCATTCTTCCTGGCTTTTATTTAAAATGTGTAATGTTGAAATAATCAGACGTTTTACTTGTGATACCTAAATGCAAGAAGAAACACCAGTTACTGAACCATTATTAAATGAATCTCAGTCTTCAAATTTGATTCTGATGCAGTGGAATGTTTTGTGAAAGATGGAAAACTAACAGACCAAACACACGTGATTTCAAATTTTGGCCTACTTTTGTAGAAGCAGATTTAAGAACCAAAACCTTCATAGTTCTAATTTTTGTCAGTGATTCAGCATTGCAAGATATGTAGTGAAACTGAAATCAGAGATTTTTTTCAATTCCAACAGAAACTAGTTTGTACTCTGGACATTCGTGTTGCTCCCTTGAAATCCGTAAAGAAATCACGTGATTGAAAGGGACTTTTACACAGTGAAAATCTGCCAATACACCGCATTATCTTATTAGCTACAGTTCACTATTTTATTGTAGTCACCATAAGATTAGAAAAAAAAAAAAAAAGCAGATAAATGACTATGTGTACTAGAATTATTTTATTTTATTTTATTTTATTATTATTATACTTTAAGTTTAGGGTACATGTGCACAATGTGCAGGTTAGTTACATATGCATACATGTGCCATGCTGGTGTGCTGCACCCATTAACTCGTCATTTAGCATTAGGTATAGCTGCTAAAGCTATCCCTCCCCCGTAACCCCACCCCACAACAGTTCCCCGAGCGTGATGTTACCCTTCCTGTGACCATGTGTTCTCATTGTTCAATTCCCACCCATGAGTGAGAATACGTGGTGTTTGGTTTTTTGTTCTTGTGATAGTTTACTGAGAATGATGATTTCCAATTTCATCTATGTCCATACAAAGGACATGAACTCATCATTTCTTATGGCTGCATAGTATTCCATGGTGTATATGTGCCACATTTTCTTAATCCAGTCTATCATTGTTGGACATTTGGGTTGGTTCCAAGTCTTTGCTCTTGTGAATAGTGCTGCAATAAACATAGGTGTGCATGTGTCTTTATAGCAGCATGATTTATAGTCCTTTGTGTATACACCCAGTAATGGGATGGCTGGGTCAAATGGTATTTCTAGTTCTAGATCCCTGAGGAATCACCACACTGACTTCCACAAGGGTTGAACTAGTTGACAGTCCCACCAACAGTGTAAAAGTGTTCCTATTTCTCCACATCCTCTCCAGCACCTGTTGTTTCCTGACTTTTTCATGATTGCCATTCTAACTGGTGTGAGATGCTATCTCATTGTGGTTTTGATTTGCATTTCTCTGATGGCCAGTGATGGTGAGCATTTTTTCATGTGCTTTTTGGCTGCATAAATGTCTTCTTTTGAGAAGTGTCTGTTCATGTACTTTGCCCACTTTTTGATGGGGATGTTTTTTTTTTTTTTTCTTGTAAATTTGTTTGAGTTCATTGTAGATTCTGGATATTAGCCCTTTGTCAGATGAGTAGGTTGCAAAAATTTTCTCCCATTTTGTAGGTTGCTTGTTCACTCTGATGGTAGTTTCTTTTGCTGTGCAGAAGCTCTTTAGTTTAATTAGATCCCATTTGTCAATTTTGGCTTTTGTTGCCATTGCTTTTGGTGTTTTAGACATGAAGTCCTTGCCCATGCCTATGTCCTGGATGGTAATGCCTAGGTTTTCTTCTCGGGTTTTTATGGTTTCAGGTCTAACGCTTAAGTCTTTAATACATCTTGAATTAATTTTTGTGTAAGGCGTAAGGAAGGGATCCAGTTTCAGCTTTCTACCTATGGCTAGCCAGTTTAGGATTACAGAAGGCTCTGGGCAGCTGGCTAGAGTATTAGGTCATGACTCTTTTCTGCAGAAGAGAGGACTGAGCCTTGCATCCAGAGCTTTCCGGGTCTAAGCTCAGGGCCATCTTAATGCTCATTGTACAGCCTCATATAATTAGAACCAAAGGAATTTGTTTTCTGAGGCCACAGCTTTTCTAAATGTGAACCCAGAGTTAACCAAATCAACAGTAGCTTGTGCTTGAGAGTGACATGTGTTTTGAGGTAGTCTCTGGAAGGCCCAAAGGAAGGGAAGTTAGTGACAGCTTACACCACAGACACTCTTTGTTAAACTTTAGAAAGAAAAGTGGAAATAATTAAATGTCAGTGGTCAAGCACTCTGTGTACCAGCCACAAGTGGAGACTGAGTTGGCACATTCTCCACACCAGCAGGAGAAAGCAACCTGCAGACTCCGACTCCAGTCTCTGGCGCTTGGGTTGTGTGAGAACTGGAATGACAACAGCATTTAAAATCAGCAGAATTCCAAGTTGTTTGGCCTATTAAATCCTGGAAAGGCTGTTGAGATTGATGGTTGTGGCAGTTCCTTTCTCACAGAGGGAGGCTGAGGCCCGTGAGTGGTGAGCCTGGTTCATGTGGCCTGGGGTGACTGGGCTAAATGTAGCATCCACTTCTGTACTTTATAGTCTTTGTTATAGCACATATGGGCTGTGCTCCTCCCTCCAGGCCTGTGTCCATTAGGGACCACCAGGATCAGGTTCCCAGGGCATGAGGGTCTCCTTTGTCTGGTAGCAGAGACCAGGTTGGCTCCAGGCAGGTGCCTCGTGAGGACTGAATTATAGGGGACCTATGAGAAGAGAGGGTGCAGTACCCCAAATCACATGCTCTCCTTGCTGAAATAGCTAGGTTGTGAGAAAATCCACACTACAATCATGGACTTGCTTTCCATTCACTGCTGGAGCTGAGACCGGGCAGAGTTTGCCACAGCCACTCTCTCCCCTGGAGCTTGCCTATCCTCTCCACATGGCTGTCCTCAGCCTTCCTCTTGCTCCTCCAACTCTTATGCCACCTGCACATTTTAACCTAGTGGAAATGCAAGTCAAAGCTACAGTAAGATACCTCTTCACACACATTATAATTGCAGGGAAAAAAAAGCTAACAATGGTTGAAATGGAAGTGGGAAAATGTGAAAGAAAAATGCTGCAGCTGCTGTGGAAAATAGTTTGGTGGTTCTGCAAAAGCTAAATATAAAATTACCATAGAACGCCCAAAATCCACTCCAAGCTATATACACACAAAAAAAATGTAAAAGAGCTATTCAAACAAAAATATGTGTACGTATGTTCATAGCAGCATTCACAATAACTAAAATCTGAAACACACCCAATAAATGTCCAGCAACAAAAAAATAAGAAACAAAATGTAGTATGTCCATACAACGGCATACTATTCAGCTGTGAAAAGGATTACAACTCTAAAGCTACAATGTGAAGAAACTTAAATTTTGGCTCAAGAAGCAGAGCACAAAAGTCACATAGTGTATGATTCTATTTATATAAATATTTAGAGTAGGTAAATCCATAGAGAAAAAATGCAGATTATTGGTACTGGTGTCAGAAAGAGGACAGATTGGGTAGGAGCTTCTTAATAAGTAGGGTATTTCCTTTTGGAATAATGAAAATACTTTGGAACTAAGATGTGGTAGTTGCACACAAATATGCACGTACTAAAGATCACTAAGGAATTCATTAAGAAACAGTTAATTTTATATTATGCGAAGGAATTTAACCTCACTAAAAAGACAAAATTTCTTCCTCAGCATTCTCTCAGCAATGTGAGCTCTCTTTCCACAGAGTGCTTGTAGCATGGGGTTCTAGTCCCTCCACAGTCCAGAACTGCCTGGGGCCAGGCCAGCCACACACTAGACATGAACTCCCACCACGCTGTCCAGCAGTCCCTCGACCTGTTACCAGTGGAAGTTATCTGAGTTACTGGCATCAAATCTATCATGGTCTGCAGTAACCTCAACTCTTGCCTCCTCAGGAGAAAGAATTTGACTGAGGGGAATAAAGTAGCAAAGCAGACTGAGAAAGGTTTCACAGCAAAAGGCGATGTTTATTTAAAATGTTTTAGAGTAAGAAAAAAAGAAGAGTGCATTTGGAAGAGATCCAAGTGGGTGATTTGAATATATACCATATATATGACTTGCAAATATTGTGTTCCATGCTGTTGGTTTTCTTTCCACTATACTGACAGTGTCTTTTAATGCACAAAAGTGTTTAGTTTTGATGAAGTTCAAGTGATCTAGTTTTTCTTATGTTTTGTGTTCATTCAGTGATATAGCCAAGAAATCATTTACAAATCCACAACCAATAAGCACATGAAAAGATGTTCAAACTCACTAGCCACTTAATGCAGGAATATCTAAACCACAATGAGATTACCACTTTATCCCCATTAGAATTTTTCTTTTCTTTTCTTTTCTTTTTTAAAGAAAAGTTTGAGAGTATGCAGAGAAATTGGAACTCTTGTACATTGCTGGTGAGATTGTGAAATGGTGGTGATGTTTGCACAATTTGAGCATAGTTAATGCTTCCAAATTATACACTCAGTGTTTGAAATGGTACATTTGTTTATGTATGATTTTCCACTTACAACAAAAGCTTCCTCAGAAACTGTCCTAAAATAGTTCCATATGTGATGAAAGAAGACGCTCCTCTCCTATCATGAGTAGAAGACTATTTATTTATTCATGGCATTATACACACTCTTGACTCTTCCACATGCCCAGCAGGATCTCATCAAGCAGAATGAGTCTATTCTCATCTGGCCCATTTGTGCTCCTTTCCATAATTGCATTCTCCTTTTCAACTCACTACCGGCCCGCTAAAAACAACTGTAAGTTGCAGGTCAGTTTACTGTCTCTATAAATATTTCTTCTCTGTAATCTAATAGAAATGAAATCATACAGTATGTCACCTCTTCAGACTGGCTCTTATCACTTTGCTTTATGAATGCCCGCTTCATCCATGGCTTTGCATGACTTCATGAATCACTCCTTTTGTTTGATGAATAGTATTTCATTTTAAGAATTTACCTGGCTTGGTTAATATTGAAGGGCATCGTGATTCCTTCAAGTATGTGGACATTGTCAAAAGAGCCGTTATACATAAATGCTTGTGGTTTTTGGTTAGATGTGAGTTTCCAAATCAGTTGTCTAGATACCTAAGTGTTAACAATTGTCAGCCTATATGATGAGACCATGTCCACCTTTGGAAAAAACTGTCAAACTGTTTCAGAAGAAAACAACCACATTTTAAAGTTGCTGTACAATTATGCATTCCTTCAGCAATGAATGAGATTTTCTGTTGCAGTTTTGAGTATATTTAAAAAGAAATTTAGACATAGTATAGCTGTTTAGTGCTCACACTCTTATTTTAATTTGCCTTCCCCGAACAGCAGGTGTTGTTGAGCATTATTTTGTTGTTATTGTTTGTTCATTAATCTATGATTGCTGCCAAAAAGCATACATGTGTTGTGCCACAGAAAACCAATTTTAAAAAACATACTCTCAGCTCTACTTAGTAAAAAATGAAAAAATTAATGGTCATACTGCCCAAGGTAATTTATAGATTCAATGCCATCCCCATCAAGCTACCAAAGACTTTCTTCACTGAATTGGAAAAAACTATTTTAAAGTTCATATAGAACCAAAAAAGAGCCCACATCACCAAGTCAATCCTAAGCCAAAAGAACAAAGCTGGAGGCATCACGCTACCTGACTTCAAACTATACTACAAGGCTACAGTAACCAAAACAGCATGGTACTGGTACCAAAACAGAGATATAGATTAATGGAACAGAAAATAATGCCGCATATCTACAACTATCTGATCTTTGACAAACCTGAGAAAAACAAGCAATGGGGAAAGGATTCCCTACTTAATAAATGGTGCGGGGAAAACTGGCTAGCCATAGGTAGAAAGCTGAAACTGGATCCCTTCCTTACGCCTTACACAAAAATTAATTCAAGATGTATTAAAGACTTAAGCGTTAGACCTGAAACCATAAAAACCCGAGAAGAAAACCTAGGCATTACCATCCAGGACATAGGCATGGGCAAGGACTTCATGTCTAAAACACCAAAAGCAATGGCAACAAAAGCCAAAATTGACAAATGGGATCTAATTAAACTAAAGAGCTTCTGCACAGCAAAAGAAACTACCATCAGAGTGAACAAGCAACCTACAAAATGGGAGAAAATTTTTGCAACCTACTCATCTGACAAAGGGCTAATATCCAGAATCTACAATGAACTCAAACAAATTTACAAGAAAAAAAAAAAACATCCCCATCAAAAAGTGGGCAAAGTACATGAACAGACACTTCTCAAAAGAAGACATTTATGCAGCCAAAAAGCACATGAAAAAATGCTCACCATCACTGGCCATCAGAGAAATGCAAATCAAAACCACAATGAGATAGCATCTCACACCAGTTAGAATGGCAATCATGAAAAAGTCAGGAAACAACAGGTGCTGGAGAGGATGTGGAGAAATAGGAACACTTTTACACTGTTGGTGGGACTGTCAACTAGTTCAACCCTTGTGGAAGTCAGTGTGGTGATTCCTCAGGGATCTAGAACTAGAAATACCATTTGACCCAGCCATCCCATTACTGGGTGTATACACAAAGGACTATAAATCATGCTGCTATAAAGACACATGCACACCTATGTTTATTGCAGCACTATTCACAAGAGCAAAGACTTGGAACCAACCCAAATGTCCAACAATGATAGACTGGATTAAGAAAATGTGGCACATATACACCATGGAATACTATGCAGCCATAAGAAATGATGAGTTCATGTCCTTTGTATGGACATAGATGAAATTGGAAATCATCATTCTCAGTAAACTATCACAAGAACAAAAAACCAAACACCACGTATTCTCACTCATGGGTGGGAATTGAACAATGAGAACACATGGTCACAGGAAGGGTAACATCACGCTCGGGGAACTGTTGTGGGGTGGGGTTACGGGGGAGGGATAGCTTTAGCAGCTATACCTAATGCTAAATGACGAGTTAATGGGTGCAGCACACCAGCATGGCACATGTATGCATATGTAACTAACCTGCACATTGTGCACATGTACCCTAAACTTAAAGTATAATAATAATAAAATAAAATAAAATAAAATAATTCTAGTACACATAGTCATTTATCTGCTTTTTTTTTTTTTTCTAATCTTATGGTGACTACAATAAAATAGTGAACTGTAGCTAATAAGATAATGCGGTGTATTGGCAGATTTTCACTGTGTAAAAGTCCCTTTCAATCACGTGATTTCTTTACGGATTTCAAGGGAGCAACACGAATGTCCAGAGTACAAACTAGTTTCTGTTGGAATTGAAAAAAATCTCTGATTTCAGTTTCACTACATATCTTGCAATGCTGAATCACTGACAAAAATTAGAACTATGAAGGTTTTGGTTCTTAAATCTGCTTCTACAAAAGTAGGCCAAAATTTGAAATCACGTGTGTTTGGTCTGTTAGTTTTCCATCTTTCACAAAACATTCCACTGCATCAGAATCAAATTTGAAGACTGAGATTCATTTAATAATGGTTCAGTAACTGGTGTTTCTTCTTGCATTTAGGTATCACAAGTAAAACGTCTGATTATTTCAACATTACACATTTTAAATAAAAGCCAGGAAGAATGACGGATGAAATTAATCCCATGAATTTGTAGTGACTTGCTGTTTGGTTTTTACTTACTAGCGTTACTGTGTTTTCTGTCTTGAGAATACCAAAATAGTAATGCATTGTACCAAGCCTTCTAAAATAACTGCCTAAAAATGTAATTGAGTCCTTTTTTTGTTGTTGTTCTGTTCTGTTTGTTGTTGTTGTTGTTTGTTTGTTTGTTTTGAGACGGAGTCTTGGTCTGTTCCCATGGCTGGAGTGCAATGACATGATCTCGGCTTTGGTAACCTCAGCTTCCCAGGTTCATGCAATTCTCCTGTCTTAGCTTCCTGAGGATCTGCGTTTACAGGACCCAGACACCACTACCGGTACTGGCTAATTTTTTACATTTTTAGTAGAGAGTTTGTTTCACCACGTTGACCAGGATGATCTCAAACACCTGACCTAAGGACATCCACCTGGCTCAGCCTCCCAAACTGCTGGAATTACCGATGTGAGCCATCATGCCTGGCCACACCAATTCCTTTATTTCTTCATGGAATCAAACGTAGGTTGAAAATCATCTTTCCTAATACTTGTCAGTGCCTCAAGATTGTTAGGATAAATATAAAACTTCCAACCAAAGGATACTGGTTGACATCCAGAATTTTAAGAAAAGTTGTGAAATAAAATATCCAGCTTCTGGCTCTTTCCTCGTGAGCATGCTCAATGTCTGGGAAATCCTTGGAACCTGGAAGAAAGGTAGAGCTGGGGTAGGTGGGGATGATCTATGGAGCCACTGTCACTCTGGCAGCCACTGTTGCTCCTCAGGAAATGGCTTGGAGCCTCAGCCTTCAGAAGAAGTAACAGGGGCTCAGCAAGCAGTATTTTGTGCACCGGGTTTTCCATCTCCATATCTGTTTTGGTGATGTATCTACTCAGGTCTCTACTTATTAATTGGGTCATCTTATTTCTTTGTATATTTTGCATAGAAGTCACTTTTCAGATGTGTTTCCTAGATTTTTCTTAGCCTGAGGCTTGCTTTTTCAGTTCTCTTAACCAGAACATAGTTTTTGTTTGTTTTGTTTTGTATGGTTTTGGTTTCTTCTTTTTTGTTTTCTGCTTTTTTTGAGATGGAGTCACACGTTGTCACCCAGCCTGGGGTGCAAAGGCGTGATTTCGGCCCACTGCAACATCTGTCTCCTGGGTTGAAGGGATTCTTCTGCCTCAGGTTCTGGAGTAGCATGGATTACATGTGCCTGCCAACAAGCCCACCTATTTTTTTTTTTTTTTTTTTTTTTTTTTTGTATTTTTAATAGAGACGGTGTGGCAGTCAGTTACTGCCACATGTCGTTACATGGGATGAAACGAAGGGGGTTGAATGCAGAAATGAAGACAGAGACAAAAAAGGTCTGTTTTAAAAGAAGGGTCGGGGGCTCATTGCTTCTAATCAGCAAAGGCCCTGAGCTTCTACAGGCCTTCATATTTATTAGGCAGAATCAACAGGGAGGAAAGGTAATTGTTGGTCAGCTGCTTGATTTATCACAGGCTCATGTAATTGCTTTCTATATACTACAGGCTTCAGATGTTCCTATATATAACCACAAGAAAGACTGTGCTTGGGGCATGACTGCCCTCAGCATTCCTTCTGACACCAGACGTGGTGTGTCAGTTGCCAACATGCTGCTTTCATGAGAACAGTTTCCTCTCTGCTCATAGACCCTCCAGTCATTACTGAGTTGGTCACGACCCTCATTCTTTTGGCCTCCAACATCTCCTCCTTTTTATTTTTGCATTAATTGAGTAAAGATCATTGCAGGCTGTGCAACTCTCCACTGCTGTTTGGTGGTCCAGCTGCTTTTACAGACAATGAACATAAAAGAGAGACATCAAAACGTTACTCTGATAATCACAAAAAAGACATTTAGGTGATGTTTGGAGGAGGTCCAAACGCTAAGGCTCTCTAAACCTTGCTGGAATTCTGCCCAAGTTTTCAGAGATGGCTGTATTACTTGAGTATGCTTTTTCAAGTTTAGAATTTTGCTTTGTAAATGAAGTTTCCATGGATATTCCCTTTGGTTTTATTCCAAATTGGTTACACAAATATGAGTATGCTTAAAATGACAATGCAATTGCTGACGCAACTGCAAGTTTGTTCTTGGTTTCCTAGCCACAGAACTGTAATCTTTAATTCTTTAACATTGCTACTTCCATGTGTATCTCAGTGTTAAGTTAATTTTTAAGCATCCATGCCTGGTCGGCTGTACACATCCAATTTTCTATATATTGAGCTGTGATTTGAATGGAGCTGTACATTGCTACTAAGGACGCCACAACAGAAGTTATTAATGTACCTAAGGAGACTTTCAGAAAAATTTTCATGCCTAAGGCTCTACAAGCACAACGAATAAGCTGACTAAGAAAAAAGTTTACACAATGGAAACCAGAGGTGGCCACCCAAGCCTCAGGCAGATTTACAGGAATCCATAATCCGGGATTGTGACCTAGAATTACTAGGGTGGATATGCTGTATGTTTGTACTGTGCTATGATTAAGGGAATAATACAGTTGACAGGAATCACAAGTCAATCGGGCATCGTTTACCTGGAGTTGGTCCTCTTTGCTGCCAGAAAAACATAAGTTCAAAAACACAAATTGTAAATTGAGTGGTAATGTTTTCCACAACGGTAACATTAAAACTGTGTTCAGCACAATTATTAAAATTAGATAGTGTTCCGACACAAATGCTGCCATTCATATAGTGGAGTGCTGCCTTCCCTATCGACTCCTGAGTTGGACCTCTCTTTCCTTGGTAATGCCATTGAGGCAAAGTTGGGCTAAAGCCTGTTCCATGCCAAGTTAAACTTGCTGCAGATTGGGATTGAATCCCAGCGCAATGCAGTGAAGAGATGCTGACCAGTGTCAGCGAAGTTTATGCCATGAGGTCGGATTCTCATCTCTCCCATCTAAATGACCACAGGGACCTAGAAAATAATGTCTCCGATTAGCATGTACTCTTGTCTAGCTAGGGCACCAAGACACTGGGTCCAAGGAGGGGGGGGTAAGAATTATCAAAGAGAGCTCATTCTGTATAATTAATACGATTTGGGGGATGGGGCTGGGAGAGATTAGTAGCTACACCGGTAATGGTAATAGAGCTAAGGCCTAATAGGTACATATTTTTTTTCGATGGTAAGTCAGCCATACTTGGGATTAATTTGCAAGGCCACTGCAGTTGAGTGATGTACGCTGTGTGACTCATGAAGGAAGTCCCTCCAATGGAGCAGCATAATTGATAATCATTGTTCTGAGAGTCTAATAACTGTTTGTCAGGGGGTGTTAGGGGTCCTGGTGCCCATGCTTCATGATCATGATAGATGTCAGGGGGAGTGTCACTCCAAATTACAGTCCATAATACTGGGGGATTGGGAATATAGGCCCAATATGTTTTTGTCTCTGCACAAGGAAAACCTACTGCACAGGATGTTGCAGGTAGCATGGCCATAAACGTGACATCGGGGGTGTTTGCCTGACCCTGGTGCTCCAGCAATTTCAACTGACTCATGCCTTGTAATGGAGGAGTCGGATTCATAGTTGGGATCCATGGCTCTCTCCAGTCTTCCTTTACATGGTCACAAACACATTGAAGGCACCCCACACAGATTATCCGTCTCCTGTAAAAACACAAGCATACCCTCATCCTTACATCAGTAAATCTCCTGAGCATTTCCATCGTCCTTAGGGGGATTTTCATAATATTTTTGGGTATACTTTACTTTTTCCCTATGACATTTACCAGTGTCGTTCTGCCATAGTCTTACTATCTGTGCCAGGAGTCAAAAAATTAAAGTAAATAAGTAAAAAAATTAATTAAAGTAAAAGTAAATGTATTTTGTTTGAGGTGGTAACTGATCTCTTGTTTCCCCTTTCGGTTTTTTTCAGCACACCTTGTAATGTTTGATTTGCCCGCTCTATAATTCCTTGTCCTTGGGGTTTGTAAGGAATTCCTGTTTTATGAGTGACTGACCATAGCTGTAAAAAATTTTAAAAAGCATGACTAACATAAGTGTGTCCATTGTCAGTTTTTAATTGTTTAGGGACCCCCCGATATGAGCAAATGATGACAGACAATGTCATCACACATAACCAGCTGTGTGACCTGGTTTGCATGTAGCATGCCGCATATGAGAATAAGTGTCTGTAGTCACATGAACAAAGGAGAACTTACCAATGGCAGCTTTGTGAGTAACATCCATCTGTCAGATTTCATTTGAAGCTAAGTCTCATGGGTTACAGCCTTCTGTGAGTGTGACTCCAGTGACATGCTGGCAAGCAGGACAGGCTTGTACAGGCTGCAGCGTGGCTGTGAGGCAAATGAAACATACGAGTAAAGGCAGAGTTTTGATGCAGTAATATATGAGAAGGTTGAGCTTGTTGAAATGCAGAACAAACCAATTTATTGGCTCTATTGTTACCTAGAAATAGTGGTGTAGGGAGTTGTGTGGGAGAGCAAATATAAGAAATATAAAAAGCAGCACAAGAGCAAACAGCTTGTTAAAGTCTTAGAAACAAGTTAAACTGCTCTGGTTCCAGGGTGCTTTTAATAGTGGTCGTCCCAATATGACTGGCTACATTTACAACATAGGCTGAATGACAGAGAGTGTTAATAAGAGATGAACCAGTGAGCTCTAAAACCTGCATAACTGCCATTAGTTCTGAGCGTTGATCTGAAACTCCGGGGTTTTTTATTGTTTGAGCATGCTTAGTACCATAAGTAGCTTTGCGACCTTTGGAAGAGCCACCAGTAAAATAGGTCTGGCTGCCTGAAATGGGCTTGTGATGAGGAATCACAGGGAAGATGAAAGGCTGAATTTTTAAAATTGCAAAATTTTGTCTGAGGGATAATGTTTATGTATTATTCCTACACAACCTGAAAGAGCAATTTGCCACACAGTCAACATTTCCCATGCTGCAGCCTGTTGCTGGGAATCCAATATTTCTCCTCATACTTGTAGACTGGCTCTAAAAGGAGAACAATAATTTTGTGTGGATCATATCTCTTAAGCATTTTTGATCTATCCCTACCCCTTGTTATAAACTGAGTAGTTAAAGAAAGATAAACTTGCAGAGATTTTACTCTCTGATTGAATTTCAAACAAAGCCATTCTATTACAATTACATATTTTTCTATGATCTGGCCTAAAAGTCCTGTTGGAGAATGGGGGGTAGAGAGAAAAAAGGGAACCAAGGGATTTTGTGGCTGTAGCCAGGAGGCATGTGTTTGCTGAAGAATCTACTCTACAAGCTGTAACTCAGCTTCAGCCTCCTTAGACAAACCAGCAACTGGGTTGTCTCCTAAGCCCATTGCTCCTAATGAAGAATTTCCATGGAGTGCCTGAGTGTTTGAGTTGATGAGTAGCAATACCTAGGATTGGGCACAGCCAATTTATATCTCCTAATAGTTGTTGGAAATCACTGAAGGTTTGTAATCTGTCCCTACAGAGGACTGCTTTCTGAGGTCAAACATTTGTTTCAGTAGCAATAGTGCCTAAGTATTGGTATGGGGAGGTTGCTTCTACCTTTTGTTGAACTATTTTGAGATGTCCCCCTGTTTTGCTTCTCTCAGCAATTGGTGTAATAACTCTTCCATTGGAGCAGCCAAAAGAATTTCATCCATATAATGAATTATGTAGGCAGTAGGAAATATATTACGAGGCTCCTTTAAGGACTGTCCTACAAAACGCTGAAATAGCGTAGGACCGGTGAGCATGCTTTGGGGTGAAACTTTGCTTATCCTTCTCATGTAAGGGTACAGTAAGGAAATAATCTTTGAGATCTGCTACGATGGGAGGTGAGTCACTTGGAATGGCTGCCAGGAACGGCAGACCTTGCTGTAATGCACCCATTGATTTAATCTGTGCATTAATAGCTCTCAAATCATGTAGCAACTTGCTGGCAAATCGGTCTGCTTTTATATACTAAAATTTTGCTGAAACCTTACACTTGTGTTGATACATATGTATATGTATATGTGTATATATATCTCTATATGTGTGTATATATATACATATACACATACACACATATGTATGTGTGTACATATATGTATGTAATATGCACATATGTAATATGCACATATGTAATACCCAGAGTTTCTGGATGTACACATATACACTCTGGTATGTGTGTATAGATGGTATGTGTATATGTAGGTATATACGTATACACATACACATATGTATGTGTATATATAACACGTGTATATATACACACATATATGCACACATACAGACACACATATAAGTGAGTGTGTATATTTACATATATATGCATGCTCTGTCTATAAATGTGTTTATATATACACATACAAACATATATATTACACACATATATACATATACACACGTGTGTGTATATGTATATATGTGTATATATGTATGTCTATATATGTTTATATATATATAATTCCTCACACATATGTAAAATTATACACACACACACACACACACACACACACACACACACACACATATATATATATATAATTCGTTGTTTGTCTCCTAAGCCCATTCAACCCAAAACCTTCCAGGTATGTGGGAAGCTTAAGAGAGATTATGCAGTAGTTAGATGGCAGCAAGAGTCTTTAATAGAGTTTGAGTCTTTATACTATCCCTGGCTTCCCTTACTGTGGTCCTAGCAAAACATTGACATCCTCGTAAATAATAGGGACTGACTTTGAAAATTAACATTCTCTTCTTATTTAGATATCAATGTAGCTGGATGTAGAACAGCTGCCTCAAAAAAAAAAAAAAAAAAAAAGAGATTCCATTCTTTTCCTTCTTTTATAAAAACTTCAGCAATGAGGTTGGAATTTGTCTCTCAAGGGCAGCTTCTTTTTGACTGTTGAAAGTGGAGATTTTCTGCTTACAGATGGGACATAGAGTCTTATAATTATTAGCGGGACATGGGAGGAAGAGAAAGTTAGAAACTAGACGTTTTGGGCAAAGGGCTGACAAGGCTCTACACAGAGAAAAATCCTATCTTACTAGGTGGCAGTGTAGGATCTGAAAAATTAGATAAAAACTCTGATTCCAAACACTTTTCTGTCAAAAGTTAGAGAACGGGGGTGGAGCCAAGATGGCTGAATAGGAACAGCTCCAGTCTACAGCTCCCACCATGAGCCACACAGAAGACAGGGGATTTCTGCATTTCCAACTGAGGTACTGGATTCATCTCACTGGGGCGTGTCAGACAGTGGGTGCAGGACAGTGGGTGCAGTGCACTGAGCATGAGCCAAAGCACAGCGAGGCATCACCTCACCCAGGGAGCACAAGGGGTCCGGGAATTCCCTTTCCTATTCAAAGCAAGGGCTGGCAGATGGCACCTGGAAAATCAGGTCACTCCCACACTAGTACTGTGCTTTTCCAACGGTCTTAGGAAATGGGACACCAGGAGATTATATCACACACCTAGTTTGGAAGGCCTACACCCACGGAGCCTCACTCTTTGCTAGCACAGCAGTCTGAGATCAAACTGCAAGGCGACAGTGAGGCTGGGGGAGGGGAGCCCATCATTGCTGCGGCTTGAGTAGGTAAACAAAGTGGCTGGGAAGTTCGAGCTGGGTGGAGCCCACTGCAGCTCAAGGAGGCCTGCCTGCCTCTGTAGACTCTGCCTGTGGGGGCAGGGCATAGCCAAACAAAAGGCAGCAGAAACCTATGCAGACTTAAATATCTCTGTCTGACAGCTTTGAAGAAAATAGTGGTTCTCCCAGCACGCAGCTTGAAATCTCAGAACAGACAGACTGCCTCTTCAAGTGGGTCCCTGAACCCCACATAGCCTAACTGGGAGGCACCCCCCAGTAGCTGCAGACTGACACCTCACATGGCTGGGTACTCCTCTGAGGCAAAACTTCCAGAGGAACAATCAGCCAGCAACATTTGCTGTTCACCAATATCTGCTGTTCTGCAGGCTCCGCCGCTGATACCCAGGGAAACAGGGTCTGGAGTGGACCTCCAGCAAACTCCAACAGACCTGCAGCTGAGGGTCCTGACTGTTAGAAGGAAAACTAACAAACAGAAAGGACATCCACACCAAAACCCCATCTGTATGTCACCGTCATCAAAGACCAAAGGTAGATAAAACCACAAAGATTGGGAAAAAACAGAGCAGAAAAACTGGAAACTCTAAAAATCAGAGCAAGCACTATGGGAGGCCATGGCAGGTGGATCACCTGAGGACAGGAGTTTGAGACCAGCCTGGCCAACATGGTGAAATTCTGTCTCTACTAAAAGTACAAAAATTAGCCGGGCGTGGTGGTAGGCACATGTAATCTCAGCTACTCAGGTGGCTGAGGCAGGAGAATTGCTTGAATCTGGGAGGTGGAGGTTGCAGTGAGCCAAGGTCGTGCCACTGCACTCCTGCCTGAGTGACGAGCAAGACTCTGTCTCAAAAAAAAAAAAAAAAAAATATATATATATACATATCATAAATATCTTCTCTTTTGGTCATTTGAGTAATTCTCTAATCTCCTTTATAAATAACTATTAATATGGAATAATTGAAAGCACATCTTATTTGGAATGGAATGTAATTTATAAATTCTGGCTTTACCTCTAACTCATGATATGCCTTTGTGCAAATTTTTTTTATCTGAATTCTTGGATTTTATTTTCTGGAAAACAAAAGCTCTTAAGTTTTAACACTAAAATTATATTTAATACTAATCAGTACTTAACCTGTATTTGGTTATTTTTTGGAAGAGACACTACTGAGTTTAAAAAATTTTATGTTTGCATAAAAGGAGAATTTCAGAATATTTTAGAGACTACCTGCCAGAAGTAGTGAAACTGTCTCTTGCTGAAAAATCATTCAAACAAATTTGTCTTAGTCTGTTTCATAGTATTGTGACAGAATAACAGAGAGTGAGTAATTTATGAAGAGCAGTCGTTTATTTTCTGACAGTTCTGGAGTCTGGGAAATCCAAGATGAAAATATCAACATTTGGTGTCTCAGGACCTTCTTGTTTTATCCTCACATGGTAGCAGGCAGAAGGGCAGGAGAGCAAGCTGGTCCAATGTGTGAAGCCTCATTCATAAGGGCCTTAATCCCATGAAGGAGAAAGGAGCCCTCTTGGCCTAATCATCTATTAAAAGTCCTACCTCTTAATATCATCACATTGGCAACAGTTGAATTTTGGAGGGAATACATTGAAACAGTAGCAAATTTAGTAGAGCAAATTCCAAAGACATTGAGCCTAGGCCAGTTGTCAGTCATGGGTATAATTTTAGATGTTTTCTGGCTCTGAAGCCTTACATTTAAATTTGAACTTCAGAACAAAGATCTATGTCTCTGCATTGACCAAATAGAATGTATGTAAATTCCATGGTATCGATTGTTTTAAAAGATTTTTTTCTGTTTGAGGTCTTATAATTAATTTAGGCTTTCATTTTCTTGGTTTGGAAATTATTAATCTAAAATGTACTTTAGAGTGCTTCAGAACTAAAAAAGTAGTGTTGTAGTCTTCCTTTTGTTTGTTTTTTGAGACAGGGTTTCACTGTCACCCAGGCTGGAGTGCAGTAGCGCTGGCATGGCTCACTGTAACCTTGAACTCCTGGGTTCAAGCGATCCTCCTGAGTAGCTGGGACTACAGGCCGGTGCCCCACGTCCAGCTAATTTTTTTATTTTATTTTATTTTATTTTATTTTATTTTTATTTTTTATTTTAGCGTTTGAGTCTCACTTTGTTGCCCAGGCTGGTCTTGAACTCCTGACCTCAAGTGATCCACCACCTCAGCCTCCCAAAGTGCTGGGATTACAGGTGTGTGCCACTGTGCCTGGCTGTAGGCTTGTTTTATGAGTCTGGGAGTAAAATACTTCTTAAAATTGTCCAATTAGAATGAAAGTCTGTTTTAATGTTTTTATGCAGTTTAGCTTAGATGGAATAAACTGCATGAAAACATTAAACCTTTTCCATAGGTCAGGCAGCCATTGTACTAAAGTTCATGAACACTTTCATTTTCCCTTCACAAGATAAAAAACAAGGCACCGCAACTTTGAGGGAAATCTAGAAAGGTAGGAGACTGGACTTCGGAGTTGTCAGATTAGGACAGGTGAAAAGCAGATATTCTAGGCTCCTAAAATAATGTGGGAACAGGCCCAGAGCAACTTTGGACATGGTGTGTTTGGGTGCACTGGATGCTTTTCTTTTGAGAAGGAAAGTTGATGTGTTGAAGTCATGGAAAGCAAGATTGTCCAGAAAAGACAGATGGATAGAAGTCTTGAATTTGAGACAGGCATGTTTCTATTTGGTATGTTTGTTGATAAGAAGGCCTTAAGCAGGGAATCATGTGCTGAGAATATTGTTTTAGAAAGATATGTTGAATTCTGTTTGGGATGTGCTGATTAATACTTAGGTGGAGAAGTTTTGTGGATGGGAACATGACTGAGGTTGAAGGTACAGGTGGAAATACAGGCCAAAGGCATTTGTGAGCATTGTGGGGAAAACAAATGTGGGTAGAAGATCAGGGCTGAAAAGTGCACACAGGGAGAAGGGAGCTCCATGAAGTACAGACTCATGGGCAGAGTTTGAGTGAAGGTATTCAGTAGTCTGGTCTAGAAATCGGTGAATTAGCTGGCTTGGGAAAAAAAATCGAGATAAACATAAACTACCCCTTTAGAGATTTTGGCAATTGAAGTAGAAATATAAGGTAATTGAAAAAAGTTAGGATTTAAACAATTCTGCATATGTTTGTATATATGTAAGAACAGATAGTATGGGAAGGGAGGGAGCAGAATGATGTGAATAAAGATGTTGTTCTGCGGGGTATTATTCAAATTCTTTTGAAATTATTATTAGTTTTTGAGATAGGGTTGCTGTCACCCAGGGTGGAGTGCAGTGGCATGATCATAGCTTACTGCAGCCTCAAACTCCCGGGCCCAAACAATGCTTCTATTTCAGCCTCCTGAGCACCTGACATCAAATTCTTTTTCTAACTTATTTTTAAGTCATTAGCATCAATAGGTGCTTACTACATAAAACCATAAACTTGGAAATTAGGGTAAAGCACCAAATGTCTCCAGAGATAACAACTAAAATTAATTGAAATTAAGATTTCAATATAAGTTCTTCTCGTCTTTTTCTGTGCTTATTTCAGCATAATTGAAATTCTTTCTATTCCTTTGTGTAATCCATTTTTCATTTCAAAGTTTTTCGATACAGGAGAAATTATGCTGTGTTGATATTTCAGTGGCTTCTTAATAGTTCATGGAATTGAATTAACTGTTTTGCTATTTTTGCACATGCAGATTTTGTGTTTGTTTTTGTGGTTGCAAGGTTGAAATAGGTATCCTTATGCCTAAATTTGTGTTTACATCTTAGACTAGTTTCTTGTAATACAGTTCTAGAGGTCGAGTATCTGGAACAAACTATGAACACTTAAGGTTCTTGACACCTGCTGCTAAACTGTTTCAAAGGTTCCTCTTGAGAAGAGATTTAAAAGATGGCTTGGCTGGGCGTGGTGTCTGATGCCAGTAATCCCAGCACTTTGGGAGGCTGAGGTGGGCAGATCACTTGATGTCATAAGTTTGAGACCAGCCTGGCCAACATGTTGAAACCCTGTCTCTATTAAACATACAAAGAAATTAGCTGGGCGTGGCAGTGTACGTCTGTAATCCCAGCTACTCAGGAGACTGAGGCATGAGAATCACTTGAACCTGGGAGGCAGAGGTTGCAGTGAGCAGAGATTGCCCCACTATACTCCTGCCTGAATGACAGAGTGAGACTCTATCGTACAAAAAAAAATAAAATAAATTAAAGAAGTAAATAAATAAATGATGGCTTATTTCATAATAGGTGTGACTTTGTAAAGCTTTTAAATCTGCTTTCCCCAGAGTCTAGCTTTTAAATAAATTACAGGATATAAAAGGTGGGAGCCTCTTGAATGGAATGTGGGGGCTTTTTCTCTCTCCCCATAGGATAGATATATTCTGTTTCTTGTCCCCCACCGAGTCAAGAATAATTTAAGTTTTGGCATAAGAAACTGCTGAAGGAAAGTGGGTTGAATTGGCTAATATTTTTCTTCTTTTTGCAGGATATAGAAGACTTAGATCACTATGAGATGAAAGAAGAGCCTACTAGTGAGAAGAAGTTGGAAGATGAAGGAACTGAAAAAGAAAATTGGGCAATATTAGAGAAAATTAGGAAGACTGAAAGGCAAGGCCATTTAAATGTGTGTATAAATATCTGGACTTTTTGGTTAAGTAATTATAGTTAATACCAGGCAATTCATGAACATGCTGATCTTAGCTGCTCTCCTCCTCCATTCCTGCCTTAGTGGTAGATTCAGTCATATGTTTATTGGTTTTGAGATAGGGTCTTGCTCTGTCACCTGGGCTAGAGTGCAGTGGCACAATCATAGTTCACTGTAGCCTTTATCTCCCAGGCTCCAGTGGTCCTCCTACCTCAGCCTCCCAAGTGTCTGAGACTATGGTCATGTCCCACCACACAAGGCTAATTTTTTTTTTATTTTTAGTAGAGATGAGGCCTCACTATGTTGACCATTCTGGTCTTGAACACCTGAGTTCAAGCAGTCCTACTACCTTGGCCTGCCCAAGTGCTGGGATTACAGACATGAGCCACCATGCCTAGCCACACTCATATGCTTTGTTGCCCAAGGTTATCTTTCTCATCCATGAATAGCCACTTTTTACCCTGTTGATCTGCTCTTCACATCCTGGAACCACCTGCTGATCCCTGTATATGCCCCTTTCCAGCTTGTCTATGCTGTGTTCTCTGCTTACCTTCCTTCTGTGGCATCTGTATATTCAAGTTCATTCTCTCCTACAAAACACAACTCAAATTATTTCTCCTTCATGAAGCTGACTTTGATCCATCCTGCTCTGACCAAACCAAAAGTAGGGTTTCTCTTTTGACTTAACATCTCTTTTATGTGAAGTGGCAGGATGGGAAAGGAACACTGAGTTTGGTGACAGACACACCTTTTGTGGTTTCACTTTGTGCAACTCTAAAATATGGATAGACAGTACATATCTTTTGGATGGTTGCTATGAAAAATAAATTAAAATGATGCATGTTACTCATAAAATGCTTAGACAGAGTAGGGAAACATCAAATGATTGTCTGAACACTTACTGCTTCCTGCCTTGTATTAGAGCTATTTACCAACTCCACAATATCCGAGGACCAGTTACTTTGTCTTGGGCACAGGTTCTCCAAAACAGGGAATGAATTGTTAAGCAAGCAGATGTCAAGTGTTGCAATCAGATAGGTAACTCTCCCTCCTTCAATCTTATTTGTATATTAATTTAATTGGTAATTTTTCATACAGCAAATAAATTTAGTTAATCCCCATATTTTGATTATTTAAAAAACTAAGATTGTAGCATTTTAATTAATGTTATTGTACTTTCTGTGTCTTGTGATCAAGTCCAGTTTGAGTTATCTTCAAAACAAGTAAAAATTATTGAATAATTTTGTATGACTGATACTATGCTAAATACTTCATACTTAATACTTTATAGATCTTTTCATTTAGTCATCATAGCCACTGTGTGAAATAGGTGCTGTTTATACTTTAGAGATAGGAAAAACTCACATTTTATAGATATGAAATTAGTTCAGGGTTATATAGCTAGGAGGTAATATTTTTATAAACTTGATTTTTTTCCCCTTCAAATTCTAGTGCAGTCTTTAAAAGCTTTAGTTGCACATGACCAAAAAGTAGTTCCATTTCTATTTAGTCTTAGGATAAGATATCAATGTGTTTTCATCTTTAGAGAAGTCCCTGCACTGAAAAACTGAAACCAGTTGCATGTAGGCACACATGGTTCTCAGTGTCTTCATGTGTGAACTAGACCATCTGTGTGATATTCTTGCTTGCAGTCTTATGAATGGAAGCCTATTTTACTTAATATTTTGTCATCTTGAGTATTCTCAAAAATTGCTGGGGTTTGAAATAGACTCATACTGAATTCTATGCTATCGTGGAGTCCATGGTGGTATGAACATGTTGGCTAGAGTTTTTTAGGTGATAGGAAAATGGAAATGAACCAGACTTGTGTCTAGTTTTATATTCCCTTGAAATTTCATAATGCTTCATTTAATTGGACTTTTTCCTTTTACTTCTTAAATTGTTGAGTGGTGATCCATTTTTGTTGTAATCTTTTTCTTTTCTTTTCTTTTCTTTTTCTTTTGAGATGGAGTCTCACTCTGTGGCCCAGGCCAGAGTGCAGTGGCACCATCTCAACTCACTACTATCTCCACCTCCCAGGTTCAAGTAATTATCTTGCCTCAGCTTCTCGAGTAGCTGGGACTACAGGCACATGCAACCATGCCCGGCCAACTTTTGTATTTTTTTAGTGGAGATGGGGTTTCATCCTGATGGCAAGGCTGGTTTCAAACTCTTGGCCTCAAGTGATCCACCCCCCCTCAGCCTCCCAAAGTGCTGGGATTACAGGTGTGAGCCACCATGCCTGGCTACTGTAATCTTTTAGAGCAGGTTGAAATACCTTAAATCTTTAAATTATTTGGCTCAGTAGACCCTGGTAAACAGCAGCTTTTGTGTTTCAGGCTGCAGTGTCTGGGTCAGTGCAAGCTTCAGATAGACTTAAGAAAGATTTCAGGGACTTATACAGATCACAGAGTTATAAGACAGGTAAGGATCTCTAAATCCCTGTTCTTCTTATCATTCTTTTGTTCTTTTCTGTTGTCAGATTATAAATGTTGTTTCTTAAAACTGGACAGAAATGGAAATGTTTACTAGCTTTATTTTGTGAAACTCAAATGTAATCAAGTTCCAAAAGATGTAGGGAGTAAGATAGGATTAGTTTGCTTGTATTTTGGAATTAAAGAAATTGTTTTTATAGGTCCATTGGAATTTTATTTTGCCATCTTCCTGATAGAGTGAATATTTGCGTGATTTTTATCTTCTGGCAAAAAGCTTGAGCAATATTGCTTGATAATTTAATACAAATAATACATTTCAATATACAGATAATGATTGCCAAGTTGATTTTATGATTTTTTCCCCAGGTTTTGAAAGCAGCATAATCAACTCTTATTGTGGAGGTAGTTATGTTATTACTTTTAAAATATATAGGTGGAGTACACTTACAGTCCCAGCTACTAGGGGTGGTAGGAGACTGAGGCAGGAAGATCTTTTGAGCTTGGAAAAGTCAAGGCTGCAATGAGCCGTGATTGCACCATTATATTCCAGCCTGGGTGACAGAGTGAGACACCCTGTGTCATAAAACAAACAAACAAAAAAGGAGAGTGGGAGGTGGGATACATATTTATATATGTGTATGTAGGACAGTTGTAGAAAAATACCAATTTTTTGGTGATTTAACTTTTTTGACAGCTCTGTCCATGGCAAATTTTTCTCCTTGAACAACTTGGCTAGTAATACAAGTTTAGGAAAGCATATTAAACTTTTTTTGAATTCTTGAGAAAATTATATACATGCGACTGTTTTCCTTTAGAATGACTGCAAACTCTGAACCCCCTTATTAGATTAGATTTAGGCTATTATAATCTCTTTGGGACATTTATTCTAAAGGAGCTGGAAGCTATAGTGGCCTCTAGTTTTCCTGGGGATATAAAGCAGCTTAAGGTCTCCTCTTTCTGGAAATTACCCTAGGTGCTGTATTTTAGCTTTCAGATTGGTTCATTTTTGAGTTAGTAAAATTAATACAAATAATAATAATAATCTTTTTGTTTGAATTGTTTTTTGTTTTGGAATTCTGAAGGTTGACCCTGATAGTCCTTTACACAGTGATCTTCAGATCTTAAAAGAAGAAGAAGAGATAGGAGACATTTTGCTTATGTTTTAAGGTAAGAAAATTTTTATGAGACTCTATATCCTATGAATGGGGGTATATATTTGTACAAGTGTTTTGGAAAACAGTTTCGTAAAGTGGAAGATACTCATACCCTATGGTTCAGGAATCTCATTGATATATACCACACAAGAAATGAGTACATATGTGCCAGGAGACACAGGAATGTTCAGAGCAGCATCATTTATAATAACCCCAAACAGAAAATAACCCAAATGTTCATTCCAATAAAATGGAGAATTGTGGTATTCATAAAATGGCTTACAGTCATGTGGGACAAGATGAGTGAATCCTGAACGCTATGTTAAGCAAAAGAGACCAGATCCCCAAAACCTATTTTGTACAATTTCCTCTATATAGAGTTCAAAAATAGGCAAAACTAATGTTGGTTAGGGCATACATTCTTAGCGCAGGCAATATCGCCTGCAGTGGAGTGAAAATTGGTCCTTAGAGTGAAAGAAAATCTGACCTATTATAATGGTCTGCTGCCCTCCAAACAGCCATAGAACATAAAAGAAAACTGAGGAACACTTCTTTATGGATTCATACTTGGGCAGTAAAACTATCAAGAAAAAAGAGGCGATTACACACAGGGTAGGGTAAGGAGTCCATCTAGGTGGGAGGTAGGGAGGTGTGAACTGAAAGGTACATCTGTGGGCTTCTTGGATACTGGCTGTAATATATTTCTGGACTAGGTTGGTGGTTACATGAGCAAATAATTTAGAATAACTTGTTAAGGTCTACCTTAAGGTATATTTTATGTACTTTTCTGAATGTGTTATATTTAATAAAGTACTTTTAAGATACTAAAAGGTTACAAAAGAATAAGAATGGAATCTAGAAAAAATGTTAATGGTCTAATATGGAATCTAGATAAGATGTAATGTTTTAAAATCTATGGCTATATGAAGTATTTTGATGAAGCACACAGACGTAAAAGAATACTTTGTTGTACTTTAAGGATGGTAGTAGTTTTCTAAAAGCTTCTTACTTAGCTTTTACATGTGCGTATTTTTGCTTGGGGATATATCTTATGATTGAACTGTCTTGAAATGACCCTAATGTTAGTATTTTCTCTCAGTTTTGTTATCATAGAAACTGTTGTGGTTGTCAACTGAGTTGTCTTCCTGAAGCATGAATCCAGTATATATTGACTGAAGTTGCTAATGGCTACTTCTTTATGGATTCATATGGGTGAATGAATGAAGCACACAGGCCTACAACAAAAAACACACACACACACAAAACAGGAAGATACCATTTTTTTAAAAAAACATTAAATCATATGAACATATGCGCAACACCAAACTTCAGAAATAGAACCTTTGGCTGGGCGTGGTGGCTCATGCCTGTAATCCCAGCTCTTTGGGAGGCCGAGGCAGGTGGATCACCTGAGGACAGGAGTTTGAGACCAGACCAGCCCGCATGGCGAAGCCCCATCTCTACCAAAAATACAAAAATCAGCCAGGCATGGTGGCAGGTGCCTGTAATCCCAGCTACTTGGGAGGCTGAGGTGAGAGAATCACTTGAACCTAGGAGGCAGAGGTTGAAGTGAGCCAAGATTGCACCATTGCACTCCAGCCTGGGTGAGAAGAGTGAAACTCCATCTCAAAAAATAAAAAGAAAAAAGAAATAGAACCTTATCAGTACCTGTAGCACCCTCTGTGCCCCTCCCTTGTCATGTCCTCTTTGGGAGGTATCTTGAAGGGAATATGAAATCTTGGCCAGGAAATTGGAGGATTTGTGACTGCAGGTGGTGTTTTCATTATTTTTTCCTGCTCTAGTTAGAACTTCAGGGAGGGGATGATTTGGGAGGTAAATGGCTGAAATGCTATTGGATTTGTGTTTGTGGCCCATGGCTCCTGATACCAGACAGAAGGGCCTTTTCTGGGGTTGGAGTATTTCTTAAGAGGCCTGGGAAGAATGTGATTGCTTTGAGCTAACTGTCCTTCTGAAGAGGACCTTAAACTGAATTGCCAAGTTATTAGTATCGGGATTCACAGACTTTGGAGATTAGCAGGTATGACTCAGAAAGATTTACAGGAAAGAGCCAGAACAATAGGTTTATGGCCTCTGATGTCCACAGTGACAACCTGAGAGTCATGAATAATAAGCAAAATTGAACTTGAGATACAGTATAACACAAAGATGGGAGTGACTGCAGGAGGAAATGTGCCCTGGTCAGCAACTTGGTAAATCCAACTTACTGTACTTTTAAGGAAGTCATTTTCCGATGTTACAGGCAACATCAGAATTACTGAATTGAATTCTGAGGTAGCACTTTAAGAAAGATCTACTTAGATAAGGTTAGGTTCATTTAGAGAATAATAGCCAGGATTGGGAAGAGATTCTTTTCCATGTCCTAGGATAGCTGGTGAAATTGTGGATTTGGAGAGGAAAACTTGGGGGTTCTGGTTCATGATAGATTGTCTTAAACTATTTGAAGGAGTATGTATATGGAAGCATTAGTTTTTATTCATTTTTGGTGAAGACAGGGCATAAAACTAGAACTAATAAGTCAAATTACAAAGAGGTGATTTTCAACTCAATGTAAGGAAGTGACTTGTAACTATTTAGACCCATCTGGTGATGTAGTCTTTGAAAACTAGAATGTTCTTCATCTTTAAGAATAACTTAGAAGGCTGAGATGTCAAATGGGAAATCAGATAATTTCATGAGATCCTTGTAGATCCTGAGAGTCTCATTCTGAGTTAAAATATACTAAGGTAACTCAAACTTAATTTTACCAGTCACCCTCAACCTTTATTTTCCCCTCCCTGAAGAACTCTTTTTATTTCTGTAAAATCTTGATTCCTGAGTTCCAGGGTACAGAGCTTATGGAATAGAGTCCCCAGGTTTTGATGCAGAGGAACCTCTTTCTCCTGTCTGAAAATATCCTTTAATATTTCCTTTAGTGTGAGTCTGCAGATAGAAAAAATCCTTGCTTTTTATTTCATCATTGAAGAGTATCTTCATTGAGCGTAATTCTCTAGATGGGCAGTTTCCTTCTTTCAGCACTTCGCAGATATCATTCTCTTATGCCAGCTTCCATTGTTTCTCTTGAAGTGTTTATGGTGGTTAAATCTTGTGAAGTCTTTGATCAGTTTTGGGAAATTCTCCACAACCATATCTTCAGCTCTTGCTTCTGTCCCATTCTTGTTTTTCTTCCAGTGCTCTACGTATGTGATAAACTTTTCAATATGTTGTCTTTTATTTTCTCAATTTTCCACCTTTTTGTCTTTCTGAACTTTTTGCAGTTTACTGAATCTGTCTTCTGCTAGGTTACTGCTGTGGTTAAGCTTATCCATTACGTTATTAATTTCAGTTTTGGTAGTTCTAAATTGCAGAATTTCATATGGTTCATTTTATAATTTGCATTTCTCTGCCAGGTTTTTAGTCTTGTCCCATCTTTCCTTGCTCATGTTCAGCAGTTATATTGAACTGTGTCTGCTAACTCTGTTATCTTGATCCCTTGTGGTTTTGTGTCTGTTGTTTGCTTCTCTTGTTTTCTGTTGTGTCATCTTTAAGTCTCATGTGGCTTTCTATTTTTAGTGATAGACATTATATATGGAAAAATTGTAGAGCTAATTTGAAGCCTTGGATGATATTCTTCTCCAGAGAGGATTTACATTTCCCCTGCCAGGGGCTTGGAAATTAACAATCAGGGATTGAGATGATTAAATCTGGCCATCATTCCCTGTCGGGGCAATTTGCAGTTTGTTCTTCAGGTTCCCAACCTAAGGAGTGGGAGACTTAACAGGGCCTCTCCTCAGTGGATGCTGAGCTCCAATGTTTATCTCCCTGTGAGCTCTGTGAGGCTGTGAGTTCTAGCTCAGCTTGTTAACCTCTTCTTCTCTGCTGTCATTGCAAGAAAACCCAAAGGGTAAAAAAGAAGACCCTGTTCTCTGGTATTCCCTTTTCTCAGCCCTGTAATCATTACATTTTGTCCACCTTTCTAGTTCTCAGTGAGAGGATTGATCTAAGTTACCTAGTCTATCATTATTGCAATGGTTCCTTTATATAGTTCTATTGAAGTGAAGCCCCTTCATATGTTACATAAGTTTACCACAACACTGTTCTGTTTGGGCCTGATTTTAACTTCATTTTTATTTGCTTTGGTTTTCATTTCATTTTTTCTGTACTAATTTTACCTTTATGACTCTCACCCATTATCTGATAATAAATGTACATATTCTTTTATAGATTATTTTAAAATCTTCTAAATAGTATATAGTATTAACAATGTTCTTAAAATTAATTAAGCTTGCTTATTTGCTTTTTAGGATAACTTTCCATTTGATCCTCCATTTGTTTGAGTGGTGTTACCTGTTCTCTCAGGATCATAAGTTTAAGTGATTAAGTGTTTACTTTAAATGCTTTTTTTTTTTTTTTTTAGTTTAAAAAAATTTTTTGTAGAGATGAGGTCTCACTATGTTGCTCTGGCTGTTCTTGAACTCCTGGGCTCAAGTGATCCTCCCACCTTGCCCTCCCAAGTTGCTGGGATGACAGGCATGAGCTGCTGTGCCTGGGTTACATTTTTTTTTTAATATAGTATGCACCAGAATCATTTGGAGAGCTAGTCCCAGGGTTTCTGATTCAGTAGGTCTGTGGTGTTGCCTGAGCATTTACGTTTTTAAGAAGTTCCCAGGTGAAACTGATACTGTTGTTCTGGGGCCTACATCTGGAACCACTGGTTATAAAGCATTATGTTGTTGACAGGTAGAGATTTTAGTGTTATATATATGCATATATACACATATATATACACACACACATGCACATATTTACACATACATACATATATATATATATTCATACATACTTTTTAATCATAAAAACCAAAGGTTTTTCAAATGTAAATTATGATTGAAGGTTTAGAGAATGTTATGATTACAGAGTGGTCCCCACATACCTGTGATCCTAATTAGTACTTCTAGGAATAATCATGGGAAATCTCATGGACCTATGGAGTTGGCTGATTACTTCTAGAGGTGATAGTTGCAGTGTAGTAGAATCAAATGGTAATTGTCATGTAGTTTTACTGAAATTTGTATTGCTTCTTTTTTGTGATTGAAAGTCTTACAGAAGTGGGGAAAAGTCACAGTTTGCTAGGTTAGTTATGAAATGTTCTGTAGACCCTTAAAGTATGAGCAATTGAAAGTAACCTGAGGATTTTCAAACACTCAGCTGACTAATTCCATTACTTGACATAATCCACCTTATGGTGATTAAAATCTAAATATCTCCAGCCCTTACTTTGATCATTTCTATGGTTGAGATAGTAATAGTTGCATTTAGGGTAAAAATATGAGTGACTACTTCAGACTTCAGAACTTTCTCCAGAAGAGCTTTGTTGCTAGTTATTTTTAGTTGTATTTGCTTTACATACTTATGTATGTGTTTTGGGGGCTAAGATCCTGTTAAGAATCATTCTGAATAATCAGAATACATATTAACTGTGGTGCTGATACTACGGAATAGTTGTCTGGACATGATATCCATGTGTAAAAGTTCAGAGAAACAAGAAGTGTGGGTTTAAAAAAAAAACCTTAGTATTACATGTGGATGTGCTGAGCTCATTTTGAGTTTCCCCACACAGTAAAGGAATATTGATTTTATTATTTAATTACTTAATTTTATTGAGACGGGGTCTTTCTCTGTTGCCCCAGGCTGGAGTGAGTGGTGCAATCACAGCTGACTGCAACCTCTGCCTCCCCGGCTCAAGCCATCCTGCCACCTCAGTTTCCTAAGAAGCTGGGACTACAGGTGTATGCCAGCATACCAAGCTAATTTTTGTATTTTTGATAGAGACAGGGTTTCACCATGTTGCTCATGTTGGTCTCGAACTCCCAGGTTAAAGTGATCCACCCTGCTGAGACTGAAAAAGTATTAGGATTATGGGTCTGAGCCACTTTGCCCAGCCCAATGTTGTCTGTTAAAATTTTTTATTTATTTACTTATCTTTTGCTTTTCTGTTTAAATTTTTAAATTTCTATTTTTTTCAATATTGTGTTTTAAGAGTTTACTTACCTGACGCCTGCAGCCTAATCTTTGCCAAATCTCCCCAAATGTTCTGTGAGTGCTAATATAGTGGTATGGTAATAGATATTTGTTTTGTGGGGATTGCAAGGTTTTGGGGAAGCCAGCTTCAAAATGTCTTTTACCAAAGGACTTCTTGGAGCCTTAATGCCATTTTCTATTTTTCCCAAATTTGTTTATTAGTGTTCCTGACAACATCTCAGAGGATGGTGTCTTCTGGCTTACTCTGGGAAATGCTGCTCTGTGAGAAATCTGAAGTTCTGAGTGATCCCCATGCATTTTCTGCTGCAGAGCAGGACATACTGAAGTGATTCCTTCATGAGCAGATGTCAGAGGTCTCCCTTTGTCAGCTTGTTACAAAGTTGATCACAAATATACTATTACGGGGAGTGGAAGTCCCAGGTTGGGTGTGAAGCAGAGTTGTTTAGAATTGTGTACTATTTTGTTAACTTTAAATCTTCTCTAGGCTGTTTTGGTTTTGGCAGTAAAATTGCTATAAAAAGTACTTCTCTTGGCATACAACCTAATGGTCAATTTTGGAAGTTCAGTGTTAGGTAACCCAGCCAAATACTTATGTATACAAAATAAACAGAAGACTGAAAAATAGTAAATGTTTAAACTTTGTGTCTCTTGCTCACTACAGCGGCCTATAACTAGCCACCAAGCCATAGTTCTTTTGTTTGTCATAGTTGAATTTCAAAATGTCTTTGTAATGAAGCCCTTCCTGATTGGGGAGAAAGGACATAAGTATTGTGCTTTAGTTTTATGTGCTGGTTTATAAAATTGTGTATGTTGACTCAATATCCCCATAAGCATAGGGAAAGGAAAACAGGTCATTTTTTGTTCAGAATCTTATTTGAGAAAAAAAAAATGATCAAAGAAAAGATTTGCATAAAAATCTGCAAATTCAGGATAAATGTATGAAAACATTTTAAAATGTGATTATAAAATAGACCAGTATAGCTTTTCAACATTTGGTTGTAAGAATCCCAAGAATGTAAGTTTATGATCTTAGTATACCACCTAGAATCGAGACGAATACATGAGGTTATGAATCATGCCATTTTCAGTTTTAAAATATGTTACATAGTTTCTTCATTGATTCTTTTTTGCCACAGTGTGTTATGGTCCTCATTATTTGGATGAATAATTTGAATAATAAGTCAGCTTGTGACTTACCTAAATAAATCTTCTGAGTCCTAGTAAAGTGTTTTTCATTATATGAAATGCCAGCTATATAAAAGGAGATTAAAAGTACTAAGAGCTGTAAGTTCCACATTGATTATCATAGGCTAACCATGGGCCAGGCACGGTGGCACACACCCATAATCCCAGCACTTTGGGAAGCTGAGGCGGGTGGATCACTTGAGGTCTGGAGTTCGAGACCAGCCTGGCCAAGATGGTGAAGCCCCATCTCTACCAAAAATACAAAAAAATTGCCAGATGTGGTGGTGCATACTGGTAATCCCAGCTACTCAGAAGACTGAGTCAGGAGAATTGCTTGAACTCGGGAGGCAGAGTCTGCAGTGAGCTGAGATCGTGCCACTGCGCTCCAGCCTGGGTGACAAAGATAAACTGCATCTGAACAAAAAAGAAAAAGAAAAGCTAAGCATGGACTTAATTTATCTGAGGTTTAAAGCTGCAAAGAGTTGCTCTTCATGAAGTAGGTGGGATCTCAGCTGGGCAGTGAAATGTGACTGGGGTTTGGTCAGCTGGGGGAGGTTGCAGGAAAATTATTTACGTAGGTGAAGAGTAAACAAAATCAGGTATCTAGGAAAGAGAACGAGGAATTCAGAGTATACGAAACCAATTTGAGCTATAACACAAGGAGGGTAGGATTCATGTAGAAGAGTTGTAGGAAATATTGCGGATGTAATATTTTGTACTCAAACAGTTCTGTGGATTGGTGACAGATTTTTTTTTTCAGGTAAGTAAACTATTACCCCTGGATATTCATCTTTCTATGTAACTGGTTGAGAAATGGGAGTAAGAGTAAAGAAACTGTTTTCGAATAAATCTGGTGACAGTAGAAGAGAATATGAGACACATTGTGCTCACAGAGCCTAGAAGAGTGTGACGGTAGTTGAGGGCCATGCTGTTGTCTTAGAGTGAAGTGAGGAGAACTTACATTGGTGTGGTAGTCATGGGAGTGGAAGGAGGAATGAAATGTGAAAGCCCATTGGAGGCAGAATCAAAATGGCTTGGTCTTCATAGTCAAATATTAAGTAAGGAGGAGGAATTATTGGCTGACTTAGGAAGAAGTAAAAAATGTGAAATACCAATAAAACACCAAGCTTGCAATTTTAGTCAGGGTAAAGCTTAAGCATTGTGTGATTCTAGATAGATTATTGAGCAGTTTTGTTCCATATATTTTATATCCCATATCTTTGAGCTATGATCCTATTGTTTATTTCTTGACATACCCAAACATTTTTCAAACTATTGTGGTACAGCTTTTATATGATAAGCCTCACCCTTTGAAGTGTACAGTTCAGTGGTTTTTAGTATATTCAGAGTTATGCAGCCATTACCATTAGCTAATTTCAGAACCTTTTCTTCTCCCCAAAAAGAAACCCCATACCCATTAGCAGTCGCTCTGTGTGCTTGTCTCCCCCGCCGTTCATCCTGGCAATCTCTGATCTAATTTCTGTCTCTGTAGATTTGCCTATCCTGGACATTTCATATAAATAGAATCATACAAAATGTGGCATTTTGTGACTGACTTTTCTTTGAAGTGATTATAAAGCAAATGCCTGAAGAGGCAAAGCTTAGGATAGTGTTTGCTGTACAGCTTTGATAACTGAATTTTTTTAAGTTGAAAATATTACTATGTCTGTATATGTGGCATATTATCCTTAGATGACCGTTACTTCAATTATTAGAATTTTTTTCCCTAGTATTCTTGAACTGTCTCAATATTCAGTAGGAACCCTTTGGAGACAAAGAGCAGTAAGAATTTGGAACACATATTGATGAAATGAATGCCATTTAATACAGTAGTAGAGTTGACCACTTTTATGTGTCAGTGCTGCTGAAAGTGTATATTAAAGAAAAGTTTACTTATCTTACTTATGTAGTGAAGGTACTAGAACTACTTCTGTCTTCTGTTTAGATTTCAACAAACATTTGCATAGGTATTATGCAGTTGTACAAATGTACTGTCTTTTGACCTGAAAATGCAAAAACTTCCTTTCTTCCTACTTTCTGAGACTCTGCAACCTTAAAGGAAGAGTGGGGTACTTTAAAGGAAAGGTGGTGTTGGTTGGATAATGGGTGACAATGTCTACCATATACTTCCTTTTCCCAAAACAAGTTCCTGTCTACCATCAGCATCTCCAAAATTTGAAGATCAAGTGTGGTGTTAACTCATTAACTAAATGACTAGACTTTGAGCAGTTGTGGAACCAAAATCTGAGTGAGTGCCTGGATGTTCTAATTCTGTTAAATCAATGAGTGCACATTATATACAATACTCTCTTAGCCCAGTGGCAGATTTAAGGAGTGAGAGAGAGATTTCAAATGTTTCAGAAATCAGATACACAAAGAATAAAAATTTGTAATCCCATGATTCTTTACCTGAGTTTAATTTTTCGGAGAGTTTTTCTTTTAGATTTTCTTTTCCTTCCATTAAACTTTCACTTTGAAAGCTCCCAGGGTTTGAGCAAAGCAAGTGGGAAAGCCACTTGCTTGGATTCTCTAGGGCAAGGGAGTTAAAGAGGACTTCTTTCCCTCATTTTATTATTGAATAATGTCATGATAACAATTATTAAGGTGAATGGTCTACAGTAGAAGTTTTTAGATGCCTTCTCTGCAAAATAATTTGGTTTAGTCAATGCAAGGATGCCTTTGGTTAGCTGGAACAGAAGATGCGCAGGCTAGAGTGGTCTTGGCAAGTCTTCTGGGGGGAAATACAGCATTTGGAAGGGTAGGAAGCAGAAGGAATCTCAAGCAAGGGAAAGGTGTGGGCAGAGCCCCGGAGGACAGAACCATTTGTGGTGGACTTGGTGTCCACATAGATCTAATCAGTGGTCTTAGCTTTTGTGTTTTCAAAATTACCACAGTTTTTGTTCTAAAACTATCATTCCCTTGATTTTACTTTAGGTATGCTATCTGTGTATTTTGAAATTTAAAATAACATTAAAGGAGAAATGAAATTATTTTGTTTGAGAAAGAATTAAAAGGTTAAAACATCTTGATCTAAATAATTTTCTAATGGGAGATTTGGTACATCCCCAGAAGTTGTCTTTGGTTCAGAGAACAGTCTTCAGACCTAGAAAGGACTTGAGGAGTCCCAGAGAGGAGCCGCATGGTGTGAACCATTCGATTCTCACAACAGAATGGATAAGAACAATTTTAACCATGAAACCTTGCAGATGTTCATATTTTGAATAGGGTAAGATCAGTGCTATTGTCAGAGGAAAAACTCCTGGCCATCACAGGTTGAGAGAGAAAGTTTCCATTGTAAAGAACACTCAAATGCCATTTAAGGAAATGGGTTCTTCTGCTCTGATTCTTTGGAATATTTAGGGCCACGTTTTTAGTTTTTGACATCATAAAAATTTCAAAGTATTCTGTTCTGATTGCCATTTCAAACAATTGACTAGAATTTCAGAGCAATTACATAAGAGTAATACCATTAGAATTTTTAAATTACTTATAGTCCTATATGCCTAACAAGTATGTTCATGCTTACGTGTTCTCTTCTTGTCTTTACTGTGTGCATACTTTCTTAATAATGCCACATGGAAATTGTTTAAGCAGGAATACTTCTCAAGATAATTTTGTATGTTTCCTTTTTTCTTTTTAAGGTATGTATTGGGTGGAGGAGCATTATGTATGGAACCTCTCACAAAATTGGTGATTATTTTATTATTATACTCAATTTTCACCCTCAATTGAGTGTTTTGATTATGTAAGTTAGATCGTAAGTAGACTGTTCTCTTAAAGACATTTTAGTGTTTTTTTTTTTTTCATAGCTTCTACTTTCAAGAATGAAAAAGGTATCCCAGCAGTTTGGGAGGCTGAGGCAGGTGGATCACGAGGTCAGGAGATTGAGACTATCCTGGCTAACACGGTGAAACCCCGTCTCTACTAAAAAATACAAAAAAAATAGCCGGGCGTGATGGCGGGTGACTTTAGTCCCAGGTACTCGGGAGGCTGAGGCAGGAGAATGGTGTGAACCTGGGAGGCAGAGCTTGCAGTGAGCTGAGATGGTGCCACCGCACTCCAGCCTGGGTGACAGAGCGAGACTCCATCTCAAAAAAAAAAAAAAAAAAAAAAAAAAAAAAGAATGAAAAAGGCAAACCAGTAAAATAACATTGTACTTGGTGCTGAATTTATGCTAGGATAGGCATTAACAGTGACCTTTATTTAAGGTTCTAATTTGTTCATGTTGGGCACTTAGAACATTGGTTTGTTGTTTTTTTGTGAGATTCTGGAAACGTTCCAATTTTACCTTTTCCCTTTGACTCCAGACTTTTTAACACTGGTCTGCTACTGTTAAGTTATATGCCATTTGGTTAGGCCTTCTCAAGTGGGAACCAGGAACGCTGCTGTGTTCTAAAGATGTTTTGTTCTTCCTGTAGAGCTGAAGCAGTGCCTACTCGATAGAATTAGCCATCATACAAATAAAACACACCTGAGACAAAGGCAAAGCCAGAGTGCAGCTTGGAGCAAAGAAGGTACTTTTATTAAGAATTTTACATAAACCATAAGATATATTTTGTGTTACTTTGTGAGTCTTCTTCCTGTCTTAATTCTTTTTGAGAGAATTCATTTCATTTTCATTTGGTTTTTTTCTCTTACAAAGATGATCTATAGAAAATATAGAAGTTTAAGAAAATTAAATTTACTAACTGATAATCACTTAATGATTTAGTATCTGATTGTTTAGTCTTTATTTACTGTAGAGAAACATGTCTACAGTTGTAAATTTATTATTGTTATGTATACCCTAGTAAAAGTTATATGTACTTTGAAGTTTTGCAAAATTGAGTTCATGTTATAGAATTAATTCCTGATGAACTTTTATGTGCTAGACACTAGTCTTTTTATTTATTTATTTTTACTTTTTTTCTTTCCCTCTGTGCCTATGCTTACCAAGTCTTTTTATTAGCTCTTTCAATCCTCTTAATAAGGATTGAATACCTCTTTAAAAGAGGGTATTAATAATATCTGCATTTTATGGATGAGGCAACTGGAAGTAGGTAACTTGTCCAAGGTCACAGGTGGCAGAACAAGGATTGGAACCAGACAGTCTGACTGCCCTAGGCCCAACCAAGAGGAGCTGAGAGCAAGCCATGGGGCAGAAGGATGTTGGAGGCTGGTTTTCTGTTCAGTTAACATGAAATGCAGCCTGTAACCTTAATTCCAGGACATTACTGAGAAAGCCTTCCAAAGCCAGAGGGTTTTTTGTTTTGTTTTGTTTTGTTTTCCATGACCATGACTTTTGAGCAAAAATTTGGTTTCGTTTAAAGGCAATATGGTGCTCCAAGAAACTTCCACTCACACTTATGGAGGGAATGGTAGTTGAGCTAAATAGTGAAATGCTGTAGCACACAGCCTTTAGGGCAGCTTCTGACCTATTTCTATGGTCAGGAAAGACACCTGTCTTTCCCTGCTGCCCACAGCCTCTAGTTATTCACCTTCAGAATTTCCTAGTCTGTGATCACATTCAGATGAGAGATCCGTTTTGTTTTTTCCAGGGTAGCAAGAAGTGAGTCACCACCTATACTAAGCAGTCTAGTCTTCTGTATATAAATGAGCAATGGTGGGGAGCCAGATTTGAGAACCTTGTGTAATGCTGAGATGCTCCAAGATAATCCAAGAGAATGTCAGGATTATGCATGGTGGTAAAGTGCTCTCATGTTAGTTGTACCCACAGCTCTCATCAGAAGCAGACACAGATACTTTTTATAGGAAAACATCTCTAACTTAAGCCTGTAGGATTCCCAAAGATTAAAAGCAGGCAAATATGAATTCAGTCAAATCACAGCATTCAAGTAGTCTCAACACAACATATTTGAGAATTGCTAGAAACAATGAATATGTTTCCCAAAGACTAGGTTTTGGAATTATCAGATACAGAACACAGACTTCAAATATTAGAATTGTGAGAAAATAGTTACATGTGAAACCTAATATAAAAGAAGGACTCATTAAATTGAGCAACAGAAAGACCACCAGGAATGATGAGGAGGACCTGAAAAGAAAATGGATGAACTAGAACTTACAGAAATAAAATATATAGCTGGATCTGGTGGCTCACACCTGTAATCCCAGCACTGTTTGGGAGGCTGAGGTGGGAGGATGGTATGAGCCCAGGAGTTGGGGAGACAAGCCTGGGCAACATGGTGAGAACTCGTTTCTGTAAAAAATACCCCAACACCACCAAAAAAAAAAAAAAAAAAAAAAAGTAGCTGGGTATGGGGCACATGTCTATAGTCCTAGCTAGTCAGGAGGCTGAGGAGGATCACTTGAGCTCAGGAGACAAGGGCTGCACGTGCATGCCACTGCAGTCCAGCCTGGGTGACAGAGTGAGACTCCGTCTCAGAATAAAATGAAATAAAGAAATAAAAAATGTAATTGTTGAAATAAAAACCTCAGTGGATGGATTAGACATCAGAAGAAAGAATTAATTGGTTAGACAATTATCTCCCAAAAGTGAGTCAGTATGTTACACAGAAAGACATGAGGATAGATGATAGGGCAGAAGTTGGTGGGGTTGTAGGGGGAGGGAGATCAGAATGAGGTCTAAAATATGTCTTAGTGGAATCCCAGGAGGGAATATTAAAATTATATTAGAAAGTGAGAGAAATAGAAATTCTAAAGGTGATAGAAGGAAGTCCACATAAATCAGTCACAACAAATGTAAATGGACTAAAGTTACCAGTTAGGTGGAACTAATAAAAGAATATCCAGCTGTTTTAATCCATCATATTTAAAATATAAGGATATGAGAAGATTGAAAGTTTTTATAAAGGAGAGAGAGTGATAAAGATATGGCAGTATACATTAACCAAAAACAAGTGATGGAGCTTCAATATCAAAAAAGGATTTTGGAACAGAAAGCGTTATTAAGAAACTTGATGCTGACTGTTAATTAGGAGGATGTAGCAATTTTCATATTTTATGTACCTGTCAAAATAGCCTCAAAATGCAGGAGAAAAACTGATAAAACCACAGGTAGAAATTGACAAGTCTGCCAGCATATTTGGAGATTTCACCATACCCTGCTTACCATAAGTAAGTTACACGGAATGCCCATATGTAGATTTGAATAACCAGTGAATGGACATGGTGTAATGGACAAATATAGACCTTTGTACCCAATAATTAGATATTGTATATTCTTCTCAAGCATATGTGGACTGTGGGTGAAACATTAATTATATATTAATTCATAAAGCAAGTCAGAAGATTTAAAAAACAATTGGTACCATCCACACCATATAATTTATAATTTAAATATGAAGCAATTAAGGTTAGAAGGCAATAATGAAGAGATTAAAAAAAAGCTACATGAATTTGGAAATTAAACACCCTTGTAATTCGTGGTTTAAAAAACTCAATACAATTTTAGAATGCTTAGAATTGAACCATAGTTAAAATATGAAACTTCTCTCTATTCCTCTCTCTCTCCCTCTCCCTCTCTCTTCCTATCTGGAAGAGAAGGGAGCTAATTGAAGAAGCTAATCTTTTTCAATGAAGAACACCCCAAATACTGAAAAGAAGAAAAAGGACAGATGGCATTTCATGGTAATCCCTTCCCCCAAGAGTGTAGAATGTTTCTTTAGCTTCTTTGATAGTTTGTTTATTTATTTATTAAGTACTTACTATAAACCAGACTCTGCTTTAATTTGTGATGAACAACCTAGAGATTAAGTCCTGCCCTATGGATTTTATATTAGAGTGAGAAAAACAGATAGCTAAGTCTGGAGCTCAGGGGTGAGGCCCAGGTTGGAATTATAGATTCACTTGACCAAGGTGAAACCTGGTGTGCCCCCTCCTACTTCACATCCCCAGACATACTTCTAGAACATTTCTGTTCTATTCTTGTGTATAAACTCTTCCTTTTGAGCCTCTCTCCATTGATGCATATCAACCTCTACTTGTCTTTTGTTGATTTTGAGGCCACTTGCCCATATAACTTGGAGGATATTGAAGAAGAATCATACCGACCTGGTTCTGCTACCTAACAGCTGAGTTACTTTGGTCAAGCTCTTGGACTTCTGAGGCTGTTTCCTAATTTCAAAAGTGGGTATATGATGTGTTAGGCCCTGGTGGGTTGCAAGGAAGAGGTACACACATATCACCTTTGATGATGATGGCGGAATATTAACTTGGATGGAAAGTCATCCAAACAGCGATATTGTCTCTGGCCCTAGTAATTTCAAAACCTCACAGAATATTAATTTAGCAGTATTTAGGATAGGGTTTGAGCTCTGAAGACCTACAGTGTGGTTATTTGTTCATATGGCTGTTTTCCATACTAGACCATGAACTCCATGAGGGCAGGGTCTACAGTTTCATCTTTCTATCCTAGACACTCAGTTCCGTGCCTGATACATAATAATAGAGGCACAAATGTTTTAAGAGTTGAGGAATTTTCAACTGTTACTGAAAGAATAGGAAGATATAAAGGCTTCTCAGAGACAGTATCATTTAAGCTGATTTTGTTTTTGTTTTTGAGATGAAGTCTTGCTCTCTCACCCAAGATGGAGTGCAATGGCGTGATCTCAGCTCACTGCAACCTCTGCTTGCCAGTTGCAAGTGATTCTTCTGCCTCAGTCTCCTGAGTAGCTGGGATTACAGGCATCCACCACCACACCCAGCTATTTTTTGTATTTTTAGTAAAGATGAGGTTTCACCATGTTGGCCAGGCTAGTCTCAAACTACTGATCTGAGGTGATCCACCCACCTTGGCCTCCCAAAGTGCTGGGATTACAGGCATGAGCCACCATGCCCAGCTTATTTAAGCTGATTCTTTAAGGGTAAGTAGAAATTTTTTCCAGGTGAATAAAACCTTGAGCTATTATTCCAAGCAGAGACCAGTAGGTGCAAAGACATAGGGATATAGAGATGTAGAAGTTTACCAAACACTGCTAGATTAAAAAAACAAAAAGGAAACTATCAAAATCAAAAATTCAGATTAAAAATCACCTTAAATACAAACTATGAATGGGCTTGGCCAGAGGTCACATCGCAACTGAGTTAACTATGACCGTAGACACTCAGTAATGGATGGAAGTTTTAGGGAAAACACGTAACATTCTCAGGTTGTTGGCAGAGTATCTGGAACAATCTACAAATACGGGCATTGAATTCTGGGAATAATTACACTGTAGTGATATCATTTCCTTCTCTGCGTATGAAGCATGTATGTATTGCACACTGTTCAAGGTGCTGAAAATCAGACTCTTCTCGAGCAATCAAGGAAGATGGATGGGTGAGCAACTGATTATCATGTGACAAGTGAGGTAATAGAGATATGACTAAGATGGTATCTAAACAAGAAGAAAGGAATTATTCATAATATATGGAGTTCTGGGGAAATATTTCTCAAATGAAGCCAGCCGGGCCGGATGGCTCCCACTTGTAATAGCGGCACTTTGGGAGGTGGAAGTGGGAGGATCTAGGAGGATCTAGGAGTTCAAGACCAGCCTGGTCAACAGAGCAAAGCCCTGCCTGTTTCTATATTTGAAAAAAAAATAAATAAATTTTTTAAATGACATGATATTTGAGCACTCTGGAGCACCATACAAATATAGGACAGACTGAAGGAATGTATCTGGCTTGAGTTAACATTTGTTGAAATTTTATATTGCAAAAATAGTACATATTCACTGTTTTGAAACTAGGAAGAATTGATAGGCAAGGAGGGCTGTCTACAAAGCACTCCATAGATCCACCATACTGAGACAATGCTTAATGCTTTGATGGATTTATTGTATACTATCTATGCATATGCATGCATTATATACATACGTATGCATGGTTAAATAGAAATATTTCTCCTTGGTGTTAATCCATTTATTGTTATGCAGTAAATCCCCAAAGAGCACATTTGCTTTGCCCAAGGGAGTCTTTTGCTACATACTGCTGCACATAATGAAAACTAAAAAATTGGCTAACTTTTCAGCCTTGTGACTTTGTGGTGATTCAAATAGAGGCTTCATCAAAGGCAGATTCAGAAATGAACTTAGTGTGTGGGTGGTTATGCTTGGCATTATTGTTTGTAATAGTATGATAGGGATGACTTCAGTGTCCACCAACAGGGAACTGGTTAAGTAAACTGTGGTACATCCAAACGATGAATACTGTGCGGTTGTAAAGAAGAATGACAAAGACCTCTGTACTCATGTAGAAGAACTCACATATATTGTGTGTGTTTTAAGAGGAACAAGGAATGGTATAGTATGTATGGTATGCTACTTTTTGTGTTGAGAGAGAAGAGTAGAATAAGAATATACGTGTGTATTTGCAAAGATAAATTCTGAAATGATATATAAGAAACCAATTAAAAGTGTTTGGCTGTAGAAGGAGAATAAGACTGTGAATGGGATTTGGCCACATACTTTTATAGGTAGTTATATTTAAAAATTTTCTGAACCATGTGTTTGTACACATGACCCTTTTAAAAATAAGTGAATGAAGGAATGAAGTAGGATTATGAGAAAGAGATAAGAACAAATGATCTAAGGGGCTGCCCATTTTTTAGTACCTAGTGAATATTAATATAAACAATAGCAGCAAAAATTGGAAGAGTAGCCCCAGGAGGGTAGGGAGTCAGCCTTTCCTTTGTCTTTTCCTCAATTTCATATATTAAACAAAATAATCTGAGAATGATAAAACAATTTGAAATAAAAAATGTCTCCACATCTCTTAAAAGGAAGCTAGGGCAGCTTTCTGTAGCGCACTTCCCGAAAATGGGCTGATTTACCTCAAGAGGCAGGGATTCTAGCCTACATGGGATACATACAGGAGAAAAAAAAATCAGAAAAAGAAAAGAGATTTAAATATAAATAAATGAAAATCACAATTCTCCCTCATTATAAAGGAAATCATTCTTTTTGTAATAATTTGGATGACAAATATTAAGAAAAATCTTTAATTTGCCACTCAAAACATTGTGGCTTGTTGCTTTTTATATGTTTTTATGCACATAAACCTTTTAAAAAGTAGAATCGTAATATGTAGTCTTTTGTCACTTACTATATTTTGGGCATATTTCTGTGGCAGTAAATGTATCCTGGCACCATCATTTTTAATAGCTGCATGTATATTAAGTTAATCACTGCCACCCCAGAGGTGAATTTTCTTTCTTTTTTTTTTTTTTTTTTTTTTTTTTTGAGACGGAGTCTCGCTCTGTCGCCCAGGCTGGAGTGCAGTGGCGGGATCTCGGCTCACTGCAAGCTCCGCCTCCCGGGTTCATGCCATTCTCCTGCCTCAGCCTCCCAAGTAGCTGGGACTACAGGCGCCCGCCACTACGCCCGGCTAATTTTTTGTATTTTTAGTAGAGACGGGGTTTCACCGTGTTAGCCGGGATGGTCTCGATCTCCTGACCTCGTGATCCGCCCGCCTCGGCCTCCCAAAGTGCTGGGATTACAGGTGTGAGCCACCGCGCCCGGCCGGTGAATTTTCTTATACATACATTTTAATGGGCTTGAGCAAACATTTTTGGACTAAATTCATAGAAGTAGAATTTCTGGAGGAAAATAATTTTTAGGGTTTTTAATAGAAACTTTCAAATCATTCTCCAGGAAAAGTGACTCAGGTTACACTCCCACCAACAAGGACAGAGCTCCAGGTTCCCCTTTCCATTTGTCATCTTTCCTGCCTTTATACAGAAAATCTCATTGTTTTCATGACATTTCTTTGATTTCTTGTGCTTTTGAATCTTTGTATATGCCATTGGCCATTTTTATTCTTGTGAGACATGCCAGTTTCTCCATTAACCATTTCAGTTGAAAATCATTTGTTTTTTTTCTCAGTAATTTTAAAGATTTCTTTATAGACTAAGGATGCAAGCATTTTATCTGTCATTGAGGTTACAAAAACTTTCTCCCAGTAAGTAATTTGTCATTTCATTTTTTCTTCTTTTCTTTTTCCTTTCCTTTCCCTTTCTTTCTTTCTCTTTTTCTTTCTTTTCCTTGTTTCGTTCTTTCTTCTTCTTCTTCCTTCCTTGCTTTCCTTTTCTTTCTTGCTTTCCATTCTTACGTTCTTTTCTTTTCCCTCCCTCCCTCTCTTTCTTTCCTCTTTCTTTTTCTCTTTTTCTTTCTCTCTCTTTTTCTTTCTTCTTTCCCTCTCTCTCTTTCTTCCTTTCCTTTCTTTCTCTTTGTTCCCTCCCTCCCTCCTTCTTTCCTTTCTTTCTTTCTTTCTTTCATTAGCCAAGCTCCAAAGTCACATTTCACTTAATTTTTATCCTGCCAAATTTGAAAGCCTTTTAACTTCGTGATTTTAGTGTAAACAGGAGCAGGAGAAAATGTAATTATCTAAGTCTCGCTCTGTCACCCAGACTGGAGTGCAGTGCCATAATCATAGCTACTGCAGCCTTGAACTCCTCGCCTCAAGCAATTTTCCCACCTCAGCCTGCCAAGTAGCTAGGACTACAGCTGTGTGCCACCACACCCAGCTAATGTTTAAAAATTTTTGTGGAGATGTGAATTCTCTATGCTGCCCAGGCTAGTCTTGAACTCCTGACTTCAAGTAATCCTCCCACCTCAGCTTGCCAAAGTGCTGGGATTACAGGTGTCAGCTACTGCTCCTGACAGAGAGTTTAGTTTTGTTTGGTAGTGGTGTTCTTGGTATGTTTTCATATTTGAGGCTTTGGGCTAGTGCTGAAGTATTACACTCACCATCCGCGGTCTACAGGACTTTTGGTTTAATATTGAACAGATGGAACTGTTTAGTTCTGCATCTTTGAAGGTACACAGAATGTGCCTACCAGGAATCTGCTTTATATCCATTGAAAGCAAGAAATAATACAGTAAAACTTTGCCTGGCTAGAGTATTTGAAAGAATGGCATATTCTGCTTTAATTCTATTACTTTGGAAGTATGAAGGTGAAAAAAATTCAAAACTTAAATTTCCTGTTGAATGCAATTTGAAAATATGGCCAATGATTGCACTTTTCTTCTCTAGTAAGGTTGGACATTCTGATCTACTTGGTGTTTTATTATAGAACTGCTAGTGTGCTTGAGTCTTACATTGTGAAGATACTTTTTTAAAACTTGAGATGTAAGAGGATGTAAATGGTTTTGTAGGCGATCAGGCTGGATGAGAACGGACACTTGTAAACATACTTTTTAGACTAAATCTCTGATTGCCACTTGTTTTTCTTATGGAACTCATAAAAATAAAACACATTGGATGGAGGGTGCGAGTAGGAAGGAGATTCTTGTCTTTTAATTGCATGTCATTGTTTCATAACAAGGCAGACCATATGGCAACCCTGGCTTTGGACCTACAGAAGTAAACACATTTTACTAACTGCTGTATGCCAGAGGTTCTTGAACACCTGGAGGGATTACTGCAGCACAGATTGCTGAACCCTACTCCAGAGTTTCTGATTCACCAGGTCCAGGGTGGGGCCTGAGAATTTGCACTTATAAAAAGGTCTCAGGTGCTGCTGGTGCTGCTAGTCCATAGACTACATTTTGAGAACCACTCTTGTCTATTAAGTGTAAATTGTAGAACTCTAGAAAAAAGCTTAGTTTGGTCTGGGATAAGAAGCACACAGGTTATGGAGAAAATCATGAAAGATTCAACCCTTGATCCCAGCCTAGTGTGGATTTCAGGTAACAAGCAATACACAGTGACATAACACAATTCTTGGTTTTCATGATTGCAAGTCATAGCCAGGTATCAAGTGAGAAATTCAGTTTCATTTGCAAGGCTTAGAGAGGCCAGGTGATTCTAGAAAAATGGGCCTTGTATTTGTTTTAAACCAGTAAAGAGCTTTAAGTGCTTATTAAATTGGAAGTTTTGTGTTCCTACTTATTTTGTATCTTATTTTATTTTATTTTATTTATTTTGAGATGGAGTTTTGCTCTGTCGCCCAGGCTGGAGTGCAGTGGCGTGAGCTTGGCTCACTGCAACCTCCATCTCCTGGGTTCAAGTGATTCTCCTGCCTCAGCCTCCCAAATAGCTGGGATTACAGGCACCCACCACCACACCTGGCTAGTTTTTGTATTTTTAGTAGAGATAGGGTTTCTTCATGTTGGCCAGGCTGGTCTTGAACTCCTGACCTCAGGCGATCCACCCACCTCGGCCTCCCAAAGTGATGGCATTACAGGGGTGAGCCACCACACCCGGCCCAAAAGCTTTGTGTTTTTAAAGATATTAGACATGTTTCTTGTTTTTAAAAGAAATCTTAACAATAATGTAGGAGAATAAGACAAACATTTTTCCAAAAAAGAGAAATCATTGTGATTATTTTCTGTTATTGGAATGTCGGATACTATAGTTGGCTTCATTAATCATCAAGAATTCTATGGATTTTCCATTTATATAGGATCTATATTTCAGTTAAGGTAATACTGGTAATTCTTGTGTTCCATTTGAAGATGAAAAATATAGGCCAAAATCATAGACTTTGCATAGAAGCTGGATAATGAAGACAGCTCTGGAGGAACACATAGATACACACAGACACACATATATAAAGTATACACACATATATTTTTTAAAGTTTATTTTTTACAGTTTTAAAGCTTTTAAAGCAAAAGCCAGCCCCTCCCCTCTCCCAGATTGGGCGGCCCCTCCCCTCTCTCTTAGTGGGCGGGGACAGCAGTTGCATGGCCAGCTTTCCTTATGATGCCACAGGTCCCTCTGGACATGCTGCTGCCTGGACACGCCTCCTTTCCCTTTCATCTTTCTCACTGACCAATGGGCTTGGAGCATTAAGGCCAAGCCCCTATTCTGTGTTACATTGGTGCCCTGGTTACACCACCTGTGGTTCAGTCGCACAGCTGCCTTGTAGGTGACTGGAGGCATTCAGCAGTGCTCACTGGGATTTTGCTGATGTGGCCCCAACCCCGCCTCCCTCCCCACCCCACGATGTCAGAAAACACACAACAGGGGAAATTGGCTGCAGCCAAGAAAAAGGTAAAACGCACCAGGTCATGGCCCCCAACCCAGCCACAGATCCCCTCCGATGACAAGACCGGTGGCAGAGTCCATACCACTCCTGAGGCATACCAGACTAGGCCCCCCAACACCAGCGCCTCTGGGCTCCCCCAACCAAAGTCTTGTCAGTCAGCCCCACCCCTTCAGCAAGCCACTCAGTCCTTGCCCTTGCCAGTCACCACAGGGTGACTTTGGGAGGGTGACTCCTGGGGCTCCCTGCTCCATACTCGGACCTCACCTCCTGCCACCCCAAGCCCAACCTCCCTGGGCTCTTTGGGCTTGTGTCTCCCAGGAGCTGGGTCCCCCAGCCCCGGGCCCCGCCCTGGCCAGTCATACCTGGGTGACTTTTTTGACTCCCGGGGCTCCCTACTGCAGACTCGGCCCTCCCCTCTTGCTGCCCCAAGCTCGACCTCCCTGGGCTTCTTGGACTGGCATCTCCGAGGACCTGGGTCAAAACCCTGTGTTTCCCTCCCCCATCATGGAGCGGCAACTTGGGCATCAAGCCGATGTGGTCCCCTCCCCTGGGAGGAGTGGAATGTAGTGATGTCACAGTCCCACGAGGAACTGTCATTACTGCTGCAAGACCGGCCTTTGATTTTACAACCCAGTCCCCTAAGTTTTCTCACCCCATTTCTGGTTCCTCTGGTTGCAGCACAAATTTCCAGCTGGAAGGGGAGTGGGGACTATGGGACTTATGAGCAAGAAGTTTCAGGCTGCTTTACACCGTGAACAATGTCTAATTCACAGTGTGAAAAGCTTACACTTCCTGTGAGCTCAAAACATTGACAGTATCTCTGGGCAGCAATGGGAGAATGGGTTTGGTTTGGTTTTCTCCCAGGCTTATACCTTCCAGAGAGACTTTAACATATTTTCTGAGTTCTCCATGGTTCTGGGACCAGACTGACCTTCAGTCAGTGGTCTCTGAAGTGAGATTTGCTCATCTTCTGTGGAATAGATCTTGGGAAACTGAACTTGACAGCTTGAATCTTCCTCATATCATCTCAACCTAGGGTACTTTGAGTGCCACAGGATAAATGTGGGACATCTTTCTGAAGCATCATTTTCCCTTGATTCTCTTGAGAAAAAACATTAATGTACTTAGGGATGACAGACACATAGGTTTCCAAGTGTATACCAGACTTCTCTCTGAAATGAGGCTTGGGTTGTCCTCTTTCTGATAAATTCCCAGATTTAACAGAAAAGCTGCCTTCTGCCATGAAGACACATTGATATGAAAGTGTGGGAGGTACTGGTGTGCTTTTTCACGCTAGCAGACCTGTGAGGATGTATGACTCTAAACCACACGGCCTACAGTTCCTGCCTGCTTAATGTTTACTTTTCTACCTCTACCCCTTGTTTTGGTCCCTGGCAGCTGCTGATTCATGGAAAACTCCAGAGCTTGGAGTCAGAGGACTGAGTTTCAGTTCCAGTTTTGACATTTTTTTTTCTATCCATGATATCAATCCCTCTCAATCACTAAATGACTGTGACAACACCTTGTCCAATTGTTGGTGGCATTAAACCAGATGGTATATAAGAGTATTTTGTCAAAACTGTAAAGGAGGATGTGGCTGTAGGGGCTGATCATTCTCATGAGTGTTACTGCTCTTTTTTTCCCACAGTTAAAAGAATATTGGCAGAGGAAGAGCCCTGGCATTCCAGAAGGAGCTAACAGGAAAAAGAAAATCAATGGCAGTAGCCCTGACACAGCCACTTCTGGTGGTTACCACTCACCTGGGGATGTGAGTCTTGGCGGGCCAGGCTCCTGGGGACAGGGGGCCCAAGGGGCAGTAGAGGGTAATTTTTAAGATTGTGGATGGACTGTTGGGTACTGGTTAAGAATTCTGGGTTTGAATCCTGCCTCTCCATCTGCTAAGGATTGATTAGGGATTGATTAGCATATGATTTAGGGTAAGTTGCTTGAGGTCTTTGGGCCTCTCTTTTCACATCTGTATAATAGAGGTGGTATTTTTTGACTTCCATTTGTTAAATTTAAATCAGATTTATTATTGTTGCTTTTATGTGAATCCTTAGTATATGGCCTGCTGAAAACACCCAGGACACCCAGAAAATGGTCATTGCTGTTTGATTTTCCTCATCCTCAGTCTCAAGAGGAAGCCAGGCTAATGAGAAGAGCCACTTGCCATCAGGCTGTCCCTTTAGGAGTCACTGAAAGGGCCCCACGGTGGGATGGTGGGGAGATAAGAACCATGACAGAAGTTGGCACAAAGGAGTTATGGGACAAAGGGTCCAAGATAGGCAGAAAAGAAGCTTTTGCCAGTTGATGGGGGAAGAAAGGAAGTCAGAGGGCTTAGACAGTGAGGGGGGACAGAACATCTCCATATGCACTCTCATCTCTTGCAGTCAGCAGCAGGTATCTACAGGGAGGGCCCTGCATCATCTGCTACCCTGGAGGATCTGGAGGTAAGAGGCCCTGGGCTGAGGTGCAGTGACCCTGCAGGCCAGCCCTCCAACCTCCTCCCACAGCAGGGGCTTGTTGCCCCTCTGCCAGCTGAGACAGCCTACACGCCCCCACCAGCCCTAATGATTGTTTTCTCTACCCCTCCCCACAATCTTCCTCCAACTCCTCCTCTCTGCATGCACCTCAGAGCCAGTACCAAGAACTAGCAGTAGCCCTGGATTCAAGCTCCGCAATAATCAGTCAACTCAGTGAAAACATCAATTCACTGGTAAGAGTCCAGTGGGGTCCCCTGATTCCAGCTGGTCAATCCTGGACTCCAGTTTCCTCTTGGGGCCCTGAAGAAAGGGGCTAGGGGCCCCTGATGCCAGGACCAGTGGGGAGCTGGGGCACCCAGGCCTCACCTGGAGGGACCCCAGAGCACAGAACATGCAGCGTGGCTCTTCTCCACTGCCCTCTTTGCTGACTCTCTCTTCTCCAGACACCCCTGCTCTAGTTGTTGCCACACATGCCCTGGGTTTGTCACCTCTCAGGGAAGCACTAGCCTGACTGGTTGTCAGGGGCCCATATTTCTGCCCTGCCTCAGTCCCTAATTTGCTTTTTGAGTCTGGACAAGCCATCTCTCCTCCTTAGGCTCGTGTTTCTGGAGGAGGTAGAGAGTATCAAAGGTCACTGTTAGCTCTGAAAGAGATTTAAAGGCCCTTAGAATGGAAACCTCAGGGCCAAGGGCTCCTGTCTGTTCTTTGCTCTCTTATATCTCTGCTATGAAGATCTGTTCCTGGCCTGTACATGCTCAGTAAGTGTTGAATGAATGCACCTTTCTAAATCACAAGCTGGCAGAAGGGAGGTGGGACTTTCTCAAACTCTGTCTCTACAGGTTCAGCAGCCCCTCTCTCCAGGGCCCTCTCCTCCCTGTGCTTTGGGCACGTTCGCACATCGAAGGAGGAGAAGAAGCATGAGATACATCGAGTACAGAAGCTTGGGTTTACCAAAACCAGATGGGTAAGATGGGGCTGGCATGACCTGGGAGGAGGACTGGCATCAGAGGGCTGTGGGGGTGACTTAGAATGCCCCAGGGAGGTGGGTGGATGGAAGGGCTTTGAGGCAGAGGGAAAGAGGTCTGTGCCAGGAGACAGCAAGTCTTGTCATCTCCATGAGCCTCAGTGTCCGCATCAGTAAAGAGGGAGGAATGCCCATTGTCAGCCACCCACAGTGCTCTCTATGTGAAAGTGACTTGGAAGATTAGCTGTCATCCGGGTGTGAGGAGTCATTAGCAGTGAGGCCAAGTTTGGGAAGCCTGAGAGGAGGAGCTGTCCAACAAAGGGAGGTTTTTTTTTTGTTTTTTTTTTTTGAGAGTCCAGAGGCCCTTATTGTCTGCTTCCTTTCTCAGCTGAACCCCTGGCCCCAGAGCCCCCAGCAGGGCCCTCTGAGGTGGAGCAGCTACAAGATGAGACCAACCACCTAAGGAAGGAGCTGGAGAGTGTGGGAAGACAGCTCCAGGCTGAGGTGGAAAACAATCAGATGTTGAGTCTCCTGAACAGGAGACAGAAGGAGAGGCTACGTGAACAGGAGGAGAGGCTACGTGAACAGGAGGAGAGGCTACATGAACAGAAGGAGAGGCTATGTGAACAGGAGGAGAGGCTATGTGAATAGGAGGAGAGGCTGTGTGAACAGGAAAAGCTGCCAGGGTAGGAGAGGCTGCTGGAAGAGGTGGCGAAGCTGTTAGAACAGGAGAGGTGGCAAGAGGAGCAGGAGAGGCTGCTGGAGAGGGAGAGGCTGCTGGACAAGGTGGAGGAGCTGCTGGAACAGGAGAGGCTTTGGGAGCAGGATGAGAGACTGTGGCAGCAGGAGACTCTGTGGGAGCTGGAGAGGATGTGGGTGCTGGAGAGGATGCTGGAGCTGGGTTGGGAAGCCCTCTATGAGCAGAGGGCGGAGTCACACAGCGGCTTCAAGGAGCTGGTGCGTTGCCCCACCTGGGGAGGCTGCCCTCTTCCCTAGCCCTCAAGGCCCTTGTTTCCCCACCTGTAAAATGGGGCATTGTAGCCTTCACATGAAGTGGTACTTCTAAAGGCACCTGTGAGACGGAGCCCTGCTCTGATGGCTGTGGGAGACAGGGTATGATTTTTCTAAACTGCCTCCACCCTTCCTGGTGCCATGGGAGGCAGACACTAAGTTCTGGGGTCTCCAGTTTTAGTGGGTGGCCACTGATTGTTTCTCTCTGTCCAGAACAATGAGAACAAGAGCGCAATGCAGTTGGAGGAACAAGTAAAGGAGCTGAAGAAGCCGGGTGAGCTGAAAGAGACGGTAATCTCCGACCCCTCCAAGAAGATGTGAGAGGCAGGCACCAGCCTCTGGGGAGGGGATGTGCCAGGCCAGAGGCAGCTGCAGCCTGAGGGCAGGTGACCCCAGCACCCTCCAGTGCAGTCCTATGACTGTTTCTGCTTCCGGCCCTCTGACTTTTAGAGGTGGGTAGCCCTGGGCTCCTCCCAGGTCTGGACATCATCATCCCAGCTAGAGGCATGGAGCCCCCCAATCACAGAGGAAGAGGCAGTGGTATAAGAGGCTCCTTATGTTGGGTGTGGTGGCTCACGCCTGTAATCCCAGCACTTTGGGAGGCTGAGGCAGGACAATCACTTGAGGTCAGGAGTTTGAGACCAGCGTGGCCAACATGGTGAAACCTCATCTCTACTAAAACTTTTTTTAAAAAAATAATTAGCCGGGCCTGGTGGCGCATGCCTGTAATCCCAGCTACTCGGGAGGCTGAGACACGAGAATCACTTGAGCCCAGGAGGTGAAGGTTGCAGTGAGCTGAGATCACACCACTGCACTCCAGCCTGGGACACAGAGTGACACTGTCTCAAAACAAAACAAAACAAAACAAAACAGAAAAACAAGACTCCTTAGATTCAAACTGGATTCTGGCCTTGGTTCCACTGGTCATAATTCAACTACTTTGCATCTCTAAGTCTCTGTTTCTTTAACTTCAAAACGAAGTTAGCCTTTTCCTTGCAGAGGTGCTGAGGATTAAATGAGATAATACGTGGAAACATTAGGCATGTAGCACACTTAGCAGATGGTGGTTGGCTCCCCCTGCTTTTCCATCAGTCTTTGGTCTACAGTTTAAATGCTGGGAAAAAGGATGTGAGATTTGAGGCTGGGGAAGGAGGCATGGGGTTCCAGGCAAGGGAGGCAGTCTCTTAGGGCTGGAGCAAGGGTCCACGGCCTGGGCAGGCCACAGAGCCCCACGGTGCCCTTGCTACCCTATTAATGGGCCAGGAATCTGGAAGCCAGCCACCACATGCCCTCATGCCCAGGGTCTTCCGGCAGGTGAAGCTGAAGAGCCAAGAGGCTCCAAGTCTGCGGCAGCAGCAAGACCAGTACCTGTGTACCGCTCTAGGAGCCCTGATCCCACAGGAGCTTGGGTGTGCGGACAAGCAGTGTGGTGAGTAGAGCCCTCAGGTGGGGTGGGCAGGCAGGAGCAGGGGAGGCTGGCACTGTGCTCAGATTCCCACCCCCCTCCCTCTCTCTGAAGATCTTAGTGAGGTGAGCCTCACTGGTAGCGTGGAGGCTGCACCAGGAGAGGACAGGGAGGGTTCTCTCCATGACAACCCCACTGCACAGCAGATCCAGCAGCTCCTTCCTCTAATGCAGGACTCCCCAGGAGCACCCAGGCTTGGGTGGAGAAGCTGTTGGTACAGGAGAGGCTGCAGGAGGAGCAGGAGATGCTGCATGCCATTCTTTTTGGGCTGCCGAGAACAGGGAGATAAACATCACCATCATCTAAGAGCTGGTCAAGAAATTAAAAAAAAAAAAAAGTTAAGGGGTTAGTCTCCCACACAATTCATTTACTTCATTTGAAAGTTAGAGCCACTTATGTTTATTTGTGTTTCTAATTTATAGTTTAAATTTATTTGTGTTTCTAATTTATAGTTTAAATTTATTTGTGTTTCTAATTTATAGTTTAAATTTATTTGTAAAAAGTTAAATGAGAGTGGGTCTTTCACTCATGTTCACTCTGGCATCCTTTAGCATTTTTTAAAATTTGATAATTATAGGATGTTAGCATGCATATCAAGTTTGCCCTTATGTGGTGGGAGTTCAAACACCCAAAGACCCACTATGTGCATACAACTTTTCTTGCTGGTTTGGGATAGGCTGCCATGCTTTTTAAATGTTAGTACAGCATGTATATTCATTACGGAATTCAGATAAAATTTCCTTATGTTCTGCTGTTATGTTTGATCAAATCCTAATCACAGTGAGCTCTTCATTAGCTCAATATGTGGTCTGCCCTCAAGTGCACGGTCTATTACTTTGTAATATGCCACTGTGAGTACTGACATTTACAGTTGTTTAAAGGTGAAGCACTGGAAACAGCTTTTCCCCCTTTTTCTGTGTATTGGGGATGGGAGTAATAACATTTTGGGGAGGTTTTTAAATCTCCCAAAAGAGGAAAGTGGCCTGCTCTGGTAGGTGTGTGCAGGATAGAATATGTTTCATTTGTTCCGGTGCCAAGAATGAGCACTGTACTATGGTAGTTCCCTTAGGATTTGTATGTGCTCTGGGCTCATGAAGATACTGCCTCATGAGCTGTGGCAGTTGTACTCTTTTTTGACGACATGAAAAGGGATTATTTCTGAGGAATGAAAGGCTCCCATCATGACTGTGGATGTGGAAAAACTTTTCTAGCTGAGAGCATTTATATCTACAAACATTTTAAAGTCAGAGTTCATGTTCCCTGTTTTAATCACATGACTACATGTCCCAGTACACAAAAGGGCACTGGTTGGCATTCTCCTTATTGTATTTAGTAAAGATCAGAAGAAATCCTTTAAGAGTTTAAATGTCCCTGGAACAGGCATACAGGCTCTAGTCAAGAATGAATTTGAGTGAAGGAAAGCTGTGTGACACCTGGCATTCCTCTATGTTCATATAGCTTATTTGAGGCTAGAAGATGGATTTTACCATCTAGACCTCTCTGGCTAATAGCTAGTGTTCAACCGTCTGACATAGGAATTTACTTATTTTCCTTGAATGGAGAACACTTTAAAAATAATAACAAACATTGTTATAAACTAATATAGCGAGAGTACTTAGTTGAAACAAAAAGGAATTTTAGTAGACAGTATTATACTACATTTGAAAATCAAGGAGCAGTTTATGCAACTTAAAATGTTTACAAACTGCAGCACAATCTACTGTTTGTGAATGTCAAAGTGTCATGAGGAAAGTGTCTATACAATCAGTTATATTTCCTCACAAAGTTCTTTATGAAGAGTGAAATATGTTTTTATACCTCTCAGTTTCAGTTAGAGGCATATTTTTTGTAATATTTATGGCTTAAAATGGACTAAAGGTCCTGTTCTTGCCTTTTCTGAACTTGCTGCTTTTGCATTCTTTGAGTTCAGTTTAAAGACACTTACTTTAACTCCATTTTAAACCCTCGGGCTAGAAATCATACCACTGTTAATTAGCCATGTTATTTGGTCTAACAGTTTTTGTTTATCATTCTGAAACTGAGCTTATCTAATACATTGATAAATTATTTCAAAGGTATTTTTATAGTTCAAATCACTTCACTTTTACCCTGACACATAAATGACTAGGAATGACCTTCAGATAGCATTTAGCAACTGTAACCAATCTGACAATAATGTGTTCATCAGGTACCTCTGGATTAAATCACATACTGGCATATTTAAGCTGAATGTCAGTCTGAAATATAAATATACTATATTAATTCAAATACCACTCTTTGTGTAGGTATTTTGTCATATGTTTAAGAAAAAGCTAAAGAGAATGGAAATCCTATGACAATAACTCAAGTCTTTCTTCAAAGTGCATGCAGTCTTTTGCAGTACCTCATTCAGCCAAGTATTTGTTCTCTACCTCATTCAGTATAAGGCAGCTTTTAATTTGCTTAGAAGGCAACATTAGAAGGTTAGAGTTCAGCAGGAACATAGAATTTAAAAATGTGACTTCAACTGAATAAATTTGAATTTCTTCAGGGAGTAAAGAATCAAAACACCTATTTAAAGACTGCAAAATATGATAATTATTTTTAAAGTAATTGATTAAACCTGGTAGGTTTTCCGGAAATGAAAAACAATCAGTTCTAAAACCAAAGCTGATTTTTAGAAAATGTGAAAATGTAAGCCAACCCTATCCATAATAGATTCTCTAAAACTTTATCTTACAGTCACTTTCAAATAACTATTCAAAAATGTAACTGCTATATTAATGTCTTAAAATAATTTAAAACATTTTAAAATATGAATACTGTTGTTTAAAACAAAGAATGTAGGGGAAGGAAAGTAGACAAAGAAATGCCAATTCCAGTCCAAAGCTGTATTTGCCAAGTTTTCTTAGAATGACTTTTACTGATTTATGAATTCTTATACACAGAATGCATAATGGAAATACTGATTTTTGTCTAAAGTGGCATTATTGACTGCTTTTGTGATGCTACTATAATGTAATACATTATTAAATTGTTTCAAGGTGCTGTTTTGCCTAAAAATTTTGTGTGTCTTGAAAACTATAGTATTGGGTATTGAGACTCTGCAAATTCTGGGTATGCTTGGCATGAGATAATCGGTTTTTATTCTTACAAAATTGTAACTATGTAAGTGTGTTTATTAAAAGAACACAAACTAAAAAAGTGACAGGAATTTAAAAAAGTTGTGGGATGAAAAAGTTACGGGATAAAAAATACTGTGGACAAGTTGTGGCAAAAAAATTGTGGAAAAAAAGTAAAAAAAGTTTTATGAAATTTTTTTTCAAAACATCCTGAAAAAGAAGTTACAGGACTTAAAAAAACATCATGGGATAAAAATAAAAATAAATAAAAGAAGGCCCCTGTCAGCATACGCCTGGAGAAGTGGGTCTGGATTCTTCACCCCTACCATGTCCCTACAACCCCTTCCCTGTCACTCCTTTACCATTAGGGTAGCAAGACAAGACCCCTGTCTAATGGAGGGAGACAAAGAGACCCTTTACCACCTTGACCAAGCCTGAGTCCTTACATTTCTGGATGATGATGTTTGTTATGTAAGAGCCAGAGGTTGGTGGAGTTGGTTTGTTTGGAGGAGGTCTGATGGCCTCCTTACTCTCACCAAAGCAACTTTTCCCTCAGGGGGGCTCCCATCTTCTTACTCAGAGAGGCAGCTGAGGCGGGACAGTGGAGATAACTGTAGATGAGGTGAGGGCACAGGCTGCTGGGGGTGGCCCCCCTTCCCCCGTGTACATACTGTATCTGTGTAACATTCTGTATCGTACCTACCGGAGGTTGCAGCTGGCATATGAGGAAGAGGTTCTTATAATTGTTCACGGCTGGGAAACTTATTTATTGCTAGCATAGGAGCAAGGAAGGAGGCGGGGATGGGGTCATGGCTCCCTGGTGATGGTACTCGGTTTTTTTTTTTTTTTTTTTTGCTTTTGATTTTGGAATAAATGGATTTAGCCATACTGCTCGGCCTGGTATGTTCCTGTTTCCCTCACTGGGTCCTGCAGTTTGTCCCACTGAATGAGGAGCCCCAGAGTGTCTCAGAATGTCCAGCTGGGCTGTTGGGGACCTTCCAGGCCTGTTACCTGTATGCTGCCTGGTGACACCTGGTGGATTTCATGGGGACTGCCATGTCACCTACGGAGTACAGTCTGGCCCTGACAGCCAACTGGTTGAGAAGCCTGATGTAGCTGTGGCAGGGAAGGCAGATACCTGCGCCCAAGGGCACTGACTTCCATCCACCCTAAGTGTCTTCCGTTCTGTCCCCCTGCCTCCCTCTCCTGTCTGCACCAGGTGGCCTGTCTGTCCCTCCAGAGTGCCGGCTGCCCCGCAGGTTCCCTCCAGGCTGAGTTCAGGGCCCTGTCCCCTAGTGGCCAGAGCTGGCTTCACAGGGTGAGATCCAGCTAAGCTCCAGGGACTTTCCAGGAAAAGTGTCCCTTGAAAAGGGTGTGACCTTTTCACTGCTCCCAACAACACCTTAAAAATGGCTTGGCTTTTTCCGTCCCCTGAGGTCCATAGAGAACACAGCCAGCAGAGGACACATTCTCTGTCATCCAGAAATGGGTTTCTCAGCCAAGGGACAGCAGGACTGGTAGAGGCTGTCAGGCCACACAGCTGCCTGCACAGCACCGCCATGCTTGGCCAGAAGGGTGGGAGGGATGGCGGGGGCTAGCTGTCCGCAGGCCACGCATGTCCCGGAAGCTCAATGGAGGTGGTGCACGTTGGAGGGGCGATGTCAGGAGACAGCTTCCTCTTGCTGGTCCACAAGACTCCGCAAGCACAGCACGGGGACTGATTCCCAGTGCTAGAGCTGAGGCAGTTGGCCACGTATATATATGTATATATGTGTGTGTGTGTGTGTGTGTGTGTGTGTGTGTGAGAGAGAGAGAATTTATAGCTATTTATAGAACTGGGCAGGGGCATACCACAGAGGGGGCACAAGTTTTCAGCAATGGTCACACCTGGATGTGTCAGCTCACCACTACAACAGACTAAGTCACAGATGAAGGGGGCTGGCTTTGGGGCTGGGGGAGCCACTGTCAAGTCACAGGACACCCACCCAGGCAGGCTTGGAAAGGGAGGTCTCTGAGAAGAGGAGGAATCTGTTTAGAGGTCGAAGTGGGGCCTGGGGCTCTCAGGATGGGATGGACTTGCCTGACCCGATCAGCTGGTAGTTGGAGAGAAAGCAGAGAGAAAACGGGTTAGAGAAAAGTCAGAGCTGGTGAGGCGAGTGCAGAGTATGGGTGCGCTGCAGAAGCTGTGGGAGGGCCGGGGAGGGGAGGGCGTAGCTGTGGGCATGGCAAGGTTCCTGGAAAAGAGGGGCTAGAAAGGAAAGGGGAGGAAGATGGAGGGAGAAGCCAGAGCTTCATAGGTAGTGCCTGGGGACTGCGGCGGCCCTCCCCACCCCACACACGCTGGCGTCTCTCATGGCACCCAGGCAATCCACCCATCCACCCACAGTTCAGACCAATGCCAGCCCCCTCGGGCTTCCCTCTTCTGTGGTCCCCATGTCTTCCAACCCACTGGCCCAGGGCCACCTCTTGCTTGGAGAGCCCCATCCAACAGCCACCAAGCCTGATAGAGAAGGAACACTGAACCAAAATGGTGGATCTATAAGGGACGGCTGGCTGGAGTGAATGCCAGAGGCCCCTCTGAGCCATCAGAAAGCCCAGGGTCCTCTGAGGGAACCTGGGGAAGGCAGGGAGTGCAGGTAGTTGGATGCCATTGGCCATAGACTTCTAAGTCTAATGGGAGCCTCAACTGGTCAGCGGGGGGCTGCAGGTTACATAGGTGTGGCTGGGCCCTTCCTGCTGGGAAAAGCAGAGGAGGGAGACTCCGTTGCAGGAAAGGGAAGTGAGCTCTCTAGGTGGAGCTCAGCTGGGCCAGCATGCACTGGGGTCCCCTTGGCTGAATAGCACTGGCGAACCCTAGAAGCAACAGGCCAAGGTGCATGAGCCTGCTGGCCAGCAGTAGTGCTTCAGCAGGGGCCAGGGACCCTGCCTTCAGTCACATGCTAGCAGCTATCATGGTACCTGGGAGGGAGGGAAGGGGGCTGTGTGTCCTTCCATGGCCTATGAAGTGTGTTGTGGGATGACCATGTGTATAGGACTCTCAGGCTTTTATCCTAGATCACCACTGGATTGCTGACAGATAGAGGATGTGGGACCCTGACTACCACCCCTAATCTGCAGTGGATTTGGCTCTCAGCACTCCCAGGCTGGGAGCTGGATCCCTGCCCTGGCAGCATGACTCAGACCACACGAAAGGTACGGCGTGCCCAGTATGATGTTCCCAGGTCTCTGGCCGCCTGAGTCCAGCCCCTCACACAACCCCCTCGAAGCTCCCAGCCCCTACACCATAAACCATGAGCTCTGTGCCCTCTCTGATGGTTCCATGTCTGCCAGGTTGGGCATGGAGCCCCCAGGCTCAGCCATGGAGACCTTGAGAAGTGGCACTGAGTCCCATGGCTCACAAGGAGGGAAGTGAGACAGCCAGCAGCACAAGGACAGAAAAAGGAAGGAGCAAGTCTGCAGCTCCAGAAGGAAGGGGCAGGCCTGGGGGTGGGGGACACACACGCACACACCGGAGTGTGCACACACATGCTGTGAGGCCCCACGGCCCGCATGCACACGCTAACACACATGCCCACAAACAACACGCATACGTCGCCCTCCCCACCACCTCCCGGTGCCCAGCACCCTCACCGGCCGGCACGTGCTGCATGGATCTGGGGCGTGCAGCCACTCGGCACACTGAAGTACATGCGTGGGCAGAGTCACAACACAGATGCTCACCCGCACACAGAGGCATGTGCACCAGCTCCCTGCACACTCGTGCCTGGCGTGCTCAGAGGACCACCCATGCTGCTCAGGGAGACAGGGCTTGCTCACTAATGTCCGGCTGTCATTTCTCCACCTAAGAGCCTTCCATGGCTCCCTACTGCCTACAGCATTGAATCCCAAAAAGTCATACTCTTTGGACTTTGAAGGTTCTCCACCCGGTGCCCCACCCTCCCCACAGAGCTCTTCCTCATTCTGTCTCTGTTCCCTGCTTTGGCCAGTGGCTATCCTCAATGTGACCCACACTACACTTCTGCCCACACTGCAGCTCTTTACCCAGTTACCCTCCAGTTCCTCACAACGTATGCCTATCTCAGTCATGCCCCGGACTGCATTGAAGCCAGGCTGCCTTGAAGAAACTCTCCCAGACTGCCCTTTTCCCCAAGGCAGGGTCATGATTTGCCAAAGGTTTCGTGTGTGTTAGCAAGACTGGAGTCGGAGCAGGCATCAAACTTTGCATCCCATATGTCACACCTCACCATAGACCTGGGTGCCAAATAGCCTGAAGAGTCTGAACTCATGTTGGCAGTTAGCAAAGTGCTCCTATGGCCACATCTGCAGTTAACATAGTATCCCTATGGCCACTGTCTCCCTTGATCCCCACAGCCATCCTAGGAGAAAAGCAGAACGTCATCATTTCATAGAAGGGATGCTGAGGCTCTGGGAGGGAAAGGGACTTGCTTAAAGCCCCAGGGTGAAGCAGCATCTCTGGACTCCCAGTCCAGTGATCTTGCCCAATACTATGCTGCTTCCCTCTACCCATCTAATTTGGTCATCAGCACGTCATAGGGCAAGCCCCAATCCCTGCTTCATTTTTGTATATGGGCGCTGGACCTACAGCCCCACTGTCCAGCCATTTGGAAACAAAAACAGATGCTATTGTTCTTCCTTAGAGAACGTGGCCAGTAGAAACAGGGCACACTGGAAATCAGAGTGAATGTTCTTGAAAGAGGGTCATGGGTCAACCAGGCCAAGCCAAAGGATGCGGTAGAACCATTTTCCTTAGAAATCTTTGGGAGTGAAGTAGTCTTCAGCCACTCTCATCCCTGCCCTTGCAGCTACCACTACCCCATTAGTTTAGACAGGGTTAGGGATAGAGGGTGAGTGGTCCAGGTGTGGAGAAAAAATCAGATTGCCTGTGGCCCCCAGGCTCCTTCCCCAGCTGCTTCTGTCCTAGCTGAGGCCTGGGTGCCATTCTTACACTCTCACAGTCGTGTGCTTGCACCTGCACACATCACACACCTTGCTGGTCACACAGTCACAGCCTGGCCTCTACTCCTGTGGTCCAGTGGCTGGACACCCCCTGAGATGGCTCAAAGGAGTCAGGACTTGGAAGTGGGGACATCCGGGTAGCTGAAGGAAATCCACACACCCAGACTCTCAGACCTGAGGTAGGCTCCCCAGGGGCTGGGATAGGAGTTGGACAGAATGGAGGATGGAGGACAGTGAGAAGAAGAAAGGAAGAGAAATGCAAAGTGTGGCAGCCGCCAAGAGTGAAAACCCACCAAGATGGAAGTGCCATGCACGTACTGGACAGAAGGGGGCAGGTGGGACAAGCCCCACAGCCCCCTCAAAAACGACCACTTCCAGGAGTCAGTGCTCCCTGGGGGGCAGGCTCCGCCAGCCCTTGGCCACACGTGGCTCTGGCACCCATGGTCCCAGTGCCTTGGATGGAGGCGGCCAGGTCTGATGCTCTGGAATCCAGTCCCATTTCCATCCCGGCCACGCCCATCCGGCAGCCTCTTTGGTCGCATTCAGCCCCTACTCACCTGGAGACCCCGGGTGGGGCATGAGTGCACCTGGTGGGGTAGGGGCCGAAGGGATCAGGGGAAGCCTCTAGCCTGGAGGGTACAGGGCACGCTTCCCCAAGGGTGGACCTGGCAAGAGGAAGCCCAAGAGCTGGGCCCGCCACCCAGGCCGGGCTAGGGACATGGCAGGGTCTGGGCATCCTGGGGCTGGACTTGGGTGACCTGCAAGGCACAGGGAGGGGAGAGATGGGCGGCTCTGCCCCCCTGAGGCCCCGCCCCAGCCCCGGCCACCCCCAGAGACAGTCGCCGGAGCTTAAGCCCCGCCCCCAGTGGTGAGAACATCCCAGCTCCACCCCTTACTCCAGGTGGGAACCACCCCATGAGGGAGCGTGCCACTAAGCCCTGGGCACTCCTCTGTGTGGCCCGGATGGGGGACTTTGGGGCTATGGGGGCCAGTCCCTGGTACCTGTGTTCCTCAGGGACACTCTGCACCTGCAGCCAGGTGTCATCCACAGGCGGGGGCATGGGCATGCTGACGGTGGTCCTGTTGATGTCACCTGTTGATGTCATTTGCCTCCTTCAGCGCGTGGTGCATGCACAGCATCTTGTCGCGCTGCTGTGCCTGCTTTGCCAACTCCTCCATCAGTGTGTTCTGGTCCCCACATGAGTACAGATTGGCCAGCGGCTCCGAGATGATGAACTCCGTGGTCTGAGAGTGGACAAACAGGGAAGAAGGTTGGGACCTGCTGCCTGTGCCACCCTGGCTGCCTTGCTGGGCCCTGCTGGGACTGTGTGCTGGACTTGGAGCCCCTTGGAGTATGGCTTTTTACACGGGCTTCTATACCGCTTCAACTGGAAGATCCCCCTCCCCACCGCCTTTTCTCACTCAGATGGGGACACTGAGGTCGAGAGGAAAAGACACCTGTCCAATGTCACAGATCTGGGAGGGGACTTAGGACCTATCATGCCAAGAAGACACCTGTCTACTCAGTTTTCTTTTTGGCAGGGCAGGGGGCAGTGATAGGGTCTCGCTCTGTCACCAGGATGGAGTACAGTGATCACTGCTCACTGCAGCCTCCACCTCCTGGGCTCAAAGCAATCCTCCAACATCAGCCTCTCACGTAGCTAGGACTACAGGCACGTGCCACCACCAAGCCCAGCTATTTGTAAAATTTTTGTGTGGAGACAAGGTCTCACTATGTTGCCCAGGCTGGTCTCGAACTCCTGGGCTCAAGTGATCCTCCCGTCTCGGCCTCCAGGAGTGGGAGTGAGACAAAACACAGGGTCCTGAGCTCTGGGGAGCAAGCAGTGTCCTCTGGTGACAGAAATCCTGGACTTGCCAGCAGAAGTTTTGCCTCTTACTCGCCATGTGCTCTGAATACAGTTACCTGCCCTCCAGGAGCTTCAGTTTTCTTACCTGAAAAAGGACACCTGACCCCTTCCCAGCCCAGTTCAGTGTTGTGGGACAGGGCTGCTGTCAAGACAATACCCAGTCCTGCCCTCCTCCTCCCTGAGTGGGCCAGGTAGCCCATGTAGCCTCTTCCCGGCTTTCCTGGGTGGCACTGCCAGCCTGGACCCCTGGTGACCATTCAATCTAGTCCATCTTGCTGGGGCATGGGGAAGCTCTGAGTAACGTGGGACTATAGAGTGCAAGAGGGTTGCTGATGGTCTGGTCCCATGCCCTCCTCATTCCTGGGCATTCTTGACAAAGGATCCCAGCAACTGAGGGTATGCAGCAGCTGTAGACACCAGCCTGATGAATATCTCATTGTGGGGAGGGTGCCATAGCAGGAGTGGAGCTCTGGGGAAATAAAGAACCCAGGTCTGGGAGGTACTGATGTGAGAGGCCCAAGAAACCTTGGCTTTGCACTTGCTGAGTACCATCTGCACCTCTCAGGAGGGAGACTGCCAGGCTCAGGAGGTCCTTGCCCAAGCAAGGGAGCTTGAAAAGGGGGCTAGGTGTGGGCTCTGCCATTTTCAAGGGCTGGCAGTGGGACCCCTCTGGAGGTACTTGAGGCAGTGCTGCGTGCCGTGGCTCCTGAATGACAGAGTCAGCTCTGCGCCCCACAAGACCACTCCCTACCCAGAACTCACTGTGATCATGTGCTGGGTCCAGATGCTCACGCAGTCTCCTGGTGGGAGCATCAGGTGTGCTGCCTGCCCAGGACGGCCCACAAAGAGTCTGCCCTGCTCTGCCCTGCTATGGAACAACTCCCGTTCTGCCTTTGGGGAGAGGTGTTCATTTAAACAATGACTGGGCTGGTCCCCATGGCACAATTACCACACAGAGTCTGCCACTACCCATGGCTGAGAGCTCTAGTTCTTCCCTGAAGCCACCAGGACAGATGAACAGTGGCTTCCCCCTTTTGGCTGACTCAGCTGCCTTTCATCAGCTCATCTGCTCCTAGGATCCACTCTGCCTCTGGCTGGCACCTGATCTGAGCCCCAGGCTCACACCTCTGCCCACAGGCCCCAGCAGCTGCTTCACCTCTGACTCCATCCCCCACCAAGCACTGCCCCTCACCAGCTACTGGGGTGCCACTAGTGCCCCTACATGGTGCTCCCTCTCTAGACCCTTGGGTCCAGCTGTAGCTTCCTTCTGGAAGCCACACCCCAAGACCCCAGCCCTGCTCTAGGGACCTGTATCCCCAACTTCCTGCATCCTTCTCCCTCCTTCTGGGAACATGAACTTGCCCCACCAGCCTGATGACTCCTGGAGGGCAGGACACCAGGGCCCTGGACCATGGCAGGCCCGGGAGTGTCTGCTGACAGTGATGCTGGAGCTGGTGCCCATGTCCACATGATGTCCATAGCACAGTGGCCACCTGAGGCTGGGCGCATCTGAGTGGTGACTGCAGAGTGGGGCCCTTACCTCTCCCTGAGTGAAGTTCACCAGGTCCTCCCCTGTGAACTGCCCCCAAACTCACATTCCTGTTCTGTGCCTTTGCCAGGAATGTTCCTTTTGCCTGGAATACCACTCCCCATTCCCTGCTCCAGATGGCCTGTGCTCTTCAGAGCCCAGCCCAAACACTGCCTCCTCCCATGAGACCTTCCTGATGCCAGATCTGCTGGCTCACCGTGGGCCCCACGCTCAGATGCAGACCAGAAGGGTCTCCGAAATGAGCAGTGTGGGAGAGTAAGGCTGAGAGTGGGCAAGGACTGGCCTGAGGTCACAGGGCATGTCAGTGAGATCTCTGGAAGGCCTGTGGCTGGTCTGTGGGGTTCTGTGGGGTTCCTGGATGAGCAGAAGCCCTTGACAGACCCTCCTAGTCCTGGTCTGGGCTCTGAGAAAAAAGCAGGGTACACAGGGGTCTGAGGGGCAGTGGCCTGTCTCCACGGCCAGCAATCCCAAAAGTTCAGGACCCGTGATGCCTTCCCAGGGAACTGACTGCAATGCAGATTCTCGGGCTCCACTTCAGAGATTCTGTAGGGCTGGGTGGGGTCCAGGAATCTGCATGCTCAGCCATGCCATGGACATGAGTGGGCACCACCTCTAGAGGCACACACAACTCCCCGGAGGATGGGTGTACAGCAAGCTCCCCAGAAACTCTTGGGAACACAACATATATGGGAGCACATCTGAGGCACGTGCACACACGCAACCTGGGACCACCACAGGCACAGCCCAAGTCACATGTGTTCCCGGCAGGGAGGCTGGGAGGAAGGCCCTCTACCTGGTCCACACCCCCACTCACCACCCCCAGCTCCTCACCTCCAGCTGGTCCCTTCTGATCTCAGCTGCCTCTCCCAGGAAGATGTAGATCTTCTTGTGCCAGGCCAGCTTCAGTGGGGCTAGTGGGCCCTCTAGGGCAATGGTCACTTGTAGAGTGCACCGTGTGCACTGTCTGTGTGCACTGGCCCCACATCCATTGAGAAGGCCCCACATCCATTGAGAAGGCCCCACATCCATTGAGAAGGCCAGGGTGTTGCGGGAGCTGAGGCTGCCATTGTGGCCAAAGAGAACGGCCCCAACCAGCAGGTCCTTCTGGGCGAAGGCTGTGCTGGCTGAGTGGCCTGGAGCAACTGTCCCCAGCAAGGGCTGTCTGTGATGTGGTAGTGGACCTCATCCCCACTGCGGATGTCGAGGTTGGTGCCCAGGTGGAGCTCGGCCATATTGATGGTACCCTGGTCTCCTTGAGGGACCTTGAGGCCGGAGCCATTGGCCACATAGAGGTAAGGCTCCAAGGCCTGCACCTCCAGCACCAAGATGGCCTGGTGCTGCCTGTCGGACACATGCAGCAGGATCCAGCCATGGTCAGCCTGAGTGCGTGAACAGGACTCGCCTCTTCCTGAGGCCCCTCCTGGATGAAGCAGAAGATGGGCTGCATGGGCTCATCCGTGGCCATGATACTGCCAGACAGGAGGTCCTTGTGGGTCAGCACCAGCTGGGCATCCACAAAGCCTGAATCAGCATTGCTGAAGGCCATGTTGTGTGGAGTCAGCAGCTGCCACCTACCCCAGGCCACATGGAAGACGCAGCTGATGCTCTGCACAGGGGCGTGGTCATTCACAGTCTGGATGGCCACTCAGAAGACACCCCGTACCTCCTCCCAGGCCACATCACCACTGCTCTGGTCCTGGTGGCAGCAGCAAATGGCATATCATCTTCCGTGATCTTGGAGTCATCATGCTGCTAGACCGGCTGGCCATGCAACAGATCTCCATTGGTGAAGGAAGTCACCATAGTGGTCTTGTCCTGTGCCCCACACCAAGTCAACCTCCCATGGCGGGGCCACTACATGGCCTCATAGAGGTACCTGGCACTGTTGAGGCTCTTGACGAAGAGCTGGTCAGCAGAGAGGACACACCCACCACCCTCGGGCACCAAGAGGACATTGGTGAGGACAGGCATGTCTGGGTCACCGCCAGTATGGATGGAGAAAGTACAGAGTGGGGAGAAATATAGTGGAGCTGTGACATGGAAACAGAAGGTGTCCTCCACTGCCACTGAGGCATGTGCCATGGCCCTATAGGTCACCTCTCCAGCCTGTACATCATCCTGGGTGAAGCCCTGACCATCTGACAGTGTCGTGCCCTGTAGTTGAAGGTTGCCTTTCCTGGGAGCCTGAACCACCTCAGAGTGGAAGGTTGGGGGGCTTGGGCCTGCCTCTTCCAGGGTGGCCTCCAGGTGGGCTGTGGTGAGGGCCTCTGCTGGGTGTTGAGTGTGCAGTGGCCGCAGCTGCAGCATCCACACAGTGGCTCTCTGGATGGTCACTAGGAAGGACAGATTGCTCAGGATTTCCCAGCTCACCTGCACCTGCAGATCCAGGTTCTTCACGGTGTCCTCGGCATAGTGCTGTGGGTTAGTGCTCAGGTACCTCATGTGGCCCTGCTCCACATCCTGCTGGTGGAATGACTGTGTGGCCCACCACTCAGCACCCTCCACCCCACCAGCCCCCTGCTTCTGCACCTCCCTGAACTGCAGGCCTCTGGTGACACAGAACAACACAGTCACATCCTGCCCCACGGTGCTGGTCTCCACCGACAGGTTGGTAGGCAAGATGGGCATGGCAGAGTCCTGGGCCAGATGCAGCCCTGTGCTGCAGTGGATCTGTATGGCCGGCTGGATGGCCACCACCTTCAGCATGGACGGGGGGCTGGCCTGCAGTCCATTGCTGACCCGGAACGTCAAGTCCTATGCAGGGCCACTGCAGTGGACATAGACTAGGCTGTCGGCCTCCAACTCCCAGCAGGAGAACTGGGTCACCGGCTCCCCAGCCTGGTCTCAGTGCTCCACAGGGAGGCCAGAGGAGGTGCCAAGGAGCTGGAAGGTGAGGCCCTCACAGGCAGAGTCCAGGTCATAGGCCTGGAAAACCTCAGGCCCCAGAGGCTTCTGTGTGTGTTCCAGGATCACCATAAGGCTGCCACATGGGAAGATGATACGGGGTGGGTCATTGACAGGGTTGACCTGGATGGGCAGGAGGTCAGTTTGGCCCCTCCGCAGGCATGAAGGCATGGGCACCCAAGCCATCACCAACACCTCCAGCACCAGGGCCATCATGGATGAAGCAGGCCTTGCAGTTCACCATGTCCAGGAGGGTGAACATTTCTCATGCCTGGGCACCCAGGATGTCCAGCTCGAGTTCACTGTAGTGTGCCCCTCAGGTCACGCTGAACAGCACCTGGGATTTATGCAGTTCAGCCTCCATCAGGGCCAGCATGGGCTGCACATGCCACCACTCGGCTGTGCCACCCTCGGTCACCACCACTGGGCTGATAGTCAGCAGCTGGGTGAAATTGGTAAAGACAGGAGGCAGCCCTGGCTCAAGCATGCATGGCTCAGCTAGATCCATGGACAGCCAAGCCCTGGGGGCCAGGGTGGAGAAAGCTTCATAATGGCCATAGGTATTGTCCTCATACTCCTCCACCTCCTCCAGTCTGCAGCCTGCCGCCATGTTGTGTGTCAGCAAGGCTTCCCGAAGCCCCCACCTCTGGCCATTGACACTGAGGTCTTCCATACAGCCAGCCCAGCAGGGAGGCATTGGCGGCCCCTGGTGTCAGGCCTCAGTGGTGTTCCTGGAGGGGATGAGAGGCCTCTGCAACCAGCTCCCCAAGAAGGAGACTGTCACATGGCTCCAGGCAGCTGAGGACTCCTCGGTTCAAAGTACGTGTGGGGTACTGGTCCATGGAGATTTCTAGCTGGTGAGTGTTGATGTGGATGCTGACCTTGAGGGTCTGCACGTCAGCCACAAGCACACTGTTGAGGAGCAATACAGTACCCTGGCCCTTCTCGACCATGAACCACAGGTGGCCCTCAAATATGTCCACATGGATGAAGTCCCCATGCCAGCCCGCTGCCTGGAAGGTCAAGGGTGCCTGCCAGATCTGTGTGGTGAGTGCCAACTCCAGGGTTCCTTTGTTCTGAGTGCCCCAGGCAGGGAAGGCAGCCAGAGAGTGGGGCCCAGAGAAGCCCAGGGCCACATCGTCACTGGTGGAAAACTCTTCAGCACAGCCCTCATGCATATCGGGGGTCAGAGGCCGGAGGAGGCTGTGGCCATTGAGAGTGGCTGCATGGAGGCAACCCCTCAGGGGATGGCTGGTTCCCCTCAGGTAGGGCAGGCCAAGGCTCCCAGTGTTCCCAACAAAGAGCCCATAGGGGACCTCTAGGGGGGCTCCCAGGACTACAGAGGAGGCATTCAGAAACCCATTGACTGACAATGTGGGCCAGCCCTCTGAGACAGTCAGAACTGTAGTGTAGGGGATGGAGTCACTCAGCAGCATTTCTGCTGGGATCTGCAGCCTCAGCTCCTCCTGGCCCAGGACAACCCTGACCTGAGGAGAGACAGGGAATGGGAGATGGGGGGCAGCACTTTGAATCCATCATTTCCCTTATAAAAGCACAGTGGGTTCCCCACAGTTGGGTCCCCAGAGCAGAAAACCTAGGACAAGGGCCTCTGGTGCCACTCCTCTTGCCTTCCTGCCATCTCTTTATTCATCCTCCAAACACTCACCAAAGGAAACTCTGGGCCAGGCCTGGATGGGCTCTGGGGACCCTGATGTGAATCAGATGTGGTCCTTGCCCACAATGAACTGACATATAGCAAGATGCTCTTCTAGAAACCCAACCTGTATTTTTAAATTCTCCTCCTCTTTCCTTGAGAGAGAAGCACCAGAAATATTGTCTTGGAATCTAGATTTCACCCCTGGAATAATGGGTAACTGAGAATCCCTTGATCAGTCCCCCTAAGTTTGGCAAAGTTTCTTGAGGTCACTGAAGGAAGCCAGGCTAACTGTTCAGGGATAGGGAACCCAGGCAGATGCTCTGTGTTCTGAAAAAAAAGCTCCCTGTCCTGTGGGGGAGGAAGATCTCAAGGAGAGATGAAGGACATAGTTCTGTCACCATGACATTGACACAAGAAATGGCTCTGGTGTGGTGCTCCCAGGTGCTAGAATAGGTGATGGCAGAGTACGGGAACTGCAGAACCAGAACACTAAGAACCATGATCTTGGAATCCTGGTATGGTGCATCTCTGTAGGGATGTGGCACCACTGTACCCACAGAGCTCAACAGCCATCAGTGCCAGACTGCACCACATAGGTGTTCAACAGTGACACTTGTGGCAGTGAGCAGCAATGACAGCAGCAGACTGACCAAGCCCTAGTCCTCTTCCCACTGGGGTGCGGAAGGAGATGGCTGCCCCAAATTTGTTAATTTTTTTTTTCTTTCTAAAATAGATATGGAGTCTCATTGTGTGGCTCAGGCCAGTCTTGAACTCCTAGGCTCAAGTGATCTTCCCACCTTGGTCTCCCAAAGTGGTGGGATTATAGGCATGAGCCACTGCACCCAGCTTGCCCCAAATTTGCACTAAGACCCTGGGTTCTTAAACTCTTTATGGTATGGGGGAAGACTCAAGAAGGAGCCACAAGACTCCTTGATAATAAAGCTTGTGGTGTCTTGAAGGATGAAATGGAAAAATGAAGCTGAGGCAGTACTGGTGCTGTTACTGTCATGGACAGACAGTGGTGCTGCAGAGAAATTGGTGCAGTGCCACCGGGAAGCACAGGGGTCATGGGGGCCCAGGAGGGGGCCTTGCCCAGGAGGAGGGGATGCCCACACTGAAACTTCAAGGAGAGGCTAGAGTTAGGCAGGTGCAGGGAATGGGTGGGGCACACACCTGGCAGGAGGAGTGTGATGACCAAAGGACTGGCAGCAAGTGACCATAAGATGGCCAGGAACTGAAAGCAGTTCAGTGCAGTCAGAGCACAAAGGCCAGTGAGGGCTTGTGGTGGGAAACATGGTTGGAGGGAGCTGGTGAGCAGAGCCAGTTCATGAAGGATTTACCATTTCTGAGCTGCTGCTGCCCATCCCACAGTAGAGAACTTGAAACCCCAAGAAAGGTGACTTACACAAGGTCACACAGCCAGCTGGGGTTCACTCAAAGCTGGACAAGGAATCTCACCCTCACTCACCTGCAGGTGTCCAGAGTAGAGCTGCAGCAGGAGGTGGTCAGCTGGGCCTGCTGCCAGGAGAAGGAGGGCTTCGGGTTGGGACGTGGAGAACTGCAGTTGCAGGTCTATGTCAGTCAGAGCCATGGCCACAGTCACCTCCAGGTGGTTCTCACCAAAGAAGGAAGCTGTGTGAGAGAGGGAGCTGTGGTCAAGGCTCAGATTCTTGCCTGGAGGAGGCGAGGTGCTGCAGGGAGGGATGGGTGGGTTGCAGAAAGGGGTCCGTGCTGGTGCACCCTCATGGTTCTGCTATATGTTGCTGTCTCTGAGCACTGCCCAGATCCCCACATTTCCTTGGTCCTGGCACCAGAAGGCACAGCCTCACCTTGTGTCCAGCCCAGACCTTGACTTTGCAGGAGGTCAGACCCAGAAATTCCCAGCAACTCAGGTCTCCTTCTTGGAGGTTCCTGGAGCCAGAGGCCTCTGCCAGTTCTGACTTGCATCCCCTGGGCCCCAGAGGAGTCTCCCTCCCAGGTCTGGCTCCCCGACCTGGCTGAAAGGGAAACATCACTGGCCTGATCACCTGGCTTGGTGGTCACAGCCCTGAGGAATGGAGTTTCTGGAGAATCACCCCCAGGCCAGATTGATCCCTGCTCAGATTCCTTCTCCTAAGTGCCCTTGTGCTTGGGCTCCTGTGCAGCAACTGCTGTGCCATGCCTCGCCTCCATGCATTGGCTGGGGCCATGGCTGGTATCTGGGGGTGATGTCAGTGTGGCCCACCTATCCCCACTTCTCCCTCAGGCCATTCTTCCAGCTGCCATTGAGGGTGGGGGCTGGAGCTTATTGGCCTGAGTTTGCCAAGGAGTAAAGGCTCTGAGGCCAGATGGGGACCATATGCAGTGTCAAACCAAAGTGGGCCCACACTTCCTCCATTACCCCTGCTGTTGCTTCCTGCTGGAGAGCTATTCACAGTCCCCACTGAGCAGTCAGATCCGGCCCCATTGTTTCCACCTTGGCCAAGGAACCAGGGATGAGAACAGCTGAGCTCCCAACTTCCCCAGGCCACCACTCAGTCTGAGGCTGAATACAGGGCCTAGGAGGGGCTGAGGGTCTGCTGGGCAGGCCAAAGATGGCCTCTCCAGGCAGAAGGCCATGTCTGGGCTTGCCTGGGGTTAGTGGTTCTTGTGCAAGGCCCGTTCTGTCCCACACTGGGACTCCTCCTCTTTTGAGTTGCTGCTTCCTCCAGGCAGTTTCCCCAAATTAGCCTCCCTGACTTCCAACCCACTGCCATAATTTCTGGTCTATGCCTTTTGTGGTGACAAGAGCCAGATATAACTTTGACTTTGCCTGCAGTTGTCCAGGGCTGGGGGGCAGACAAACACAGGTTAAAAACCGTGATTCATCCCTGTTGGGTTTCCCTCAAACCCCAAGAACAAGCACAGGCTGATGGCCTTGATGGGGTGATCCAGCACCGGCCTCACATGCACTGGTCCCTAGCCAGCCTGAGCCAGCTGCCATCTGCTCGAGGAAGTAGCTTCAGCCATTGGAGGAGTTGGAGGTCTCTATGCCCTAAGGGCAGCCAGCCCCACCTGGAGGGATATCAAGGAAAGATCCCGTAAGAGCCCCTCGGGTTGAGTTAAATCCCCTCTAGTTATCCCCTCCTCCTGCCAGCACTGCTGGCAACACCAGCACCTTGGCTGGGAAGCTAAGGGAATCAAGCAAGCCCCACAGACCATCTGTGTGGGGGTGGCCCAGCAGTCTCAGCAGGCACAGCACAGCTTGGTGCCAGCAAGAGACAGACCAGGGAACTGCAGGTGGTGACCTACTGGGGTGCCTTATCTGCAAAGACATTGATTCCTAAGAGCAAAACACAGCACACTAAAGTGAGGGAGGCCATAGCACAAGGGGTGGGGACACATGGCCCTGCAGGATGGAGCCACCACAGTCACCAGCTGGAACGGCTCACAGCAGTGGCCAGGAGCCAACTGTTGAATTTTCAGGAATTTTGAGAGCCATGTGATACTGCCCACAGTGGGAATATTTATACCAGGAAAAGAGGCAAATACTGAAAATCAGGGTTCCCTCTCCCCAAGAAAGCCCATTGCTAAACATTTACCTACCCAGCACCCACAGGGAAGGGGGCACATCTCCCTGTGCCTACCCACCTGTGTTAGTCAGGGTTCCCTAGAGGGATAGAACTAATAGGAGATATAGACAGATATAGATATAAATATAGATATATAGATATATAAAGGGGAGTTTATCAAGTATTAACTTACACAATCCCAAGGTCCCACAATAGGCTGTCTGCAAGTTTGAGGTGCAAGGAGAGACAATCTGAGTCTCAAAACTGAAGAACGTGGAGTCCGATGCTAGAGGGTAGCAAGCGTCCAGCGTGGGAGAAAGATGAAGGCTGGGAGGCTAGGCCAGTCTTGCCTTTTCATGTTTTTCTGCCTGCTTTATATTCACTAGCAACTGATTAGAAAGATGGTGCCCACCAGTATTAAGGGTGGGTCTGCCTTCCCCAGCCCACTGGCTCAAATGTTAATCTCCTTTTACAACGCCCTCACAGACACACCCAGGAGATCAATACTTTGCAGCCTTCAACCGAATCAAGTTGACACTCAGTATTAACCGTCACACCACCCTTGCACTAAAGGTATACATACACCCACTAAGGCATGGTCAACATCAGGGATCTGGGCCAGACAGGAACTGAAGCAGATGGTTGGCCCTAACCACTGAACCACCTGCCTGTGGCCCCCTCCCAGCAGAAGAGAGTAGAGGCTGTTTGGCCAGAGTGGAATGGTGGCAGGAAGCAGAGGTATTTTCTGGAGTGCTGGGGTCTGAATCAGTCCATTGAGGCTGGGCCCTCCTGCTTCCTGTAGGGCTAAGCGGGAGAAGCTCACAGAGGCTGCCTTGTGCTGCTGGAGCGCATAGCCAGGGAGGCCCCCACCCCAACAGAGGCCTCTGATGCCTTGCTGGCCAGGGCTTTGGAAACTCTGACAGCGCTGCTTCCCTCATTTCCTAATCTCCTTTTTCTGACCCTCTTACACTCTCTGAGGGGCTGCAGTTGCAGGAACCCAGAATCTCTGTCTTGGAGGTGGTGGGGCGGTGGGGGGCAGTTGAAGAGGGGCTTTGAATGGAGAGGGTCTGCACAATAAAGATGTAATAAGCTAGGAGTCAATCCAGAGGACTTCCTGGAGGAGGTGATGGTGGTGTAGAGTCACAGAGAGGGAGGAATAGGCAGTCTCAGAGGACAGCAGCAAGGCCAAGTGAGAGACTGGCAGAGTTATACAGGTCCCCGTTGGGTGGGGTGAAGAGGGTTCATGCTCCCTCACCCCGCAGAGCCTCTGGCTTATCACAGGATAAGAGCCAGCTAAGCTCCAGAGGCTTTCCAGGAAAAGTGTCTCTTGGAAAGAGTGTGACCTTTTCATTGGTCCTGACAGCACCCTAGAAATGGCTTGGTCTTCTCCCTCCCGTGAGCTCCACAGAGAACACAGCCAGCATAGGACACATTCCCTGTCATCCAGAAATGGGTTTGATTCTCAGCCAAGGGACAGCAGGACTGGTAGAGACTGTCAGGCCACACAGCTGCCTACACAGCACCCCCATGCTTGGTGGGGGGTGGGAGGGATGGCGGGGGCTGGCTGTCCACAGGCCGGGCATGACAGGGAGGCTCACTGGAAGTGGTGCACTTTGGAGGGGCAATGTCAGGGGAGAGCTTCCTCTTGTTGGGCCACAAGACTCCACAAGGACAGCACGGTGACTGATTCCCAGTGCTAGAGGCGAGGCAATCGGCCATGTGTAGGTGTATGTGTGTGTGTGTGTGTGTCTATATACACACACATATATGTGTATATATATATGAGGGTGTGTGTATGTGTGTGTATATATAAATTATTTATTTAGATGGAGTCTTGCTCTGTTGCCCAGGCTGGAGTGCAGTGGCACAATCTCGACTCACTGAAACCTCTGCCTCCTGGGTTCAAGCAATTCTCCTGCCTCAGCCTGCCGAGTAGCTGGGACTACAGTCACCTGCCACCACATCGGTCTAATTTTTGTATTTTTAGTAGAGATGAGGTTTCACCATATTGGCCAGGCTGGTCTCAAACGCCTGACCTTGTGATCTGCCTGCCTCAGCCTCCCAAAGTGCTGGGATTACAGGTGTGAGCCACAGCACCCAGCTATTTACAGATATTTATAGAATATGACCTCAACTATTTAAACATATCTGTAAGGGTATAAGTACTTTGATAACAAAGAAGCAATACATACTGATAGAAACTAGCTATCATGTCAACAGTGGTTATATTAGGTAGAGAAATTATGTGAGATTATTTTTTTTATATTTTACTAATCTTCTCAATAACGGTTGCTTATAAGTTTTATAATCAAGAAAAAAGGTTTCTAAAGTTTTTGCAAAATGGAAAGTTATGCCTCTTTATATACTAAACACAAAAACAAAACTTCCTATTTGAATACCTTTGACTTTTACTGCAGACTTACAGACCCTTGAAAGAAAAGGCAATTCCCTCCCACTAGTTCTGGTGTCATTCTCCCCATCTCTCCCTTCACTTCCACCTTGGTCTTTTTTCTACTTCCCACCTTGGCTAGTGGTCTCCACCCAAAATGCTTGCTTGGCTTAATGGTTAGAATTCAGGGAAAAAGAGATCCCTAATTGCTAATCTAAACTAAGATTATACAAGTGGGAAATAATAAAGAGAAACCAGGTAGTAAATAAGATTTGGAGGACTTAAAATACCCAGACTTTAATTCCTCTAAGTTTATAGTTTTTAATCATGTTTTTATATAATATTATCACTTAACATTTAATTTCTAAATATAATGTTTATGAGAAAAAGAGAAAATAGCTTGGTTTCTTTCCTCACCGAACTGCTGTTGTCCTTAGTATCTTCTAGACGTTCCAGAACTGATGTCAGATTTGGCTCATCAGAGTCCACAGACCTTATCGGTGAAGAAGATGAATAGGATTCCTGTTTAAACCAGAGACACCTATGTTAAATGTTTACATACAGACTAACCCAAATATGCGATTAAACCACACCACTAAATGGCAAGATGACCATGGATTGAAACAAAATGTATGGGGGAAAAGGCAACACATTAAAACCCATGTGAGGAGCTGGACTTCTGAGACAGCCATTCTCCTTGCATAGCACTGTCTGCTGCCACAGCTCATAGAAGTCAACAATTTTCTTTAAGAATGGTAGGCAGCCTCTAAATGGCCCTGATCACCATCACCTCCTGCCATTCACACCCTTGTAAAATTCCACCCCTGGACCTAGTGACTCGCTTCTAACAAAGAGAATACAGCAAAAGTAACATCACTTCTGAGGTGAGGCTACAAAGAGACTACGATGCCTGCCTTGGTCACCCTTCTCCTGCTCTTTCCATTGCTCCCTCTGATGGAAGCCAGTTGCCATGTGATGAGGTGCCCTATGGAGAGGCCCACATGACAAGGTATTGTGAAAGGCCTCTGACCAATAGCCATCTAGAAACAGAGGCCCAGTCCAGCAGCCTCTGAGATGAATCCTGCCAACCTGAGCTTGGAGACAGATTCTCTCCCTATCCTGCCTTGGGATGATCACAGCCACCACCAGCATCTTCACTGCCTGGTGAGAGACCAAGCCAGTGAACCCAAGGTAAACTAGACAGAATCCTGACCCACAGAAACTGAGATAATGTTTGTTATTTTAAGCTGCTAAATTTGTTACAGAGCAATAGATAACTAACTCAAACACCATAAAATTCTAATATTTTATTCTATCACACAAACCAAGTAATACCAACTAAATGCCATTACTATACATATATTTTTGTAACACAATTACATGTGATTTTTTAAAAAAGCTAATGAACTATGCATTATGTGCTTTCACCCACTAACAGACATTCCCGCTGTTACTCTGTACTGTTCTCTATTATAAATTGGGGAAAAACCATTATTATTATATATTAGCTTCAGAATAACTAGGTTCAAGTCACAGAAAACAATTTTGCACAAACAACTTTAGGCAACACTGCTTTGAAAACTGTAATCTGAATTAAAGCTGAAGCCACAGAAACCAAATATTTACTGAAGGTTCCTTTTTAAGAAAAACAAGATGGGCCGGGCACGGTGGCTCGCGCCTCTAATCTCAGCACTTTGGGAGGCCGAGGTGGGCGGATCACGAGGTCAGGAGATTGAGACCGTCCTGGCTAACACGGAGAAACCCCATCTCTACTAAAAAAATACAAAAAAAATTAGCTGGGCGCACTGGCGGGTGCCTGTAGTCCCAGCTACTCAGGAGGCTGAGGCAGAGGAATCACTTGAACCTGGGAGGCAGAGGTTTCAGTGGGCTGAGATGTCCACTGCACTCCAGGCTGACGATAGAGCAAGACTCCATCTCAAAAAACAAAAAAAAAAAAAAGAAAAACAAGTTGTATTGGTGGAGGACATCATTAACAGTATATCTCTTCAATAATGGTTTATTTTACTATTCTCATTCTTCTCATTCCCCTCTTACTGTGTTCCAAATCTCTTTACAGGCTAAAAGAAACTCTTCAGAATTACTTCTATTCTTTTTTTTCTTTTTTTTTTTTTTTTTTTTTTTTTTTTTGAGACCGAGTTTCGCTCTTGTTGCCCAGGCTGGAGTGCAGTGGCACGATCTCAGCTCATCACAACCTCCACCTCCCGGGTTCAAGCAATTCTCCTGACTCAGCCTTCCAGAGTAGCTGGGATTACAGGCATGTGCCATCATGCCCCACTAATTTTGTATTTTTAGTAGAGATGGGGTTTCTCCATGTTGGTCAGGCTGGTCTCGAACCCCTAATCTCAGATGATCCGCCCACCTCAGCCTCCCAAAGTGTTGGGATTACAGGCATGAGCCACCACACCCAGCCAATCCTATTCTTAAAGAACACCACTTACTGAGTATTGCATTTTCTTCTATAAATTCTTCAGCATACACTGAGAATACACCATATGGACTATTTTTACGCTTTTAATTTTGTTTTTTTTTTTTTTCTTTTGGCTAAGGAAATTGCAATTAGATTTAGGACTTCATTCTGTTAGGTTAGTATTTGTCTAGTAAACTTCAGCATAAGCAAAATAAAATATGTGTTGTTGCTCTGGACTGAAACCCCTCAAAACCATATTTTAAAAATTACAAAAAAAAATTAACTGAAATCAAGTTTTTAAAAACCTTGTAGATGAAAAGATATGATATCTAGTACGTCTAAGTACCTTTTTCAATGGTTCCCAAAGTGCGGCCCTCAGACCCCCAAGTCCAAACTATTTTGACAGGAATACTAACATGGTGACATTTGCTGTAAGTGTGCAAATACAATGGTGGGTAAAAATGTTGGTACTTTAGCACAAACAAAGGCAGTAACACCAAACTACTAGTAGTCATGGTATTCTTCACTATGCACAGGAAAGGTTTAAAAAGGAAGGGCGGGTGGGGCATGGTGGCCTACGTCTGTAATCCCAGTGCTTTGGGAGGCTGAGGTAGACGGATCACCTAAGGTCAGGAGTTTGAGACCAGCTTGGCCAACATGGTGAAACCGCATGTCTACTAAAAATACAAAAATTAGCTCGGTGTGGTGGTGCATGCCTGTATTCCCAAATACTTAGGAGGCTGAGGCAGGAGAATCACTTGAACCTGGGAGGCAGAGGTTGCCTTGAGCTGAAATTGCACCTATGTAACTCCAGACTGGGCAACAGAGCAAAACTCCGTCTCCAGAAATAAAAATAAAAAGGAAGGGCAACAAAAGGTCAGTTTCATTTAAGAATGTCTATGATAAGGTTGGGAATTTTGGCTCATGTCTATAATTCCAGCACTTTGGAAGGCCCAGGCAGGGGGATCACTTGAGCCTGGGAGTTCAAGACCTGCATGGGCAACCTGGTGAAACCTCATCTCTACAAAAAATACAAAAATTAGCTGAACACAGTGGCTGCATGCCTGTAGTCCCAGCGTCTTGGAAGGCTGAGGCAGGAGGATTGACGGAACCCAGAAAGTTGAGGCTGCAGTGAGCTGTGATCATGCTACTGCACTCCAGCCTCGGTGACAGAACAAGGCCCTATCTCAAAAATTTAAAAAAAAAGAATGTCTATGATGAAGCAGTGAATATTCTACTAAATCTAAATCCTTGAGTATATCTTTTTAATATTTCAAGTGATGAAATGGGAAGTATACATGAGCATTCCTACAGGCTGCCTGAGAAAAAAAACACTTGAGTGACTAAGTCATGAAGTTAATTAACCACTTTAATGGAATACCATTTTTACTTGAAAGGCTGACTGACAAAAAATGTTGTTTTAACTTGCATTTCTGGAAGATATTTTCTCAAAAAATGAGATGCTGTCATTTCAAGGAAAACAACAGACAGGCTATAATAAAATTCAATAACAAAATTACTAATAAAATTCAAGCTTTTGAAGAAAAAATCAGAATTTTAGAAAACCTATGTCCACCATTGCTTTCCGAAAGTATTCTGATGAGATTGATGGTGGTATTGATGAATGTATTTCGATACTGTACAATCAAATGTATCAATATGTAGAAGATCTTATTGAACCACTATTTTATAAGTAACCAATGCACGATGTTGTAATATCATGCAAGGGTGGAAGATCCAAAGTTCAAGAAAAACGAAGATTTGATGGAGTATCAAAAAAGAAGCCTAGGCAACATGGCAAAACCCTGTCTCTACAAAAAATACAAAAAGTTAGCCAAGTGTGGTGGTACACACCTGTAGTCCCAGCTACTCTGGAGGCTGAGGTGGGAGGATCACCTGAGTCCCCGGAGACTGAGGCTGCAGTGAGCTGTGATCACACGACTACCTTCCAGCCTGGGCAACAGGACAAGACCTCATCTCAAAAAATATATATATATCCACAATGATCTAAAATGGTTATCTGTATGAGATTGGCCTTTGTTCACATTTTTTTCAAGAAAATATCACACAATAAATTGAATGCAGAAGCAAACTGACATATCAATTTGCTAATGACATGTCAAACATCATGCAAATGACATATCAAACATCAAAAAAATTTGCAAAAGATGTAAGACTGTACTACTTTGGGTTTAGAAATTTTCTTTTCATAAAAGCATTTATAACAATATGTGGTGAGCTTTTAAAGAATATTTTAAATATTTCTGATTTAATTTCTAGTGATAAATACAAATAGATATACCCTACATAAACCAAAGCTCCTTGGGCCCTCAATGTATTTTTAAGAGTGTAAAGGAATACTGACCCAAAAACTTGGAGAACTGCTGCCTTCCCCTCCACTTTCTTCCTTCCCTAGAATCTCTTCCTTGGAAGAAACATCCCTTTGCCATTCTATATTAACTTACATAGTTCCACTGAGGCAAGTTTTGCTACCTCCCTCCCATCTTTCCACCTCTCTTTCAACACAAAGCCTGACCAAAGGATTCTACCAGCCCACCCCATTTCCAGTGATTAGCTGTCAGGTGGGCTAAGCCAAACAAATCTGGGTTTTCCCTGAGACTAGACCTCTCTTTCTGGGAGAGATGGAATCACAGGGACAAGGTTGGCCACCTTGGGGTAGTGAGAATTCATCCTGCCTAAACAGGGAGAATTCAAACAAGTTTCTCGAAATCCAAACTACTTTCTAGAAAGTCAAAGATAATTATATTTTTTGCCATGACTGTAAGAATGCCCATTTCATTGCACACTTTCTAACATTTTTACCAATCTGATAAATAAAAGCTGGTACTGAGATGAAAAAAAGGCTGGGCACAATGGCTCACACCTGTATTCCCAACACTTTGGGAGGCTGAAGTGGGCAAATCACCTGAGGTCAGGAGTTCAAGACCAGCCTGGCCAACATGGTGAAACTCCGTCTCTACTAAAAATACAAAAATTAGCCAGGCATGGTGGCATGCACCTGTAATCTCAGCTACTCGGGAGGCTGAGGCAGGAGAATTGCTTGAACCTAGGAGGTGGAGGTTGCAGTGAGATCACGCCATTGCACTCCAGCCTGGGCGACAAGAACAAGACTTCATCTCAAAAAAAAAAAAAAAAAAGAAAAAAAAGTTCCCATACAATATAATTTCTTCCATCTCTGGAAACAAATTCAGCAATGAGAACTGAAAGTCACCACGTGGAAGGTTTCAAGGATTTAGGTCTACCTACTCATGTCTAAAGCATTAGTTAAGTTACAAAAAAATACGCACACACAAGTGCACGCACACACACACATACCCGTATGCATTCAGTACCAGAAAACATGACTGACTACATGGTACAGTCATCCAACAGAAAGCACACAATAACTGAAGGCAATGTAGAGGAGTAAATTATAACATGGATCTACAATACTGTTGAGTGAAAAAGCAGATTACAAACAAATATCTGATTTTTAAGGGAGAGGAAACATATACAAGCACAGGAGAAAAGAGCAGATGACTGGAAAGATACAAATTTCTGACAGTGGCACCTGCTGAGTGGTAGAATTACATAGGTAGTATTTTCTAGTTTTGCCTAAAAGTTTTCTAAATTTCTTAAAATAAGAAGGTTTTGTTGTTCATATTACAAAATATCCATCACCCCAGGAAATTTAACCTTCGGCACAAACTCTACAACATGTTCAAAGTTTGTTCAGTTTAATATTTAAGAGACAATCTATTTTGAAAGACATTTAAAATGACCAATATTTAAACCTATGCATTAATATTTTTCAATCACGTTTTAAATTTTGTAATTTTGATAAGTTTTAGATCCATCTTGAAAAGATAAATTTTCTGTTTGTCTTTAAAATATTACCTACAATATGCCTGTTTTTAAACAGTTAATGGTGCTCAAAAATCACAATATAAATTCAGGCAGTGTTCCTTATATAGAATGTGTAAGTGCTTCTAATACTGCTCTTTTTCACCAGTTATGAAAACACAGAACAATTATCTAAGCATCTAATTATTCAGGTCCTTTGTTTCTCCTCCATTCTGCTGGTTTTATACTAATTTCAAGGCCTGTGAGGATGAAGTTGTCTGTGACAGCTACCACAAAGGTTACTATAAGCAGACAAATTTCCAGCAAGTTTATCACCACTACCATCCCCACCATAAAACGGTCTCAAGCAAGGGCAACACAATTGAAGGTTAGTCAAGACAACCTCTTTACCTGTCACTGCTTAAGAAAAGGATTTTTTGGTCTTATTTAGAAATAACTTTATCTATTTTTCTCCATAATTCCACCGAGACCAATGTGTGCCTCTATCTCAAGCACCAGCAAGCAAAACTGCCTGCCAGTATGTTCAGTTTTTGTATCTTTCCAAATGTAGGGCACAGCTATCTTTTGATATCATAATTTTTTGAAAACTGATGCACAAACTTCTTCTTGAAAGTTCAGCCAGGTGCAGTAGCTCACACCTGTAATCTCAGCACTTTGGGAGGCTGAGGCAGGCAGATCACGAGGTCAGGAATTCAAGACCAGCCTGGCCAACATGGTGAAACCTGTCTCTACTAAAGCTACAAAAATTAGCCAGGTGCGGTGGCAGGTGCCTGTAATCCCAGCTACTCAGGAGGCTGAGGCAGGAGAATTGCTTGAACCTGGGAAGCAGAGGTTCCAGTAAGCCAAGATTGCACCACTGTACTCCAGCTTGGGTAATAGAGTGAGACTCCATCTCAAAATAAAAAATAAAAAAAAGAATTTCAGATATAAAGCAGTTGTAATTCTTCTGAAGGCTGCTTATGGGACACATTACTTTCATACTTTGCTGTTCAATAAATGTGGGGTGGAGAATAAAGTAAATTGAAAGAATTACCATATAAAATAAAATTCGAAGTCCTCTGACAACAAAAGAAACTTAAAACACACACACACACACACACACACACACAGAGCTTTCCCTGCTAATCATTTTACAACAACCAAGTAGCTAACCCAGAGCCCACAAAAGCAGAGTAAAAATTCTAACACTCGGTAAAATAAAAATGCACATATATCCCTGTCATCTAAAAAAAAAATGCTTAAGTATTCAAAGACAGAAAGCAATTGTAGCTACTGAGAACATCATTGTAAGCAAACTGAGGCAGAGAAAACTACCGTGCTGATGAGGATTGGAAACACCTAAGCTGCAGAAACCCACTGGATGGTTTCCTAGGTTCTGAGTTGGCATTATCTTTCAGAATGATCTTCTAGAAGAGATCACATAACACTGTTACAAAGGATCTGGAGAAAGGGACCCTGGCTTCATCACTCTGGCTCTCCAGTCATGCTTTACATTTTCACTTCTTACACTCTCTTTCATAGGAAGTCAATTTACAGGCTTCCATCAAGCCCTTAGAGACCTTTTTGTACTATCCATGACAAGTTCTTGATGTTATGTCTGCACTTTTGACAAATTCTTAGCAGTTAACTTACAAGGCAGTTAAGATTTTTTTTCAAGCACAATATAGGTAGAATAGGCTCATACATCCAATAAAACAAATATTTACTAAGCATTTATTGAGTGGAAGATAAAAAGCACAAAGCATAATTATAAAACATTCTCCCCTGCCACCATAAAAATTTTTTTAAAGCCTTACAGAATACAGCATAACATAACCAAAGCAAAAATAGTGAGGACTAAAGAGGGGAGGAAGGGGAAATATCAGCATGAATTAAATATGACCCAGAAGAGCCTTGATGGTCAGACACGTAAAGACAAATTGGGTAGGGTTAGCGGGTGGCTGTCAGGGGCACATTCTACAGGGGAAAAACAGCTGATACAGAAGCCTGAAAGGAAAAGCGGGCAGAGCACCTGGACAGGACTCTTACCTGCTGCATCCAGGGTACAATGCGCCTTTCCAGAACACAGCAGCGACCCGGGATAGAGGGATCGCTCAAACAGCACCAGAGGCTGCATTCCAACTTTTCCTCCATCAACGAGTCCGTTTTCATTGTTAGTTTCTCCTTAAACACGATTGGCTGAACATGCGGGAACAAGGAAAACCTGACTGAAGAACGAGGCATTTAAGCTTAAGGGCCTTGGATCCGGGCGCGGTGGCTCAGGCCTGTAATCCCAGAACTCTGGGCGGCAGAGATGGGTCATTTGAGGTCAGGAGTTCGAGACCAGCCTGGCCAACATGATGAAACCCCGTCTCTACTAAACAACACAAAAGTTAGCCAGGCGTGGTGGCGGGCGCCCGTAATCCCAGCTACTCGGGAAGCTGAGGCAGGAGAATCGCTTGAACCCACGGACTGTCAAGAGATGGAGGCTGCAGTATGCCGAGATCGCCCCACTGCACTCCAGCCTGGGCGACAGAGTGAGGCTCCATCTCAAGAAGCTCCTGCCACCATGCCCGGCTAATTTTTGTATTTTTAGTAGAGACAGGGTTTTACCATGTTGGCCAGGCTGGTCTAGAACTCCTGACCTCAGGAGATCCAGCTACCTCAGTCTCCCATAGTGCTGGGATTACAGGAATGAGCACTGCACCCGGCCAAAAAAACGAAAATCTTAAAGGCCTTTCCCCTTCCCTCACTGGGCTCAAACAACAGCGGGAGCCACCCTGCCACGCCCCGTCGCGGTCCAGGGGAGCAGGCTAGCTGACTGAGGGCGATCATGGGCCCCAAAAGGGCTGCGGGCGACGCGGGCTCCCACCTCAGGGCGCAGCGACTGGGGCGAGAGGTGCCAGCAGCCCCCAAGCCAGCCCCGTGGCAAGGAGCCAGAGAGACGCGCCCTCCCCCTCCTCCCACGCAAGCCTCACGCAGCGGGGCGGGCCAGTCGCGGGAGAAAGGGGCGCGCTCGCCCCGCCTGGGGAACCGGGGCCTCTCCCGGGCAGGCTCCCCTTTGTCCCGGGACTCTGGGCGCCTCCTCTCCGCCCTCGCCCTGCCCCGTGAGGCCGCCACTGGGCGCCTCAACGTGATGTTGCAGTGGAGCATGAGCTGCGGCAGCGGCTCCTGGTTCTTGTGGAAGATAGAGTCCAACAACTTCAGCTTGGCCTTGAACCCTCACACGGACATTTTATTCTCACCTCTGGCAGGTGGGGCGCGAAGGTGAGCCCGTCGGGAGCCGCTGTGACGGCCGCAACCACCCGCGGGACCTCTCGGCGGTGCTCTCCCAGCTCCGCCTCTCCCTGCTGCCTCAACTCTAGTCACAGTAGGGCTGGAAAATGGCAAGGGGCACCAAGGCCTCTGCGGGGAGCTGTGTGGAGGCCTGGGCGGCTGCTCCCCTTCTAACAGACTCCACCGACAGGAGGCGCTGCTCCTGTCAAGCCGCAGCTTAAAAGGGCAACAGCACCACAGCCCCCGCTACCGCCTGGGAAAGGGCTGCCCCCAGCCTGCTCCCGTCCCTCTCGCCCCTCACACCCGTCACCCCTCACCCCTCAAACCGCGCGCCCCCTGCGCACCCGTTTCGGCGGCTGCAGGAGTCCAGAGCATGCGCCCGCTTCCGGCTGCCCCCTCCTCGCCTTGACCCAGCACTGTTGGACCCATCTGGTCCGTTCTTCACACTCGCGGACTGGAGGCTCCGGGCAGCACAACCACCAACCCGTGTGTGTGTTGGGGTGGGGGTGGAGGCAGAAAACCACCAACTCGTGTGTGTGTGTGTGTGTGTGTGTGTGTGTGTGTGTGTGTGTTTCCCAAGGGAACAGCACTGCTGAGTTCAGGCTATCTGCTCATGGACTGTCAGCAAAATACAGTCACAAGAAGGCTATGTGCTGTTTTGTCTCTTGCAGTGATGTCATGTTGCTCATGTTTTATGTTTTTCAGAGTTCATTAGTTTCTGTTTGCTCTCAGTTAATATCCAGCTCAATAGATTGTGTAAGTAGAATACCCCCAAACTGAAAGTCACCTACATAAAATATAGTGAAAAATATGTCACCCACTTACACTATAGTTGAAAATATGTACCCATTAGTTTTGTGTAGCCAACACTGGATAATGGGTAAGGGCAAAGGATCCCAGGGCTAGACTGCCTGGGTTCAAGTTCTGATTTCCTGCTGGCTGTGAAATACTTAACAGCGTTCAGCCTCTGTTTCTTTTCTTTTCTTTTTTTTTTGTTTAGCTTAATCCCAAATGTGATAGTAAGTCTCAGTTTCTTGATCTGAAAAACAGAAATTATTCAATGACAGTCTATGTGAAAACTTTAAAGTTTTCAAAGCCACTATCTAGCTTAGGAAAGTCCTCAGCTTTAGGGGTTAAAGTTTTTAAAACCACTGCCTGGTTCAGGAAAGCCCTCAGCTGTAGCCATTATTAGCTATGATGATTATTGTGCTGGCTACACATGCATTAATGAGGCAGGAAAATGCTGAAGGATAACAACCAAGTATCCAGATTATCTCATCAGACCGAGACAGATGCATATGAGTGCATGATCATGTTTTAGCTCAGATCCATTTGTCTAAAAGGCTCTTGAACCCAGGAGTATCAACTTTGCTTTGCAGTGGAGCCATCGCTTTTGTTAATCAATGAAATTGACATAACGATCTTCTTTTTTTTTCCTTTTTAGCACCAACCATGTGCCTAGAGCTAACTGTGTTAAGAACAGCATGCTTCAAGTGGCTGGAGTGAGCAATTCAACTTGTGGAGGAATGAGAAGTGATAGTGTTGAGACAAGCAACATAAAACCCGAGCGTAAGGTAGAAATCGCTGAAAGTCAGGCAAAGGAACTGGCATCCAGTAATAAGTCAGGCTTTGCCAGCCTCTAGCCCTACAGATGGCTCTTTGCAGAGGAAAAAATTAATCCAGGCCCAAGGGCACAGATCCTAAGGGAATGCTAGCAGCTCTAGGCTGTCTATGAGAGTCCAGAGATGCTGCTTCACCCTGGGGCTTTAGGCAAGTCCCTTTCCCTCCCAGAGCCTCAGCATCCCTTCTAGCAAATGACGTTCTGCCTTTCTCCTAGGATGGCTGTGGGGATCAAGGGAGACAGTGGCCATAGGGATACTATGTTAACTGCAGATGTGGCCGTAGGAGCACTTTGCTAACTGCCAACATGAGTTCAGACTCTTCAGGCTATTTGGCACCCAGGTCTATGGTGAGGTGTGACATATGGGATGCAAAGTTTGATGCCTGCTCCGACTCCAGTCTTGCTAACACACACGAAACCTTTGGCAAATCATGACCCTGCCTTGGGGAAAAGGGCAGTCTGGGAGAGTTTCTTCAAGGCAGCCTGGCTTCAATGCAGTCCGGGGCATGACTGAGATAGGCATACGTTGTGAGGAACTGGAGGGTAACTGGGTAAAGAGCTGCAGTGTGGGCAGAAGTGTAGTGTGGGTCACATTGAGGATAGCCACTGGCCAAAGCAGGGAACAGAGACAGAATGAGGAAGAGCTCTGTGGGGAGGGTGGGGCACCGGGTGGAGAACCTTCAAAGTCCAAAGAGTATGACTTGTTGGGATTCAATGCTGTAGGCAGTAGGGAGCCATGGAAGGCTCTTAGGTGGAGAAATGACAGCCGGACATTAGTGAGCAAGCCCTGTCTCCCTGAGCAGCATGGGTGGTCCTCTGAGCACGCCAGGCACGAGTGTGCAGGGAGCTGGTGCACATGCCTCTGTGTGCGGGTGAGCATCTGTGTTGTGACTCTGCCCACGCATGTACTTCAGTGTGCCGAGTGGCTGCACACCCCAGATCCATGCAGCACGTGCCGGCCGGTGAGGGTGCTGGGCACCGGGAGGTGGTGGGGAGGGCGACGTATGCGTGTTGTTTGTGGGCATGTGTGTTAGCGTGTGCATGCGGGCCGTGGGGCCTCACAGCATGTGTGTGCACACTCCGGCGTGTGCGTGTGTGTCCCCCACCCCCAGGCCTGCCCCTTCCCTCTGGAGCTGCAGACTTGCTCTTTCCTTTTTCTGTCCTTGTGCTGCTGGCTGTCTCACTTCCCTCCTTGTGAGCCATGGGACTCAGTGCCACTGCTCAAGGTCTCCATGGCTGAGCCTGGGGGCTCCATGCCCAACCTGGCAGACATGGAACCATCAGAGAGGGCACAGAGCTCATGGTTTATGGTGTAGGGGCTGGGAGCTTCGAGGGGGTTGTGTGAGGGGCTGGACTCAGGCGGCCAGAGACCTGGGAACATCATACTGGGCATGCCGTACCTGTCGTGTGGTCTGAGTCATGCTGCCAGGGCAGGGATCCAGCTCCCAGCCTGGGAGTGCTGAGAGCCAAATCCACTGCAGATTAGGGGTGGTAGTCAGGGTCCCACATCCTCTATTTGTCAGCAATTCAGTGGTGATCTAGGATAAAAGCCTGAGAGTCCTATACACATGGTCATCCCACAACACACTTCATAGGCCATGGAAGGACACACAGCCCCCTTCCCTCCCTACCAGGTACCATGATAGCTGCTAGCATGCGACTGAAGGCAGGGACCCTGGCCCCTGCTGAAGCACTACTGCTGGCCAGCAGGCTCATGCACCTTGGCCTGTTGCTTCTAGGGTTCGCCTGTGCTATTCAGCCAAGGGGACCACAGTGCATGCTGGCCCAGCTGAGCTCCGCCTAGAGAGCTCACTTCCCTTTCCTGCCATGGAGTCTTCCTCTTCTGCTTTTCCCAGCAGGAAGGGCCCAGCCTCACCTATGCAACCTGCAGCCCTCCACCAACCAGTTGAGGCTCCCCTGTTAGACTTAGAAGTCTATGGCCAATGGCATCAAGCTACCTGCCCTTCCTGCCTTCCCCTGGGTCCCTCAGAAGACCCTGGGCTTTCAGACGGCCCAGAGGGGCCTCTGGTACTCACTCCAGCCAGCCATCCCTTATAGCTTCACCATTTTGGTTCAAGCAGTGTTCCTTCTGTCAGGCTTGGTGGCTGTTGGGTGGGGCTCCCCAAGCAAGAGGTGGCCCTGGGCCAGTGGGTTGGAAGATGGTGACCAGAGAAGACGGAACCCTGAGGGGGTTGAGCATTGGTCTGAACTGTGGGTGGACTGCCTGGGTGCTGTGACAGCACCCTCCCTGTCCTCTCCTGGTGCAGCCTCCACGCTATCAGTGAGGCTCACCTCACAAAGATCTTCAGAGAGAGGGAGGGGAGTGGGAATCTGAGCACAGTGCGAGCCTCCCCTGTTCCTGCCTGCCCACCCCGCCTGAGGGCTCTACTCACCACCCTGCTTGTCAGCACACCCAAGCTCCTGGGCGATTGGGGCTCCTAGAGTGGGCTTATCAGCAGTGTTCTGGGCAATGGTCAGAATTTGCCATGCTGCTCATTGTGGTCGCCCACAAGCTGCAACACCTGCCCCTGCAGCTCCAGCAGGTTCACCTGGAGGAAGGGGTGTTAGCTGTCATGCCGGTGCCAGCACCGACATTCACTCCCACCCCCACAGAGATGTTGCACACCCTACCTTCATCTCCTCCTGGTCCTGGGCCAGCCTGACGATGTCCTCCTCTCCCAGTGCTGCGTCTTTGGCACTGCCCCCTGGCTGATGTACTTTCCTGCAGGAGGACACGGCTCAGATGCTGGGGCCCCTCAGATGGCCCTGCAGCTCCCCCTGCCATGCCCTGGCCTCTCGTTTACTCATGGTGTCTGTCTGTCCTGAGAGGTGGATGAACTGAAGCTCTAGTTTCTCCACCAGCTCCTTCAGGTCCATCTTCTCCTTCCATAAAGTTGCTGTGGAGCCAAAATAATGGGGTCACATGTCAGGAGTCACCTGCCTTGTCCCGACCCCACCCTTGTTGGCCCATGCCAGGACTACTCACCTGCAGCTTCTCCATGGCCTCCTGCAGGGCCCAGTGGGTGTCCCCACACACAGATTCACCCCCAGTCTCTGGGGCTGGGGCCGCTGCCTCTGGCTTTTTCTGGGATGAGGCCACTGGGTGAGCCAGGGGCTGGCAGCACACGCTTTGCTCCTCCTGGGCACTGGCTCCAGCGGAGTTGAAAAATGCCACCTGAAGGCAAGAGGTGAGTACTCTTGTAGGGGTATACACATAACAACCAGGGCAGGGAGATGGAGCACAGCCCCTTCCTTTTGGGCCTCACAGAGTGCACCTGTTGGTCACAGGTGAAATGGTGTCTGACCACTGGCTCCCGGAAGGAGAGAAAGTCCACAGAAGTCAGAAGGCAGGGAAACCAAGAACATAAGGGGGTTTCAGAGGGACTACAGAGGAAGGTGGCAAAGTAGGGGCAGGGAAAGTCAGGCTCACCATGGCCTCCCGGCTCTCCAGGTCCCCTGGAATGTTCAGCATGGGCCGAGGTGCCTCCTCCTCATTGTCCAGATGTCCTCCTCCATATCCTGTGGGAGGTGGCCAGAGGGGTCCTCAGACAACCCAACAAGGGAGGTACAGTGGGCCCACCTCTGCCCCTACACTCACTGTGTAACCTTGAGCCAGCCCCTCCCCAGAGGGGAATGCGCTGTTCTTTATTTTTAAGAACCAAAATCTTGCTATATTGCCCAGGCACAGTCCCACTACCGACTGGTGCAGGAATTCTGACCTGCTCCCTTTCTGACCTGGGCCAGTTCTCCCATCCTTAGGCAACCCGATGGCCCCGCTCCCAGGAGGTCACCATACTGATACCGAACTTAGTACGGACACCCAGTTGGCATAATGACCAGCTGTCTTAAAGGTCTCTTCCAACTCCTCAATCCTACGCTGCTAACAGTCCCCCTTTCCTCCTGGGGCTCTCTCCTCTTCCTCTGAGTGGTCTCCCATACCTTCCCCAGGGAGAGCCATGAGGCTCAACTGGGCTTTAGCTGCTGTTTCTGCTGGCTGGTAGCTTCCAGGTTCTCCTAAGGGGCCAGGAAAGAGGGTGAGAAGGTACAGAGGTTGCCAGGTTGTCCCTCTTGGAGCCCTGTCCTCAACAACTCCCTCCCCTGGGTCTCCTGCAACTTTTGGTGGGCCATCTTAGCCACCGCTTTGCCCTGAGCTTCCTCCTGCTGCAGCTGGTCCATGAGCCAGGTCTGCAGCAGTAACTGCCTGTGCAGCACCTCCTTCTCAGAGGCCAGCTGCTGATAAGCAGCCACCTGCTACTAAGCGACCACGAACTGCTGCAGGTGACACAGGTACTGGTCTTGCTGCTGCTGTGGACTCTGAGCCTCTTGGCTCTTCAGCTCCACGTGCAGGAAGACGCTGGGCATGAGGGCATGTGGTGGCTGGCTTCCAGATTCCTGGCCCATTAATAGGGTAGCAAGGACACTGTGGGGCTCTGTGGCCTGCTCAGTCCCCTGGCCCCTTGCTCCAGGCCTACGAGACTGCCTCCTTTGCCTAGAACCCCATGCCTCCTTCCACAGCCTCAAATCTCATGTCTTTTTTCCCAGCATTTAAACTGTAGGCGACAGACTGGTGGAAAAGCAGGGGGAGCCAACCACCATCTGCTAAGTGTGCCACATACCTAATGTTTCCACGTATCATCTCATTTAATCCTCAGCACCTCCACAAGGAAAAGGCTAACTTCCTTTTGAAGTTAAACAGAGACTTAGAGATGCAAAGTAGTTGAATTATGACCAGTGGAACCGAGGCCGCAATCCACTTTCAATCTAAGGAGTCTGGTTTTTCTGTTTTGTTTTGTTTTGAGACAGTGTCACTCTGTGTCTCAGGCTAGAATGCAGTGCTGAAATCTCAGCTCACTGCAATCTTCACCTCCCGGGCTCAAGTGATTCTCGTGTCTCAGTCTCCTGAGTAGCTGGGATTACAGGCATGCACCACCAGGTCCACTAATTATTATTATTATTTTTTTAATTTTAGTAGAGATGAGGTTTTGCCATGTTGGCCATGCTGATCTCAAATTCCTGACCTCAAGTAATTGTCCCACCTCAGCCTCCCAAAGTGCTGGGATTACAGGTGTGAGCCACCACACCTCACCAAGGAGCCTCTTATACCACTGTCTCTTCCTCTGTGATTGGGGGGCTCCATGCCTCTAGCTGGGATGATGATGTCCAGACCTGGGAGGAGCCCAGGGCTACCCACCTCTAAACGTCAGAGGGCAGGAAGCAAGAAACAGTCATAGGACTACCCTGGAGGGTGCTGGGGTCACCTGTCCTCAGGCTGCAGCTGCCTCTGTCCTGGCACCTCCCCTTCCCAGAGGCTGGTGACTGCCTCCCAACCATTATTAGATGGGTCAGAGGTTACCGTCTCTTTCAGCTCACCAAGCTTCAGCTCCTTTACTTGCCGCTCCAACTGCAGTGCACTCTTGTTCTCATTATTCTGGACAGAGAGAAGCAATCAGTGGCCACCCACTAAAACTGGAGACCCCAGAACTTGGTGTCTGCCTCCCATGGCACCAGGAAGGGTGGAGGCAGGTTAGAAAAATCATACCCTCTCCCACAGCCATCAGAGCAGGGCTCTGGCTCACAGGTGCCTTTAGAAGTACCATTTCATATGAAGGCCACAATGCCCCATTTTACAGGTGGGGAAACAAAGGCCTTGAGGGCTAGGGAAGAGGGCAGCCTCCCCACCTTGAGGGCTAGGGAAGAGGGCAGCCTCCCCAGGTGGGGCAACACACCAGCTCCTCAAAGCTGCTGTGGGGCTCGGCCTGCTGCTTGTAGAGGGCTTCCCACTCCAGCTCCAGCATCCTCTCCAGCTCCCACAGAGTCTCCTGCTGCCACAGCCTCTCATCCTGCTCCTGAAGCCTCTCCTGTTCCAGCAGCTCCTACCCCTTGTCCAGCAGCCTCTCCTGTTCCTGCAGCCTCTCCTCCTGTCTCCTGTTCAGGAGACTCAACATCTGATTGTTTTCCACCTCAGCCTGGAGCTGTCTTCCCACACTCTCCAGCTCCTTCCTTAGGTGGTTGGTCTCATCTTGTAGCTGCTCCACCTCAGAGGGCCCTGCTGGGGGCTCTGGGGCCAGGGGTTCAGCTGAGAAAGGAAGCAGACAATAAGGGCCTCTGGACTCTCAAAAAAAAAAAAAAAAAAAAAACCTCCCTTTGTTGGACAGCTCCTCCTCTCAGGCTTCCCAAACTTGGCCTCACTGCTAATGACTCCTCACACCCGGATGGTAGCCAATCTTCAAAGTCACTTTCAGATAGAGAGCACTGTGGGTGGCTGACAATGGGCACTCCTCCCTCTTTACTGATAGGGACACTGAGGTTCATGGAGATGACAAGACTTGCCATCTCCTGGCACAGACCTCTTTCCCTCTGCCTCAAAGCCCTTCCATCCACCCTCCTCCCTGGGGCATTCTAAGTCACCCTCACAGCCCTCTGATGCCAGTCCTGCTCCTAGGTCATGCCAGTCCCATCTTAACCATCTGGTTTTTGAGTTTGAACAAGTTCCTCCCAAGCTTCTGTACCCAATGTATCTCATGCTGCTTCCCCTCTTTCAATGCGTGGACCTGCCCAAAGCACAGAGGGGAAAGGGCCCTGG